>NW_018654717.1:939070-1240651 GCF_000001405.40 Homo sapiens | reverse complement strand
ATACTCTCCCTCCACCTGCCTCCCAACAGGCCCCAGTGTGTGTTGTTCCCCTCCTAATATCCATGTGTTCTCACCGTTCTGCTCCCACTTGTAAGTTAGAAGCGAAGTGTTTGGTTTTCTGTTCGTGGGTTAGTTTGCTGAGGATAATGGCTTCCATCTCCATTCATGATCCTGCAAAGAACATGATCTCATTCCTTTTTATGGCTGCATAGTATTCCATGGTGTATACGTACCACATTTTCTTTATCCAGTCTGTCACTGATGGACATTCGGGTTGATTCCATGTCTTTGGTATTGTGAATAGTGCTGCAATGAACATATGTGTGCATGTATCTTTATAATAGAATGATTTATATTCCTTTGGGTATATACCCAGTAATGGGATTGCTGGGTCAAGTGGTATTTCTGGTTGTAGGTCTTTGAGGAATCACCATACTGTCTTCCACAATAGTTGAACTAAATTGCATTCCCACCAACAGTGTAAAAGTGTTCTTATATCTCAACAGCCTCATCAGCAGGTAGTTTTATTTAAAAAATTTTTGAGAAACCTTCATACTGTTATCTGAAATGGACATAGTAATTTGTACTTCCACCGCAAGTATACAAGGGTTATCTTTTCTCCACATCCTCGCTAATACTTGTTATACATCTTTTTGATAATAGCTATTCTAAGAGGTATCAGGTGATATTTCATGGTGGTTTTTATCTGCATCCCCCTGATGATTAGAGATGGTAAGAATATTTTCACATATTTGTTGGCCATTTGTATCTGTTCTTCTGGGAAATGTCTACTCAGATCTTTGCTCATTTTTATTATTATTATTATTTTTTTGAGATGGAGTCTCGCTCTGTCACCCAGGCTGGAGTGCAGTGGCGTGATCTCGGCTCACTGCAAGCTCCGCCTCCCAGATTCACACCATTCTCGTGCCTCAGCCTCCCAAGTAGCTGGGACTACAGGCACCCACCACCATGCCCAGCTAATTTTTTGTAATTTTTTTTTTCTTTTTTTAGTGGAGACAGAGTTTCACCGTGTTAGCCAGATCTTTGAGCATTTAAAAAAAGAATTCAACTTTTATTTTAGATTCAGGAGATGCATGTGCAGGTTTTTACATTGGCACATTGTGTGATGCTGAGGCTTGGAGTATGGATGATCTTGTAACCCAGATAGAAAACATAATACCCAATAGACAGTTTTTAAGGCCTTTGTCCCCACCTTCCCTTCCCCCTCTAGTAGTCCCCAGTATCTGTTGTTCCGATCTTTACATCCGTGTGTAACCAACGCTTTGTTCTCACTTATAACTAAGAACATATGGTATTTGGTTTTCTCTTCCTGCATTATGTTAGAATAATGGCCTCCAGCTGCATCCATGTTGGTGCAAAGGACATAATTTTTTTATGGTTGTGTAGTATTCCATGGTGTACATATACTGTATTTTCTCTATCCACTCTAACATTGATGGGCATCTAGGTTGATTCCATGTCTTTGCTATACGACCTTGGGGAAAGAGAGTCTTGCTGCTTGCTTGTGGGACTTGCCTTGGAAGGTAGATAAGTTCACTGCATCCTCCAACTTTTTATTTCTGGTGAGTTCTCCAAGCACTGAGATGTGAACTGGCCTCATTCCCTTACAATGATACTGTTACCAGTAGAAGAGATTCCAGTTTCTGGCAGCGTATCTGCATGGGTCCATAAGCAACTTCAGTCCTTGCCTCCTCAGAAGAAATAATTTGACTGAAGGGCATACAGCAGAAAAAGAGACTGAGCGGTAAGTTTCAGAGCAGGAGTGGAAGTTTATTTAAAAAGGCTTTAGAACAGGAAGGAGAGGAAAATTCTCTTGGAAGAGACCCGAACAGATGCCTGAATGTCCAAGAAAGAAAAGAGAAGAGCCTTTAACCTTGATCCTGCCATGGGTTTTCCTCTTTCCCATGATTCTAACTTTAGGGAGCGTTTCCGGCTTGCACAGTGCTTTCCTTACCCTTTGAAATTGAGCATGCACGGTGTGTTTAGGGAGTTATATGCATGTCCATCTGAAGCTTTCTTTCCTTTTCCGGTGGAGCGTGCCCCCGGAAGATTATGCTTTGCCATTTTTGTCTCTTAACATGCATGCCCAAGAAGTTGCTTCTTCCTGAGGTCTGCATTTAACTAACATTTTTGATGTTAACAGGTGTAGACCATCAGGAAATGGCCTCTCTTTGGTGCTGCCTAATTATCATTTTTAGAGAGGCAATGTGATAATTGACAGGCCATCACCTGACATTTCTAGTGGGTAGGGGAAGAGCCCTCTCCTGCCCTGCTCATGCTCTTCTACCTGTAACAAGACAAGCCTTGTATATCATTAGACATTTGTCCCATCAAGGCAGCATCTCATTATTACATTTTATTGTGTGAATTGTTACTTCACATTCTCATAATCTGTGTTCACTATTTGTGTGCCTTTTCCACTTTTATTTTGACCATATCTCATTATTTGAACTGCCTCCTCCAAGATTCTAGATCTGCATTGGCCAATATAGTAACTACTAGTCACATGTGACTATAAACTGTAAATTAATTATAATTAAATAACTAAATGACATATCCTTAGTAGTAATAGCCAAAGTCTTGGCCAAACTAGAAATTCTGTAACTACATATGTGTGGTAGTTACTGCATTGGACAATGCAGATATAGAGAATTTCTTTCATCACAGAAAATCGTGTTGGGCATGTTGGCTACCACTTATTTTTAAATTCTATTTGTGTGGTTTATAGTTAAATTATATTCTGCTTCTCTATATTCATTTCCTTTCACAGATTTTCTCAAGCAATTTTTAAATTTCATTCTTTTACCTTATTGAGGTAAGTACTTAGATTATTTTTTTAAAATAATGCACAGCAAATAATTTTTCCATCGATATTGTTTTAGCTTTATTGTATTGGTACTTTTATGTACTATATTCAGGTATTATTATTTTTCATAACTTACTTTTAAAATTGTGACAAGTTTATTTAAAATAGATTTCTCCCTTGATTTTCAGATGTTAGATTCTGTCTTCCATTGCTGTATTTTAATTTAATTTAATTTTATTGTATATAAATATGTTGCATATTCCTTTTTTTAAAATGTGAGATATTTCCTCTCTCCTGTTACATAAACTTTATATGCAGTGTTCATTATGCACTTTAAAAATAAATATTTTGTTTCAGGGCATGATGCTTTCACACATAAAACCTTAGAATAATTTTAAATTCCATTCCACTTTCACCATTCCTGAACTGCTTTGAATATATTGGAGGTTGGAAGCCATGAGAGGCTTGCAATCCTGTCAAGATAATAGGATTTTCCATTTATAGTGTAATCTGACTTGCAATCCCGTCAAGATAATAGGATTTTCCATTTATAGTGTAATCTGATATATATTCGTTCTGGTTTCATACTTTAAAAAAATCTATTCTCTTTTACTCTGTGGTGATCTTTGCTTTTCTATTTTTTCATTGCTAGAATGTGAGCTGCTGTTTCCCTAGCACCTCAGATGTCATTCAACATTGTATAGCACTGGTGTTGAGAATTGAGAGAATCTACTAAATAATAGCACTTTTCGAGACTGCAGTTCTGAATTAAAAGGAAGGGAAAGGACAGGCAAAACAATATAGACATCAGCTATTTTTACTGAAGATCTGTTGGAGAACATGGTTTTGTTGTCCAGGAACTTGAGACCTAATACTGCATTCCTAATACTTCACTAACGTGTGTCTAAATAGCCGTGAAAGGGCTAAGAAGTCACAAGTTGGCCTCTTAATTTTTACGGGTGCCCTTAAAATATTAAGGTAATATTGAGGATGCAGAATGGCTCATTCCTCATGACTTTTTAAGAGATCTGGGCCGGGCACGGTGGCTTACGCCTGTAATCCCAACACTTTGAGAGGCGGAGGCTGGCGGATCACCTGAGGTCAGGAGTTCTAGACCAGCCCTACCAAAATGGAGAAACCCCGTCTCGACTAAAAATACAAAATTAGCCGAGCACGATGGCGCATGCTTGTCATCCTAGCTACTCAGGAGGCTGAGGCTGGAGAATTGCTTGAACCCAGGAGGTGGAGGTTGCGGTGAGCCGAGATCGCGCCACTGCACTCCAGCCTGGGCAACAGGAGTGAAACTCTACCAAAAAAAAAAAAAAAAAAGAGAGAGAGAGAGACAACTGGAGGGAGATACTAAGCTGTGCAGGCTCTCATCTTGAAGTCACCAAATACATAAGTTGTTATTTCTGCTCTGGTGAAAAGTTTGTCAATACATTTTTTTTCCATGAATTAATGAAAATTTTAGACCTATAACATAAGTTTTTAAAAGTTTCTCCTAAAGATTGCTTGTGTATGTATGTGGTTTAAAATATATTTAATCTCTACATCTTGAAATCGTTTTGATAGATTCCACACAAGAGTCCTTTATGAAATAAGTATGCTTTAACTTTCTTATAATATTTGTCCTTTTTTGTCCCTGGCACGGTCTGTATATGACCAGTTAAATTACTTTTAGTTCATGTTTGGGTTATAATTACACACAAATATTCTCTAAAGCCCAAATCTTATTTTGATATTCGAGGAAGAGTTTACATGGTAATAATATTAAGGGTTACAGCTGGTTACACTGAAGCTTTGTCGGCATTCTCTAATATCTTATTTTTTTTGAAGGAATATCTGTTCTGCTTGAATTGTAGGCTACATAATACATGTACTGTCAGGTACATTCATGGAAGGGACAGGCAGATGGAGTCATATGTTACTGGAGTCTTGATGAACAGATGTAGAAAATAGTTCAAGGAATAAGAAAAAAGTTGATATTGAAAAGTGCTTGTTGAAGTCTGTAAATGTGCATTAAATGTGGCAGTAAAAATAGACACAATGATGTTTGGGAACTGGGGTCTAAATGCTGGAGTCCCCAGAATCATAGAGAACCTTGGTTAGGGGAGTAATTTTGTCAAAAAGCAAGAAGAGGCAGTGACAGGCAGAATATAATTAAAAGTATTGCTGGGCCATTTTCTAATTTTGTAATTTTGTCATATTATTCAAACCCTGTTGATCATTTATTAAATTGGTAAATAAATTATAATCAGCAGGATTATTATGAGGGTTAAATAAGGAAATATATGTACATCTGTAAGCACAATGTCACAATTAATACAAAGTTACCCTTTTTATTTTTCCTGGACTTCATGTACAAAGGGGTCAGTAAATTTTTTGTTTATGACACATAATTATCACTTGCACATAAAATATATTTAATTATTTTTATATTTTTAGCAAGGAAATAATACATGCATGTTTCCCCCTGTCTCAAACACATACACTCATATAAACATATGCACCTATATACCTACATATCTATGTACGAATATATACATGGACATGGGTATTTCTCAGCAAATATGTATCATGATAATCACAGATATTGCAGCTAACAAAGACTAATATAAACCATGATTGCAAGAATTTTAGATACCACGTTAGTGAAACATCAGATTGAGCTGCTAAATTTCTCCCACCCCTATGTCATTTTGTATTTTCTGAGCATCCTAGACGATTGTGACTGTATACACAGGACAGAAACACCATGACTCAGGGTACTCCTGCTAATTTCCGATGCAGGAGATTTTAAGGGCTAGATTAGCAGGATGGGAGTGTTGACCCTCTAAGTGAAATAAATCCCTCAATTCATTATCCCCATCCTAAAACAGATTTTTTTTTTTTTTGAGACAGAGTCTCACTCTGTCGCCATCGCTGGAGTGCAGTGGTGGGATCTCAGCTCACTGTAATCTCTGCCTCCTGGGTTCAAGAGATTCTCCTGCTTCAGCTTCCTGAGTAGCTGGGATTACAGGCAAGCACCACCATACCCAGTTAATTTTTGTATTTTTAGTAAAGATGGGGTTTCACCATGTTGGCCAGGCTAGTCTCGAACCCTTGACCTCAGGTGATCCACCTGCCTTGGCCTCCCAAAGTGCTGGGATTACAGGCGTGAGCCACCGCACTCGACCCTAAAACAGATTCTTACTTGATTATTTCCACGTTCCAAGGGGAAATACAAAAGTCAGAGTTGAGTGAAAATAAAAGTGGAGTAAGGCTTCAGAAGGCTGTGGTGGGTGTTGGAGAAACGTTGCTAGGGCATAAAGCTAGGATAATAAAATCTGAGAAATCCCAGTGTTTATCTATAGGTGGAAATCATATTCCACATGTGGATGGAGTCAGGGATCCCTGTGTTTTAAAATCAGTGAGGGAATTGAATATCTGGACTTGTGCCAATTAACATACAAAACTCCGTGCTTTTGATGTTCTCATTCACAAGATATCTGTGTTCCTTGTTTATTAGCAACCATAGTCATAGGCTTCCTAATTTTGACCACGGGAAAAGAGGAGAGGCCTCTGCGTGTTTGTGTCTGTTGGTTAGGCTGTGGTGCAGCTGGTGTCACACTTCAGTGAAAGTCTGGCTTTTCATCACAGGTTGATCTGAAAATTGTGCACAAGACTGGTGTCTCACATGTTCTTTCTCCAACCTCAGCTTTTCTTAGTGCCTAAAGTGTCTGCAAGTGGAAATCCAGAGGAAGACAGAGAGAAACTGAGTTCCTGACAATGCATTCACTAGTGAGTAGGGGATGCCTCTTTCTACTGAAATTATACCCATATTGCTGGCAAATGGGCAGTTTTCTCCAATTTGCATGGGTGTTTCATTTTTATTCTTTTTTTGTTTGTTTTTATGATGTAAAATCCACCCAGCCTGGGTGTTCCAAATGCAGTCAGGAGGCTTTCAGGTATCTGGCCTCCAATTAAGTTTTCTCAGGACTCTAGGTTGGGTATCGTGTGTCAAAGACTCCTAAATTATCAATATAATTTCTAATATTACACTACTTTATTCCAGCCCTTATTAAGACTATTTACAAAAAAAGATATGAGAGGTTTCATTTATATATTTCTTTTTCTTCTATCCATCCTATAATCTCATAGGGAAATAATTGACCCATTAACTGTACTGTTGGCTGAAATAGACTTAGGATTGTGATGAATGCAGACGACAGAGATGAGTGAAGAGCAGAACATCACAGCCCAACAATGAGTCTGATGTTCTAGCAGCTGAGTTCAATAAATCCAGTGTGATAGGACTTGGGCAAGAGCTGTGCAGTGTTGAGGGAAAAGAAGAGTTTTATAAAATATATTTGAGCTTTTAAAAACTTTGTGAAAGGACAACTAAAGAAGTCATTACTATTCTTATCCCCATTCATTTTACCTTTTGGTAATTAACTTTTTTGCCTTCTGGTAAGTGAAAGTAACATATAGGAAATATAATTATTTAATTATGGTTGCACACTCAGAAGAAGGAATATAGTAGATAGAGTACAATTTAGGGTTCTGTGGAAATGCTTTATAAGGGCTGGTTACAAAAAAAAAACAATGAAGAGGCTTTCTTAATCTTTGAACAAGTGAAGTGAGAAGGTCAATTTAAAAGAGAAACAATGATAACTGATGTTTGGACTGCCGAGAGAAAGTTGAGAACAGGAGGCTTCATATCACAGGAATCATCGGACTAAGATTTCCTCAGTATAGCAGCCTCAGCAGTCTTGTCTTGTGCTGCTAGACTGTCTTCAAGCCTTTTCATGAACACCTGAATTATATAACATTAGAGAGACTATATGTATGAATTGAATCCTATATTCTGCATAAAGCGTTCAGTTCTGAAGAATGCTGGAGTCTGGTTCATTACTTTCTAACTTTTGAATGAATAAGGGACCAATGACTTATATTTAATAAATATTTGCTAGGTAGGAAACACATTTTCTATTAGTTCATTAGATTATTCAAAACACATCATTGGTCTTTTAACCATTTGATTGGGGAGAAACCTGTCTTTCATCTAGAGAAATAATTTATTTCATCGCAGTCATGTTTAAAAAGTAGTAAATCATGGTTATTTGCCTTGTGACAAATCTGTAATTTACTTGAAATTCATGGTAAATTTCATTTTATTTATGAATGTTCAAGTGAAAATTTTATAAGCAGTTATGTAGAGGTGATTAAGACATTACTGAAAAATATCTGGGTTATATTATGCCACACCTCATGCAATATTTCTTTATAGTAAAGTTTAATGGATTCAGAGTGGGTATATCTCTGTGAGTGAATCTGAAAGGCAGATACCAGCTTAGTACTGAGAATGAACTGGCTGGAACCAAAAACACTGAGTATTCTGCATACCCAGCTCCTAGCTATATCATCTCAGCCTTCCTCTTCCGGACATTGAAAGGGATTTCTCTGTCTAAACTAAAATGTCTGTGATGTTTTAGGAGAAAGTGACTTTTGAAGATGTAGCTATTGACTTCACCCAGGAAGAGTGGGACATGATGGACACATCCAAGAGAAAGCTGTACAGAGATGTGATGCTGGAAAATATCAGTCACCTGGTGTCCCTCGGTGAGTCCCTCAACATTCACGTACATATGTAGACACACATTCGCTCATTCATTCAATAAGTGTTAGAACAGCTTCCCCATATCTCACTCTAATCTCTTCTCTGATTCTCTCACAGATCTCATCTGAAAAAAGTTTGAACTCTCTAAATCTATCTTAAATAAGTATCTTTCTTTTTATTTTATTTTATTTAGTTTGTCACTCAATTAGAATGTAATCTTGACAAGTATTTCATGGTGTCTTTGGTCCTCAGTCTCTAATACTCATAACAGACCTGGGAACATAATGAATATTTTCAATGTATTAAATTAAATACTCTCTAAATAACTCTTCTGCTTTAGTCTATGCTTAGGCTGAGACCAATTAGTGAAAACAATAGCAATATCTTTTCCATATAGAACACCAATTATTTTTGTAAATCGAATGTTTTTTTTTGTTCTGCGTGAGAATAATAATAAACACAATGTGCAGAGATTTAATTACTCTCTTTCTGAAAAGATTGTGTATTATGCATTGTGTCTTGGAACTTAGGCATGGACTCAGCATTCATAGGTCCTGACTGTTTTGAATTTCCTTTTCCTGATGGCCCTTTGGTTTGGATTTATTTTCTAGTCTCAAGTTGGGTCAGAAAAATCCTGGGGAGTTTTCTGTGTTCTAGGTCTTGTGGCCTGAGCTGACCTTCACTGTTTTTATTCTTCCTTGATAGCCTGCCTTACACTTGGTGATAATGCACATTTATTGACAGTGAACTCAAAACACATGTATTCTTTCCACTAACAGGGTACCAGATAAGCAAATCCTATATAATTTTGCAGCTGGAGCAAGGAAAAGAGCTGTGGCGGGAAGGAAGAGTATTTCTTCAAGACCAGAATCCAGGTAAGCAACAGGGTCCTGTGTCCTAATAGGAGGAGGTGCTTTCTCAATGAATAATATCAGTTGAATATTAATTAGTGGTTTTATTAAATGAGTGATAATTTCTAAAATGTAGGTTAGGCTACTGGAGCAGAATTCCTTAGATGTTATTATCATTTTGTTCATGTGTCAGATGTTACTCTTGTGTCCTCTTTTTTTTCTTTTCTTTTACTTTTGGGAAAAAGACAATTCATGTACTTGGCTGGGGTTAAACTTTCATATGCTGACCCTTTCCCTGATACCCCTGTGAAGACTATCCCTCTATTTACTTGCCTGATATCTCATCTCCATTTTAACTCTTTTCACATTTTAATTTTAAAAATCTTTTCTAATTGCTGACACTGTACAATCTATTTCTTCTATTCAAGTAGTTTCTTCATTTGACACACTTGCCACATCTAAGTGTCAATTTTTGAAAAAAAGTAAATGGGCCTTGGGGCTTTTCAAACAATTTTATTACCATAATACCAATGTAACAATTTATTTTTCAATTATTTCAGACAGGGAAAGTGCCCTTAAGAAAAAACACATGATATCCATGCATCCTATCATCAGAAAAGACGCATCCACCAGTATGACAATGGTAAGTTTTATAGCTGTGTACACCAGTCATCTAAGTTAAAGATATGGTAATGGGTTAAGTTAATAATGAAGCACAATCACCTGAGTGTAATTAGGCTGGCATTAAGTGCTTTCTAAGCAAAGAAAAAAACTGGAGACTTTGAATTTAGTGAATACATTGACCTCTGTTCTAAATCATAACATGAGATCTCTAAAATAGAGCAAGTGCATATACATTGCTCATGCCCAGACATTGAAAGATATTGATATCATCACAATTATGCAATAACTCTGCAGTTGAGATCTTACAGAAGAGAACATACCTGTGTCTGCAGGAGATAATGTGTATGCAAATGTCAATCGAGAAAAATGACAAGTCTCAATCATTTTAGGAGATTTATTTGCCAAAGTTAAGGACATGCACCCAGGGGACAGGTGTATGCCTTTCTCCAAAGATGATTTTGAAGGCTCCAAATTCAAAGGGGAAAGGCTGGGATATTGAGAAGTACACAATTTTCATGTAAAAGGTGGGTAGAAAAAATAGTCATTCATGCATTTTTCTGGCTCAGTGAATCTGGATTTTTTTACATAACATGACATAAACAAATGAGGCAGAGGAATAATGCAGGAAAGCTGCATTTTACATAAGACAACATAGGCAAAATGGGGGCAGGGAAACAATCAGATATGCATTTGTGTCTGGTGAACTTGGGATGACTGCACCTGTAAAGACAAGTTATCAGTTTGCATTGCCGTGGTGTAATTTTAACAGCTCATGAGGAATTTCCTTGTGGGCAAAATATGGGGGAGGCATGTAGCTTTTCATCTTGTAGTCATATTATTTAGGAACCAGAAGGGGGAGGCAGGTTTGTGTGACCCAGTTCCCAGCTTGATTTTTCCCTTTGGTTAAATGAGTTTGGGGTCCCAAAATTTAATTTCCTTTCACACAAGAAACATTGGAAAGATTTCAACTGGGGTCTACCACTGAATGGTTGGTCTAGGATTCAAAGGTAGTGAAATGAATGTATAGATATATGTGGGTAAACCATTAAGAGCTTTTAATCTTTGTCCCAAAGGAGAACTCTCTCATTCTGGAGGATCCTTTTGAATATAATGATTCGGGAGAAGATTGCACTCACAGTTCCACAATAACTCAGTGTTTGTTAACTCACAGTGGAAAGAAACCCTATGTCAGCAAACAGTGTGGAAAATCCCTTCGTAATCTTTTGTCCCCTAAACCACGTAAACAAATTCATACTAAAGGTAAATCATATCAATGTAATCTGTGTGAAAAGGCCTATACTAATTGCTTTTACCTTAGACGGCACAAGATGACTCACACTGGAGAGAGGCCATATGCATGTCATCTATGTGGAAAAGCCTTCACTCAGTGTTCTCACCTTAGAAGACATGAGAAAACTCACACGGGAGAGAGACCATATAAGTGTCATCAGTGTGGGAAAGCCTTTATTCAATCCTTTAACCTTCGAAGACATGAGAGAACTCACCTTGGACAAAAGTGTTATGAATGTGATAAAAGTGGGAAAGCCTTTAGTCAAAGCTCTGGCTTTAGAGGAAACAAAATAATTCACATTGGAGAGAAACCTCATGCTTGTCTTCTATGTGGGAAGGCCTTCAGTCTGTCTTCCGACCTTAGATGACATGAGAGAACATGCACTGGAGAAAAGCCATATGAATGCCATTTATGTGGGAAAGCCTTCAGTCAATGTACTAATATTAAAAAGCATCAGAAAATTCACCCTGGAGAGAAAATTATAAACTTCTTCAGAACATATTCTGACTTTAGATGACACAGTGTTAGGAATGACGAAGGTAAGGAATGTGGAAGAGACTTCAGCTGTAGTTGTAGCATCTAAACATGCCAAAGGACTCACATTTTGAAGAAATACTGTAATCAACATGGAAGATACTTCAGTTGCCTTTATTCTTCAGCCCACATCAATAAATTCATATGGAAGAGAAATTGTATGACATGTATGTACCAAAGACTTGTTAGTGATCTGAGCATAAATGACATGAGAGAGCTGAAACTGTCAGCATAATCAACTAAAAGTCTTCAGCAACAGCTTTAACTTAAAACATGTGGGACTTTCAGGTAGAGAATCTCTAACTCTGCATTCAGTGTGAAAATGTTTTTATTTGCAATTTATTGTCAAATAACATGAGAAAACTTTACTTGGATGAACCCTTTATTTGTATTTTTCTGTGAATGAACATTCAGCCAAGCACCAGGCTTGATATTCACAAGAGAAGAGTGACAAAATGCTGCTAAAATGGAAAATAAGAGAGGAAAGCCTTCATAAGCTAAATAACAAGGGAAAGTCTTTCCAAGGGCAATGAATTCTCTTGGAATACCAAATACTTCTTACTGGAGAAGTTATGCAATGAAAAATCATGAGAAATCCTTTCTTCATAGAGCAACACATGTGGCACATGTGAGATTTCACACTGGACAAAACAGGGTTAGCATCTTGAAAGAAGAAAATTCTTTAGTGGTAATTCATTTCTTAGTTGACATTAAGTTTCTCACGTTGAGGAGCTATCAAACTTGAAAATCACTGTGGAGAAACCTGATAGATTTCTCATCAGAAAAGTGAGTCAAGAAGGTGGACCTCTAGAAAAAACTCTTAACACATACTTTAGCAAAATAATTCAGAAATTTGAGAAAATATCTATTCATAAAAATGTGGCATGTAAATGCATAATAGCAAAGTGACCAAGGAATAAATTGAATGCAGAATTATATAAGAAATCTCATTAAACTTTTCCAAAAGAGCAATACTTACAAATATTGAAAGAATACAATCTGTTGTTGAAAAAACTTAGTATGTTGGTGAAGCCCTTGTTTCATTTATGCAGCCCTAACAAACTGATTTGCATCTGAACTCCTTGGGTGAGATTCTTGGTGGAGATTCTACCCCAACTTCTGAGTCTCCCCAGTCTTCAACAGCTCTTTCCTCACAGCTCACCTCCCTTTACTTCAACGTCCACCAAAACCACTTGTTTCCATCCAACCCTCGAGTTGACACACCAGGGATCTTCAGCCCCACTTGCTAGATTTCTCAGTTTGTCATTGCATAGATTTAGCAGGGAAATGGAGGCTGTATCAAAGACCCCTAGTATATGCATTTGGGTGTCCCCAGCTCTTGCCTCTGTCTCTGAGCAGTTACCTGGGATCAGAGAATAAGGCAGCTCTTCTCTTCTATCCCTCAGAAGGCTCTTGAAATTTTGTCCCTGGAGCCTCTCTAACTGGAAGTAGCAGTTCATCTCATGACACCCCACATTTTATTCAGGTGAGTCCTGAGTTATTACACAGAGACAGACACAGCTGTGCTCCTTTTACTGCAGTCCAGAAGATAAAACACCAGCATGATAAAACAGCCGAACCTGTCAGCCACCTTGCAAGCCTTTTCTATATTTGATTCAATGTACTTTTCCCGAAGCAAAATGAAAGTTCTCACAGAGGGGCCCTCCTCTGCCTTGTCCTCAGAATTGGAAAATGTATTGTCCGTGAAGGAGCCTCACCACTGAACCTAAAACTCAAGAGAAAATGTTTCCTGAATATCAAGTGGGATGACTTGAAATTTTGTCAAACAGGCAGAATCTTAATACGATCGGCCTTACTAAGGCTAAATGGCCTTATCCATGGTTGAAATTGACACATCATCATATTAAAAAATCTCCACGAGTGATTGATTTTACTCTGCAGCCAGGGTTTATGTCAAGTGTGAGGATAATGAGCAAGAAATTCAAGCCCTTGGCAAACTGGTTGGAGAGGCAAGGACTGTGTCCAGGCAGAGCTCATAATCATTATTTATTGTTTTAATCTATTTAATTAAATATGTAATTTACCCACAAACTGGGGCTGACATTATATGTACTCCTGAGCCACATTAAGATGTACTATTTGTGCTGTGAAAATTCTATGGGATTTGACAAATGCATGGTGGCAGAATCTCCAGCCATTATTAAAGCGTAACACAGAATGCTTCTCTTATTCAAGCTCGTCTTCCCTCCACATAGAGGGAATCAATCGACTTTTGTATACTGATTTTGAATTTGCTTCTTTATTTCCATCTTCTTTAATTAAAGCACAAGATATCGTACTCAATTTCCATTTGATCTTCCAAAAGAAAGTACTGAATAATCCACACCTGAATTTCAGTGATTCAGACTCAGGTCCACCGCTAAGACCAAACGTCCTGTGCTGCCACCTCATGGCCGGCAGAGGGGCAATGAAACCCACCTTTCCGGCCATGCAGGGCGCATGCGCGGTCCTGCCTCCCGCGGCGGGCCGGGTCTCCAGGGAGGACCTGAGTTTTCTTCACCCATTGTCAGGAAGGCGCCATCGCCCTGGCTTTTGGGGCTGGGGCCTCCGGGGAGGTTCCGGTAGGGGCGTTGGAGAGGCCCGCTCTTTTTGCAAGGCCCGAGACGGCGGGCCCTGCGCAGGCCGCCCTATTTCCGCGCGCCCTCAGGGCGTCAGTATCAGCCTGAGGCTGGATACCCCCGCTGGCCCCGGATGCCCCCGCTGGGCCCGGAGCATCCTCCGGCGCTGCCCTCCCAGAGCCACGCAGAGGCTGAGGTGGCGCGGGGGCGGCCCCGGCTCCGCGAGAAGCGGCGGCAGCGAGGGCTGGAGGACCCGGGCTGCGGGGCTCCGGGGCGTCTGGCCTGGGTGGGACTGAGCCCATCCAGGGACTGGGACTCTGGGATTCTGGTGTAGGTGGATCCGGGGCAGGCTCAGGACCAAGTCCCTCTCCTTCCACCAAGGAGCGCCCAGAGGCCGGCGGGAGCTCCAGGTTCACCTCCTCCTCCTCCAGGTGTTTACTTTTCCTTTATTTTCTGTGAGGCCAGAAATTGTCGCCATCCTTCACATCGGTGAATCGGGACCCTAACACTCATTACCTTCAGGTTTATTGTTATTGCCATTAACAGTGTTGGTGGCATTATCACTAAGATCATCATTGTTGTTATTATTGTCATTTATGATTATTAGCAGGTGTGTTCATCATTTTGTCTCACTATGCATTTTTTTTTTTGTGGGGGGTGGGGGGATTGGTTTTGTATGACGTTGAATTGAGCTTCTTTAATCTTGACCAGTGTTGTCAGATTTCTGAAGAGCATTCCGGAGGACATCTCCTGCCTTTCAGCACAGCCACAGAATTTCGTGGGCACAGGAGAGCACCTAGAATATTCCCCTTTCATTGCACAGCAGCTTTGGGAAATAGTTACTGCTGGCTCTGAGATGAGGTAGAAAAGACTGGATACTGGGGCAAGTGTTAGCACCTCCACTGGTGTTTTTATGAAGCTAAGAGCACTGTCTCCCACGTAGACTTAGAATAAAATCTGATGGCTCTAAAGGGCCATGGCTGCCCTTCCTGGGACTTCCTGGGAACCTTTAAACCTTCTGTGGTTCCTGGAGTAGGTAGGTTGCCAAGTCTGTGCCTCATATGGTAGCACCAGTCTTTTCTGGGCCAACAAGGGCACTTAGAATGTTTCCAGAAGCTCAGGCGTGCTGTCTCTGTTCCTCCCTTCTGTTCAATGGCAATTCCCTGGGTCCCTGGCTGATATAGAACATCCTGCCGAAGGTTGGGCTTGGGTGACTTCCTGGCCAGCCTTCCCAGGCAGTCATCTTTGAAAACCTTGAAGAGACTCACAGAGGCTATTCACTGGTATTTCATGACTGCAAGTGGGGTTTCTGGATCCTTGAGTTTACTTAGAATATTTGAATGGCTCTGAATGGCCAAGAAACCCTCCCTGATCTTAGAAGCTGCCAAAAGCTATTACTGGGCCCTGAAGAGACTTTAAAATTTTTCCAAGTACATTTGGGCATAGGAAACTTTTCCGGGTCTAGCTGAGCCAGCTCAGGTTGAGTCCTGAAAAAACTGGTGGGTACTGGGGGATCTCAACTTACGAAAGAGCAATTGGTGGCAAAGCTGGGTCTCCAGGATAGCTGTGTGTGTATATGTCTGTAGCACATGCCTTGCAGTCATCTTTAGTAACTGAACACCATTTGTGAATGGATAAACTATATTCATTGCTGTACAATGATGAAAAATCCATATTAACAATGGCAGTAATAAAAATATTGATGGATATTAACAGGAATAATGATCATCATGATACTAGTACTAATGGTTTTAATACTGATAATAATACTAACCCTATGGACTTGGGACATATAAGTTTTCCATAAGTGGATAATAGGCATAAATATTTGGCTGTGTAGGGTTACTTCAAGTCCCAAAAAGCAAGGATGAACATCTAGAACGAGAAGAAAAACAATCTGGAGGTTAGTATGTGCACACCTGGGGACTCCTGTGTTAACTTCTGGTGTTTCAGCCTAAGAGGGAATGTTAATATAACCCTGGTCCTGGAACACCATGCTGACCAACACCTATCAGCTTTCAGGAGATAAGACAGCTGGCTGATGGGGCAGGGATCCAGAGAAGGCACGGGTCCACACCTGCACATGTTGCCCAGCGGCAGAGTTCATGACAAGCAATAAGCCCCAGGACAATGTCATTCCCAGCCACCTGGCTGTCATCTGCTCTTTCATGGCCCCTCTCTACTGGTACCTCTAGGCACTGGCATGTCCTCCAGAGGCTGCAGGAGGGCATGATACTCAGTACTCTCCCACCTGCAGGAGGCAAGAAAGATGGAAACAGCTAAATACCACGGCTTCTGGATTTTTTTTGGTGGGCATGGCATATTTTGCATTTGCTTTAATAGTGGTGGAACCCAGTCAGTAGCTTGCAATACAGATCTAGATGACTCTGGACACCTGTAGAGATTTTGACAATTTCCAGAAGGTCACAAGTTCTTGGAGGACTTTTTCATGAGTTCTTTGACTGAAAAGATGGTTCAAAGAGCTTCTATACTGACTTAGAAAATGTTGCAGAGGCCAGGTGCGGTGGCTTATGCCTGTAATCCCAGCACTTCGGGAGGCCAAGGCAGGCGGATCATGAGGTCAGGAGTTTGAGACCAGTCTGACTAACATGGTGAAACCCCTCTCTACTAAAACTACAAAAATTAGCCGGGCGTGGTGACACGCACCTATAATCCCAGCTACTCGGGAGGCTGAGGCAGGAGAATCGCTTGAACCTGGGAGTTGGAGGTTGCAGCGAGCCAAGATGGCGACACTGGACTCCAACCTGAGCGACGGAGAGACATTTTATCTCAATAAATAAATAAATAAATAAATAAATAAATAAATAAATAAAATAAAAAGGAAGAAAAAAGAAAATTCACAGACACTCTGGTGAACAGGTAGGCCCTCTCCTGCCACTCCAGGTAAAAGTTTCTTGGCCACAAACCTGATTTGGCAATATCCCTTCATCTTAGGTGGGTAAGAGAAAGCCATTCATGACCTATCCAAGCATGGAGAGGGGATTTGACTTAGAAAACTGTTACGTGGACTAGTTGGTGAAAGAAAGTGCATTCTAGGACTCACAGGCCTACACACAGAGTTGCTATCAGATAAAGCCGATGTATGAACTCTTTCTGAGCCCATGGCAAGATGAGGGTGCACTTCATCAGTCTCTTATGCTGGTATGAATAGGTACTTGCCTGAAAAATAAAAGAATAATTCAGGAAGCCCATTCTTCTACAGGACACCAGGCAGTACAGTAGGAGTCCTGGGGTTGCTGTGGTATTTATGTTTTAAGGTTGTCTTTTAATCATCTTCAGCAAATTCAACAGTCTTCAGGAACATAAAAAAATTTTTCAACATTACATAAAAATGACCACAAATATATCCATGATAAAGAACTGTACCAATATAATAACATTAATAACAATCATAATGGTGATGATATGTCAATTTAATGAAGAGAGTAATAAAAAGCAGATATTTAAGAACATATTCCTGTAAGCCTGTGACAATGTTCCCATATGAGCCCTCATGTTATTGATTAGATGGGGAAGCTTAGGGCTACATCTTGAAATATATTCTGTGAAGGCAAAGAAGAGTGGCAGTACGGAGAATTATTCTGAGCCACATGAGAGCATGGGCAAAAGTGGAGATACCTGTGCCATGTGGAAATACATTACAAATGGACTATGGCAAAGGGTCTGGCCAGAGTCTTGCCTGACACAGCTCGTACAAAAGCCTTCAGTAGTGCACCCCAAGAAATAGCTGGTCCAGGCTGTAGATGAGAGGCACTGGGCAGACAGATCCATACCCACCTCCTGAGTCTCAGAAGTCTGGTGTGCATGGAACATTAAGCCCCTAGCCTACTGAAACTTCACCTCCCAGCTGGTCTTGTACCATCTGATTCTTGAGCCCCATCATGTTAGTGTCATCTCCATACTGGAATTGCCAACAATGTCTGATGGAGGGTTTCACCCTGGGTACTTGGTATCAGCAATGTATGAAATACCAGAAGGGAGGCTCCAGGGCTTCCATAGAAGACACATTCTAAAGTTACTCAGGTGATCAAATGGTCATCTCAGAGATTTTCAGTAGAACTGCAGCATTTTGTCAATACCTGAGTGAATGCAGAAACTATCCAGAGGCACGGGCATTCTAGGAAGCTCCCTGTGTAAATCAAATACAAGGAATATCTACTTCTGGGCTCAAAATCTAACTTAGAGAAAAAAAAATTGAAGTGCTGGCAGAAGACAAATAACTCCACTTCAGTTCTCAAGAGAAAAATGGTTCTGTAACCTCTGAGTTTATTTAGAAAAATTTTGGAGCCTCAGGAAGACCGAGTATATCATTCCTGATGTTTCCAGGACAGATTGGACTGCTTAGGCCTTTGGGAATATTCTAAGTCCTCTCGGGTTTCCATGGGAGACTGTAACTCTACTCCTAGAGCTCACACCACCCCTGAGCAAGCTCATTGTTTTCTAAATATTCCAAGGAAGCCCATTCAGGGTATGTCTGTATTGGTGAGTTTCACTTTGGACTGGCAGGAGAAGACTGAGAATGATACATCCTGAGTTCACTTGGTAAAGGTAGGGTAGCCAAGAAGTCCAGATCTGGAGAGCACCTGAAACACCAGATGGCAGAAGGACAGTAAGGAGGTAAAGTCAGCTATGGAGTTGGAGCTTCATGTTTACTGCATGTAGGATTCTGAGTTCCAGGACTGATGGGCTGGTGGGGATCAGAGACGTGTCTTCCTTGCAGGGAGCCAGGCCAAACCAACCATCTGGTTGCACTACTGAAAGCTTTTGTGTGCCCAGTGGTGGGCAGGACACAAATCACAGTCCCTTCACCTCTGGCTGGTAGTTCTTGATGAGAGAGGTTTGCACACAAATGTTCATATTAGCCCATGGTCTCCTGCGGCTTGCTTTTCTTTTACCTCCTGTTTTTGATGTTTGCCATCATGGAACACATTTCATAGAGAAATTCTTTGACTCTGACTCCAAATTACACAAGGAGGACACAGTCTGTGAAGTTTTCATATATTTAGGGGAAGCTCCACATTAATTTTTGTATCCTTACGTTTATAATGTCTCCAGTATTAAAATTCATACTATTTAGGTCATTGAGTTCATTATCATGATTATTAATTATTTTTCGTATATCATTTCTTTTTATTGGTTAATTTTTGTGGCAGCTGTTATATAACAATCACTAGAGTTTCCCTATTCATGAAAGATGTCCAAGTTAATGGAGATAACTAGGAGTGTTACTTCACAGGTATGTAAATACAGATAATCTTGGCTGAACTGTGGCTATATTGTCTGGTGTCCCTTTGAGGGTGAAGCCTGTTGTATTATTCTAAGTGACCTCTGGAGAAAGCAACTGTCTCATAATTGCAGGGACGACTTGAGAAGGCATCCTAAGCCTATGCAGAAATGTAGAAACACTTCCATTATCTAAACAACCTATGTGAAGGCCTGAAAGCCAAAGCAAGATCCTCTTGTTACAAAGCTGTCCAACAAAAAGTTTTCCAAGTAATACTGGAGGTCCGTCAGTCAGTCTTCCTGGTCTGGAAATGCCAGAAATGTCCTCCTTGGTCCTTCTGAGAGTCAAGATCTTTTCAAAATCACCTCAGGAGCCACAGAACCACTCCATCCTACCTGAAATTGCAGGATGACTCTTCTTTTGACCAGAGTCTCAAAAATATATTCGTTGATAGTTTTGATTCCTGGGAGCCGCCATTGCTTGCAAAAGATGTGCCAGAGACTAGACATTTTCTGTCTCCTCACTTGTCCGGGGAAGACTGAAGTTTTACTGAAACACAGAGATGGGAATCTGACCCTCTGAGCAGCCGCAGGATATTCTAAGTCTTCCAAGAAGAGTAGAAATACTGGTGAGGACCCATTGCACCCCCTGATGGTCTGCAATCACATAGGATGATGCTTTCAAACAACTCTAGGTGTAGATACATTTTCTGAGATATTCCAAGGAGGAGGGACACAATTGGACCAGATGTTAGAAGGACAGCTGAGCATTAAGTGCCTATGTAGTGTTTGCAGCTTAGTGTCCCATGCAGAAGGGGAACCTGGGCCCTGGTGTTAGAATTCAGTGTAATTCTGGGTTCCTGCTTTCCTTCCAGGAAATCCCACTTCCAGCTAGATGTCTGCATGAACTACTGAAAGCTGCTGAGTGTCTTGCAGCAGGTGAGCTGTGGCCAGAGCTCAAGGATGAAGGGGACTCCCTCACTGTGTGACTGTGAAGAGGAAGCCTGAGGTGTAGCAGGCCCAGGCCCCAGAAGTATGGAAAAAATGAGGTAGGGAGGGAGGGGACCTCAGGAGAAGACTGAGGTCTACAGAATCCCAGGGTCAAGGGGATGGTGCGGTGTCCGGGCACTGTCCCTGATGTTCCAAGAGGGGTGAGAATCCATCTCCTGAGTAAAAACTTCACATGGAGTGAGGAGGGGAGAAGTGAACAGAGAGGAAGCAGGGAAGGCCAAGACAGCGACCAGCCTCACAGCAATTTTAACCAGAAATGGACACAGACCCTGGACCCCATCACAGGAGTGCAGGCCTAAGACTGTCTCCAGGTGATGCATAGCTCCCTTGTCAGGTTAGTGGGTGCAGGGATTGTGACGTCTGCAGGGGTGTGGAAGGCTGGGCAACGGGAGCAGCTTACTGGGCTGGACCAGAAATACTGAACTTCTTTTCCATCAGTGAAATCCGCTTCTGGGTCAGAAAAAACTGCGAGTTCCAGAGGGGCAGGGCCTAGGAGGAGGTCAGGTCCTGAGCCCTCCTGGTTTGACCCCCTCCCACCCCCTGTGTTTCTGGGTCTGTCCTCAGTTCCACCCAGCAGATCCTGAGTCTCTTCCTTTGAGTCCCCGTGAGTGTGTTGTGTGCAGTGGGGCCGGGCTGCTTCATCCACTGCACATTAAATGTTTCCAATACTTTCTGGCCAAAGCTTAGAGTTGTCAGACCACTGAATTTCAATGTTGACCTGGTTCCTTGTGGAACAGAGTAATAGCTATTGAAGTTTAAAGTCACTTTCCTGCGTGGATGGTGAAGAGGCAGGCTGTTCAGGCATAGCTGTCCTCAGGCCTGGAGGGCTGTGGAGGTCACCGTGGGCGGTGGGTGGATCCGGAAACTCTGTGGCTCTAGACTTTCAACTATTTTATTTTTTCTTTTGTATTTTTTGTTTGTTGCTTGCTTTTTTACAATGGGAACTAGAATGTAAGATGCCAAACTCAGCCTGTGGGGAACATGGATTTTCACAACAGCAACCACAGAGCGTGGTTTCCATTTCTATTCCCTGTTCATGTGGGAGGCAGAGAAGGAAATCAGGTGCTCAGTTCCAGGGACATCACAGGACTAGGACATGTGCAGTGAGGGTGGAAGGCAGAGGCATTGCTTTAGGAGAATAAAATTACTGCATGCACACACATATGTATGTATATGGATGTATGTACACAAACATGCATATTTATAGATTCTGTTCTCCCTCTCTCTATTTAATTTTCTTTATTTCACACTTGATATGATTTCTAAATTTAAATACCTTTGAGACAAAGGTGAATTGTGAAGGGATTTAAAAATGTCAGTGAAAAATGGAATTAACAATAAAAATATAAACTTTATTTCTCAATATAAGCTCTATTGAGGTCCAGACACTCCATTAAGGGATGATCCCAGCCATTCAGTCCATTGCTAAACAACTGAGGGTAACGGGAATTTAACCGTGTCAATGCAGTCTTCTTTTACTAACTAAAGAAAAATGAGTGCCCTTTACAGTTATTTTAAGATTAGGGAAAAAAAGGTCAGAAGAAACCAAATCAGGACTGTAATGTTGATGCCTAATAATTTCCCATGAAAACTCTTGCAAAATTACCCATGTTTGATGAGAGGAAGGAACAGAAGTGTTGTTGTGGTGCAGAGGGACTCTCTAGTGAAGCTTTACAGGGCGCTTTTCTGCAAAAGTATTTGCTAATTTTCTCTAAGAACTCTCCTAGTAAGCAGATGTTATCGTGCTTTGATCTTACAGAAAGTCAACAAGCAAAATGCCTTGAGCATCCCCAAAACCTCCATGGCTTTAGCTTTTGAGAAGTTTGCTTTTGCTTTGACTGGACCACTTCTACCTCTTGGTAGCCATTGCTTGAATTGTGCTTTGTCTTCAGGATCTTATTGATAAAGCCAGTTTCACTCCCTGTTATAATTCTTCAAAACAATGCTTCAGGATCTTGATTCCGCTTGCTCAAAATAGTCACTAATAGCTCTGCTTTTGTCCACTGCTCATCTAGGCACAAGGGTATTTGGGACTCATCAAATGTAAAGTTTCTCAACTTTCACGTTATAGTCAGTATTGTGTAACCTGAACCAATTGAGATGTCTGTGGTGTTGGCTGTAATATCTCTTGTTAATTGTCAATCCTCCTCAATTAGGGCATAGAAACGATTTTTTTTTTCCTCAAAAATTGGTATGGATGTCCCTCCTCTGTTGACTTCATCTTCAACATTGTATTATCTCTTCTTAGAATAAGGTATCCATTTGTAAATGACTGATTCTTCAGGTCATTTTTCCCATAGACTTTTCATAAAGAATAATTTATTTCACCATTTTTTGTACCCCAGCTTCACCATAAATTTGATGTTTGTTCTTGCTTCAGGTTTGACAGAATTCATGTTGCTGCCATAGAGGGGCTCTTTTCAAACTGATGTCTTAAATCTTGTTCAGGTATGTTAAAACAGGGCCAGGCACGGTGGCTCACGCCTGTAATCCCTGCATTTTGGAAGGTTAGAATAAAGTTTTTTAAAACTTTATTTTATTTCATTTTAAGTTCTGGGCTATATGTGCAGGATGTGCAGGTTTGTTACATAGGTAAATGTGTGCCATGGTGGTTTGCTCTACCTATCAACCCATCACCTAGGTATTAAGCCCACATGCATTAGCTATTTATCCTGATGCACTCCCTCCCCACTCACTCCCAGACAGGTTCCAGTGTGTGTTGTTCCCCTCCCTGTGTCTGTGTTCTCTCATTGTTCATCTCCCACTTATAAGTGAGAACATGTGTATTTGGTTTTCTGTTCCTGCATTAGTTTGCTGAGAATAATGACTTCCAGCTTCATCCATGTCCCTGCAAAGGACATGATCTCATTCCTTTTTATGGCTGCATAGTATTCCATGGTGTATATGTATCACAGTTTCTTTATCCAGTCTATCATTGATGGGCATTTGGGTTGGTTCTATGTCTTTGCTATTGTGAATAGTGCTACAATGAACATACGCATGCATGTATCTTTATAATACAAGAATTTATATTCCTTTGGGCATATACTCTGTAATGGGATTGCTGGGTCAAATGGTATTTCTGATTCTAGGTCTTTGAAAAATCACCACAGTCTTCCACAGTGGTTGAACTAACTTACATTTGCACCAACAGTGTAAAAGTGTTCCTATTTCCCCACAGTCTCACCAGCATCTGTTGTTTTTTGACTTTTTAATAATCACCATTCTGACTGGCATGAGACGGTATCTCACTGTGGTTTTGATTTGTATTTCTCTAATGATCAGTAATGTTGGGCATTTTTTTCATGTTTGTTGGCTGCATAAATGTCTTCTTTTGAGAAGTGTCTGTTCATGTCCTTTGCTCACTTTTGAAATTTTTAAATTTTTATTTTTTAAGACAGAGTCTTGCTCTGTCACTCAGGGTGGAGTTCAGTGACACAATTTCGGGTCACTGTAACCTCTGCCTCCCAGACTCAGGTGATTCTTCTCTCTCAGGCTCCTGAGTAGTTGGGATTACAGGCCCGCACCACTACATCCGGCTAATTTATTGTATTTTCAGTAGAGACGTGGTTTCACCAGCTTGGCCAGGCTGATCTTGAACTCCTGGCCTCAAGTTATCTGCCCACTTCACCCTCCCAAACTGCTGGGATTACAGGCATGAGCCACTGTACCCTGGTTTTCCCCACTTTTATATGGGGTTGGGTTTTTTACAGTTTTGGGTTTTACATTTAAGTCTTTCATCCATTTTCAGTTCATTTTTGTATAAGGTATAAGGAAGGGGTACAGTTTCAGTTTTCTGCATATGTCTAGCCAGTTTTTCAAACACCATTTATTATTAAATAGGGAATCCTTTCCCCATTGCTTGTTTTCATCAAAAATAAAATGGTTGTAGATGTGCAATCTTATTTCTGATATATCTATTCCATTCCATTGGTCTATGTGTCTGTTTTGTACCACTACCATGCTGTTGGGTTACTGTAGCCTTGTAATATAGTTTGAAGTTAGGTAGCATGATGCCTCTAACTTTGTTATTTTAGCTTAGGATTGTCCTGGGTATATGGGCTCTTTTTTCATTCCATATGAATTTTGAGGTAGTTTTTTCTAATTTTGTAATGAATGTCCATGGTAGTTTATGGGAATAGCATTGAATCTATGAATTAATTTGGGAAGTATGGCATTTTCATGATATTGATTCTTCTTACCCATGAGCATGGAATGTTTTTCCATTTGTTTGTGTCCTCTCTTATTTCTTTGAGTAGTGGTTTGCAATTCTTCTTGAAGAGGTCCTTCACTTGCCTTGTTTGCCGTATTCCTAGGTATTTTATACTCTTTGCAGCAATTGTAAATGGGAGCTCATTTGTGATTTGGCTCTCTTCTTGTCTATTGGTGTATAAGAATGCTTGTGATTTTTGCACACTGATTTTGTATCTTGAGACTTCACTGAAGTTGCTTATAAGCTTAAGAATCTTTTGGGCTGAGATGATGGGATTTTATAGATATAGGATCATGTCATCTGCAAACAAAGACAATTCAACTTCTTCTTTTACTATTTGAATATGCTTTATTTTTTTCTCTTGCCTGATTTCCTTGGCCAGAACTTCCAGTACTATATGGAGTAGGAGTGGTGAGAGAGGGCATCCTTGCCTTGTGCCGAATTTCAAACGGAATGCTTCCAGGTTTTGCCTATTCAATATGATATTGGCTCTGGGTTTGTCATAAATGGCTCCTATTATTTTGAGATATGTTCCATCAATACCTAGTTTCATGAGGTTTTTAATTTAAAGGAATGTTGAATTTTATCAAAGATCTATTCTGAGTCTACTGAAATAATCATGGGGTTTTTGTCTTTAGTTCTGTTTACATGGTGAATTACATTTATTGATTTGTGCATGTTGAACCAGCCTTGCACCAAACGGATGAAGCTGACTTGATCTTGGTGGATAAGCTTTTTGATATGTTGCTGGATTTGGTTTGCCACTATTATATCGAGAATTTTTGCATCAAAGTTTATCAGAAATATTAAACTAAAGTCTAGTAAATACATTGAAAATAATAACAGACTGATTAAAAGACTAAATAATATGAATCCTAAGTGTTCTCACAGCTGATTTATAGAGTAAAAGCATTGTCAAACCAAATGAGCTTGGATAGAAACTGTATAGAGTCTGAGATGTTGTCTGAAATTCCAGTCACTCATTGTGAAGTGGAACTGCAGTAACTACATTTGGTGCAAAATTTCATGTCGATGGAAGCTGATATGTCCTGCAGTCTCAGAGGGACAGAATTCTGGTGTATCTCCCTTTGGCCTATGAGGAATGAAGATTTAGGCTCTGAGGGTTTTGTCAAAATTTATAAGATGTAAGAAATGGGGACGTCTTTAGGCCATGAGGCAAGGCCTAGTGGTGTAAAGAAACAGCTTCTGACCCAGGGCTCATGAAGTCAGCATGGTGTCAGGGGCGATGGTGGAGTGAGCATAGTATGGTTTTTGGAACCATTCCTTCCTCTTATTTCTTCACAGGCCAGGTATGCACAACCAGGGGGCATCTCGGGCCTGATGAGCAGAGTCCTGAAGAGACAAAGGGGCAATCCTGAGGAAGAGACTTGACAGGGAGGAAGGAGCCACCAATTTCATTCCTGAGGGAATTCTTCCTCCCCAGTAAACCATAGGATTTTCCTTTGTCTCAGTGAGAGTTTTCCTGAGTGAAGAGAAAAGAGAGAGAAAGGGACTGATGTGTTATCTGTTACCACCACCTGAAGTGATTCTGAAACATTGGGGGAAAGGAGAATTATCTTCAGAGTCATAAGCAATCCAGAGGCCATGGTTACACATAAGAGAGTGGAAGTTCTTATCTCTGGGGGGTAGGCACTAGGCATTGATATTGGTTAAAGCTCATTCACTGATTACAAAGTGAGACAAATAAATACTCCACTGCAAGATTTATTCATGACATTTTATTTCACACACAATTCACTTGCCTTCACGCAAAGAGCTCTCGGTTCCCTGCCTATGGACACACTGTAACTGGGTCTTCCAAATTCATTCTTCTGGATGTAAAAGAGGACATAGGTCTGTTGACTCAGGACAGAAGTGATACCGGAGGCAGTGACCTCGGCATCATCCATTTTATACCAATGGCCTTCTTGAGTTTGACATAAGAGAAGTAATGTCCGTTGTGACAACTCCACCCAGCGTGGACCAGCACAGCATAGAGGACATAGACAAGAGGTCCTGTGTTCTGCTGAGACATGTATGGCTGCATGTCAAGGCACTCAGGATATTGCACATTCTTGGCAAGTTTGTTGCCTGTGACATCAGGGAATCTCTTCAATACAAGGATGAGGACCTTGGCAGAAGTGTGTAAAGTTAACGTCCTGGAGGCAGGCGCCTTCTGGAGACAAAGACCACAATGATAGGCATTTTGTCCATTGAGTTCTTCGGGCTTCACCAACTGTTCCAAAGCTTGCTTGACACTCTGAGCTGCCTGGATATCCAGGGCGATGTCCAGGTAAGGGTCAAAGGTGTCTGAAATCCCGTGGCAGTGGAAACAGTTGATGTGAGATCTCCAGTACCCTCCAAATATTTGGTGGATGAGGGTGGTGTCCTTAGAGTGATTATCTAAATGCTTGTGCCCGGGAAGGAATGCCTTTTTCATGGCATCCACAGTGAACATGAGAAATTCATGGGCATCTTCCTGCTCGCCTCTATGGAAGCCAGCAGCCAACACCTGTGAGGGCTGGATGACATGGCCAGGACTGTGGAGGGGCCATGTGATGTGAGCTTGCATAGTACAGAGCATGCAGCACTTGTGACGATGACACGTTTGAGAGTGCTCCCGGGACAGCATGTAGTTGGCAAGGGGCGGTGTGTATGTCAGGCACTGCAGGGAAGCGTTCACGTAGCAGGTATTTCCCATATTCTGGAGCCCAGCCCCCACCGCAGCAGGTCTCCTGCTACTCAGAGGAAGCTTCTCCCTGGGAGCGAGCTGTCTTGCCACAGGAGCCAAATCATCACAGAGGTCGACGCGGGTCTCAGATGAGAGTGATGACTTCTCAGAGAGAGAAGTCCGCTGGATTTCAGCAAAAGCTGCATCTGGCCGAGAAGATGTGAGTTTTGAAAAGTGGTTGAACTGCCACTCACCTCCCAAGTAGAGTGAGTCGTCCTCCATGTCGCCCGGAACAAGGATCACAAGGTTTTTCGGCTGGGACCGCAGGTTGCAGAAAGACGCTATCTCTTCCGAGAGAGTCTTCAAATGACGAGCTCTCTGGCCGCATCAGCCCTTATATAACTCACCCCCACCAACCGCGAACACCCCACCCACCCATCAGGTGTGCGATAAACCAATCAAATATCAGCACTCAATTAAGGAATGAGTCACAGGGTGTGTCCCCTTGCATCGCTGGGAATTCAACAGACACAGCCCACATCATGACTTCTAGAACACCTGAATCAAACTACTCCTCAGGCTGATAGACACATGTAATATGAGTGTAACCGGGTTGGGACAGTGGCCACACAGTTGCCTTATTTTAGGTAAAACAATGTCAGGGAAGAAATCTTTACCTATGAAACCGTGTGTGTGTGTGTGTGTGTGTGTGTGTGTGTGTGTGTTTGTGCTGGGATGTACTTCCAAATATGTGCTTTTGGCAGATACCATCATCCTCTCAGCGATGGAAGGACAAGAAGTCGGAAGTGCGCTTTCTGACCTGAGAATAGTCAATGAAGTATAGTAATTAGCGCAGTGTATCTTTTTCCTTAATAAGAAAGGAGAGATCCATGGAATCAAACAGACCTTCCAGCGATAACCTTTCCACGTTCAGCCTATTGATTCTCTATCCGAGTGAAATTACCTGCCAGTGGAGAACAAGAGAAGTCTTTGCATGAAATGCTCTTGTGGAAGCTAGATGGCAAGTAATAAAGCATCAAGTGGTAGAAACATGCACTAAAGTCTGAAGAGATACTCAGTGCACAATGTAGAGTGTGTAAGACTTTGGGGAAATCATGCAATCACCGAGAGACTAATTGATGACATTCCGCAAATTTATGTGTGCCAGAAAAGAGAGATGAAAATGACATTGTATAGTGAATGGTTTCGGACGTGCGACGGCAGTTTAAGAAAACCTGAAACAAAAAACTTGAGAAATCAGAAGGTATCCCAACTATAACCTTTGGTTTATTAAAGAATTGATGAAAATAAAAACAACGTATCTCACAGCATGGGTGATAATATTTTCATACGTATGTGATAATGGATCAACATTTGATAGAGATGAAATGAAAAGTTCTAAATTTGACAAAAGCAAACACCGAAAATTGCACCATAGAAAAGCCCTGGTGACGGGAGTGAGGCCCTGTCTCAAGAAGAAAACATCGGAGAGATTTAAAAGCAGAGAGTGAAACCCAGGATAGCATAAGATTGTTAATACTGGCCCTTGTTTCAGTGGGAAAAGGCAAAAATAAGCCGTGTGTCTCCTGGATTCTCGCATCGATTGTTCAGGATCTGAGATGTTGCCTCCATTTACAGTTACGCATTGTATGGTGGAATTGCAGTTAGCACATTTGGTGCAAAAATTTTAGTGCTGACGAAAATGGACATGTTCCCTGAACTAAGAGGGACATAATTTGGGTGTGTCTTCAGGCTCTCTGGCTTACCAGGATTGAAGATCTAGGCTCTAGGGATTTTCCCAAAATGTCTTAGACAGTAAGCACTGGGGCAGAATTGAGGCCCGGCGCCAAGGCCTCTGGGTGTAAAGAAACAGCCGTGGCCTCAGGGCCCATGAAATTCGGATGATTTTAAGGAGGATGATGGAATGAGAGGACTGTGACCTTTGGCCCCGTTTCTTTCCCTTGTTTTTTCATGGGCCAGGTGTGCTCCATCAGAAGGCTTTCTGTGCCTGATGTAAAGTGTCCTGGGTGAAGAAAGGGCACTGCTTAGAAAGGTGCTCCACAGGGAGAAAGGAGCCACCGTTTTCAGGAGAATGATCCCCAGAAGCATGAGCAATCCAGATGCCGTGGCTTCACACAAGACGCTGGAGGGTCTTATTCCTGGAGCCGGGACCTGGGCATCGGTGTGCTTTAATGCTCATAACTGATTTTGAGGGGAGCCCAATCGATAACCTGTCTGCGAGTCATGCTCATCACACTGTAGTTTTCACACACGTCACAGAGAGACCCTGTTCGTATGCACATTGGGGTGCTTGAGCAGGGTTGCGCCCACGATTCTGTGGTACTACGGAGCCCTGAGTTGTGCCCTGGACAGCTTTCTTCAGGGGTTGGTCAACTTTGATCACTGCACCTAACAAGAAAGGGACCATGAAATCTAATCAGCAAATACAGAAAAGGAAGGGGCCATTTCCCACAATAATTTCCACAGAAACACCACGTCGAATAAATAAGTCTGATTGCAGGACAGGGACTGTGCTTCAGAGATGCAGCTTTCGCAGCTGGACGAATGACCCGGAATCTCCCCAAATGCCATTTGTAAACACACCAAATGAGGTTTATTTCAGGGCTTTCTGAATGTATTTTAGTTGAATACAAACACTCCAGTGTTTGATTTCCTTTAGTAGCAATAAGACTTAGTTCCAAATGACTTCCGTGCTAGTGGGAAAATTTTCTGTTTCGACTCATTGGAAGTGGACACCGTGAAACAGGCAAGTCGGTCTGTCTGCTTCCGGCGTTATGTGGGTTCCAGCAAGAGCACAAGTCCCAGGGCGCCTAAGGTCCATTCAGAAACCAAAATAAAATGGGCGAGCCAGGGTAAGAAAAAAGAGCACCGTTCCTATCTTCCAATTGAATTCCAGTTTCCACTATTCAACGTGGCGAGAATGATCCACGGATGTCCCACATGAGCAAAATTTCACCTTCTCTTGCCGACCAAGAACTGATGAATGAAACAAACCCCAAGAGGAAATAGTAAACCCTGTCCCCTGCAATAACCTCACATGCAAACCTACACGTCAATAGGTCACATTAAGAAATACACACTGAATGTCATCTACCATGAACACAAACACACAGACAATCCCTCCAGAGGTTCGGAAGACTCACGACCCCAAAACTTGATGTTTCCCATGTGTGGGCTCATCCTGAGATGCAGCCGTCACTATCCAGTTGTCCCTGTTGTAGAGACAGAAACTGGGGCTCCTCATTACTTTATGTAGGATAGACGGTGTTCGTGTTTGTGTGGGTGTGTGTGTGTTTCCTTGCGCGCTTGTGGGTGTATTTGTGTTTGTGTGTGTGTGTGTGTGTTTTTCTCCCCTACGTGTGGGTCGGCACTTCCACTGTGATCACTGGCACACAAGCAGAGATCTCTTGCAGTGTTTGTTCTTCCCTTTGGATCTCCTGGTCCTCCCTTGCAGAGAAGCGAGTGTGCCAGTGTTCATGGACTCCTGATCTGTCGGGTTCGTCGAAGAGAGGTTTAGCAGGGAGCTTTGCTGTTCAGGATGATGGTTTTTCATCCCACACTTGTATTTTGATTGATGAATCACAAGTACGTTGGGAGGCAGGGTACCTTCAAGTTTTCTGACGTTGAACTCAGGCTTCGTTTTGTTTTGCTCTTGGAGGAATTTCCAGTGGTCTAAGGTGCTTTCCTGAGTGGCTCTTTCCACCAAGTGCTCGTCCAACTCGGGTACCTGGAGGCAGGGGTAGTCTCTCTTGAGCTCTCCTTGCGTTGCTCGCCTGTCTGTGTCTTCAGCGCCGAGGGCTCTTGGTTCCCTGCCTCTTGACACACTCTCACTGTGTCTTTCCCATTCACTCTTGTGGATGTAAAAGAGGACATAGGCCTGTTGACTCAGGACAGAGGTGATGCCAGAGGCAGTGACCTCGGCATCATCCATTTTATACCACTGGCCTTCTTGAACTTTGACATAAGAGAAGTAATGTCCGTTGTGACAACTCCACCCGGCGTGGACCAGCACAGCATAGAGGACATAGACAAGAGGTCCTGTGTTCTGCTGAGACAGGTATGGCTGCATGTCAAGGCACTCAGGATATTGCACATTCTTGGCAATTTTGTTGCCTGTGACATCGGAGAATCTCTTCAATACGAGGATGAGGATCTTGGCAGAAGTGTGTAAAGTTTACGTCTTGGAGGCCGGCGCCCTCTGGAGACAAAGACCACAATGATAGGCATTTTATCCATTGAGTTCTTCGGGCTTCACCAACTGTTCCAAAGCTTGCTTGACACTCTGAGCTTCCTGGATATCCAGGGCGATGTCCAGGTAAGGGCCAAAAGTGTCTGAAATGCCGTGGCAGTGGAGACACTTGATTTGAGATCTCCAGTACCCTCCAAATATTTGGTGGATGAGGGTGGTGTCCTTGGAGTGATGATCTACCTGCTTGTGCCCGGGAAGGCATGCCTTTTTCATGGCATCCACAGTGAACATGAGAAATTCAAGGGCAGCTTCCTGCTTGCCTCTATGGAAGCCAGCAGCCAATGCCTGTGAGGGCTGGATGACATGGCCAGGAATGTGGAGGGGCTATGTGATGTGAGCTTCCATGGTACAGAGCATGCAGCACTTGTGACGATGACATGTTTGAGAGTGCTCCCGGGACAGCATGTAGTTGGCAAGGGGCGGTGTGTATGTCAGACACTGCTGGGAAGCGTTCACGTAGCAGGTATTTCCCATATTCTGGAGCCCAGCCCCCACCGCAGCAGGTCTCCTGCTACTCAGAGGAAGCTTCTCCCTGGGAGCAAGCTGTCTTGCCACAGGCCCCAAATCATCGCAGAGGTCGACGCGGTTCTCAGTTGAGAGTTGTGACTTCTCAGGGAGAGAAGTCCGCTGGATTTCAGCAAAGGCTGCATCTGGCCGAGAAGATGTGAGTTTTGAAAAGTGGTTGAACTGCCACTCACCTCCCAAGTAGAGTGAGTCGTCCTCCATGTCGCCCGGAACAAGGATCACAAGGTTTTTCGGCTGGGACCTTATGTTGCAGAAAGACGCTATCTCTTCCGAGAGAGTCTTCAAATGACGAGCTCTCTGGCCGCATCAGCCCTTATATAACTCACCCCCACCAACGGCGAACACCTCACCCACTCATCAGGTGCGCGATAAACCAATCAAATATCAGCATTTAATTAAGGAATGAGTCACAGGGTGTGTCCCCTTGCATCGCTGGGAATTCAACAGACACAGCCCACATCATGACTTCTAGAACACCTGAATCACATTACTCCTCAGGATGATAGGCAGATGTAATATGAGTGTAACCAGGTTGGGACAGTGGCCACACAGTTGCCTTATTTTAGGTAAAACAATGTCAGGGAAGAAATCTTTACCTATGAAGCCGTGTGTGTGTGTGTTTGTGTGTTTGTGTGTGTGTGTTTGTGCTGGGATGAACCTCCAAGTATGTGCTTTTGGCAGCTACCATCATCCTCTCAGCGACGGAAAGAGAAGAAGTCGGAAGTGCGCTTTCTGACCTGAGAATAGTCAATGAAGTATAGTATTTAGCACAGCGTATTTTTTTCCCTAATAAGAAAGGAGAGATCCGTGGAAACAAACAAACCTTCCAGCGATAAGCTTTCCACGTTCAGCCTATTGATTCTCTATCCGAATGAAATTAGCTGCCAGTGGATAACAAGACAAGTCTTTGCATGAAATGCTCTTTTGGAAGCTAGGTTGCCAAATAATAAAGCATCAAATGGTAGAAACATACACTGAAGTTTGAAGAGATACTCAGTGCACAAAGTAGACTGTGAAAAACTTTGTGGAAATCATGCAGTCACTGAGAGACTAATTGATGACAATCCCCAAATTTATGTTTGCCAGAAAAGAGAGATGGTCATGACATTGTATAGTGAATGATTTCGGATGTGCGATGGCAGTTTAAGAAAACATGAAACGGCCGGGCGCGGTGGCTCACGCCTGTAATCCCAGCACTTTGGGAGGCCGAGGCGGGTGGATCATGAGGTCAGGAGATCGAGACCATCCTGGCTAACAAGGTGAAACCCCGTCTCTACTAAAAATACAAAAAATTAGCCGGGCGCGGTGGCGGGCGCCTGTAGTCCCAGCTACTCGGGAGGCTGAGGCAGGAGAATGGCGTGAACCCGGGAAGCGGAGCTTGCAGTGAGCCGAGATTGCGCCACTGCAGTCCGCAGTCCGGCCTGGGCGACAGAGCGAGACCCCGTCTCAAAAAAAAAAAAAAAAAAAAAAAAAAAAAAAAAGAAAGAAAACATGAAACAAAAAACTAGAGAAATCGGAAGGTATCCCAACTATAACCTTTGGTTTATTAAAGAATTGATGAAAATAAAAACAACGTATCTCACAGCATGGGTGATAGTCTTTCCATACGTATGTGATAATGGATCAACATTTCATAGAGATGAAATAAAAAGTTCTAATTTTGACAAAAGCAAACAACGAAAATTATACCGTAGAAAAGTCAGGGGGAAGGAAGTGAGGCCCTGTCTTAAGAAGAAACATCGGAGACTTAAAAGCAGGGAGTGAAACAGAGGATAGCATACCATTTTTAATACTGGCCCTTGTTTCACAGGGAAAACGCAAAAATCAGCCGTGTATCTCCTGGATTCTCGCATCGATTGTTCAGGATCTGAGATGTTCCCTCCATTTCCATTTATGCATTGTATGGTGGAATTGCAGTTAGCACATTTGGTGCAAAAATTGTAATGCTGACGAAAGTGGACATGTTCCCTGAAGTAAGAGGGACAGAATTTGGGTGTGTCTTCAGGCTCTCTGGCTTACCAGGAATGAAGATCCTGGCTCTAGGGATTTTCCCAACCTTTCTTAGACAGTAAGGAACAGGGCAGAATTGAGGCACGGCGCCAAGGCCTCTAGTTTTAAAGAAACAGCCCTGGCTTCAGGGCCCATGAAATTAGGATGATTTTAAGGAGGATGATGGAATGAGAGGACTGTGACCTTTGGCCCCATTTCTTTCCCTTGTCTTTTCATGGGCCAGGTGTGCTCCATCAGAAGGCTTCCTGTGCCTGAAGTAAAGTGTCCTGGGGGAAGAAAGGACACTGCTTACAAAGATGCTCCACAGTGAGAAAGGAGCCACCATTTTCAGGAGAATGATCCCCAGAAGCATGAGCAATCCACATGCCGTGGCTTCACACAGGGTGTGGGAGAGTCTTATCTCTTTAACCGGGACCTAGGCATGGGTGTCCTTTAATGCTCATAACTGCTTTTGAGGTGAGCCGTATTGATATCCTGCCTGCGTGTCATGCTCATTGCACTGTAGTTGACACACATGTCACACAGAAACACTCTGAATAAGCACATTTTTGTTCTTGAGCAATCTTACACCCAAGATTCTGTGGTTCTGCGGAGCCCTGAGTTCTGTCCTGGACCTCTCTACTCTTGTGTAGGTCAACTTTGATCTTTGTACCTAATGAGAAATGGACTATGAAATCTAATCAGGAAACATACAAAAGTAACGGGCCATTGTCCACAATTGTGTCTCTCCGGTAGGTCATCTTTGATAACTGTACTTAACAAGAAATGCATATGTGACGATTCCAAATCAAAGAATCTCATGGTTTTTCGCCATTTTATTTAATTCTGTTAACGTTTAAATAGAGTTTAAAACCCAAGATTTGGCATGAAATCTAATTGTCAAATACACAAAAGGAAGGGTCCATTCTTCAAAATCTTTTCCACTGAAAGACCACCACTGATAAACAAGTATCGTTGCATTACAGGGATCCTGCTTCCAAGATGCAACTTTCACAGCTGGATGATTGACCCAGAATCTCCTCTAATGCCATTTTTTTACCCGCAAAATGGATTTATTTTAGGGCTCTCTGATTTTATTTTAGTTGAATACACCCACTCTTGTGTTTCAATTTCTTTCAAACGCCTTTAAATAATTAAGTATCTTGCTGCATCAGCCCTTATATAACTACTGTCCACCCACCGAGACCATTACATTTATCCATCAATTACCCTGTTTACTAATGAAATATCAGGATTCAATTAATTTTTTTGTCTTAGGTTGTATCCTCTTGCATTCCTCAGAGAATTTAATGGACACAGCTTACATTGTGATTATGGAAGATTTGAAGCAGATTTACTTGTCAGTATTATGGGCAAATATGATAGGAGTGGAACCGGGTTAGGATAGGGGCTAAACATTTGCCTTATTTCATGTAAAACAATGCTAGTTAACATTTGTGTACATAGTAAACAGTTTGTGTGTATCTGTGTATTTGTGTGTTTGTTTCTGGATGTGTCTGCATGCATTGAGAAGTACTTCCAAGCATGTGCATCTGTGACATAAGATCATTCTTTCAGCGACTAAATGACAAGAAGTTATAACTACACTTTCTGACTTGAGAATTTGCAGCAATGGTATGTCATTAATACAGCATATACTTTGTCTTAATTAAGATGGAGAGATCAATGGAGTCAAATAGACATTCCAGAGATAACCTTCCCATTTTTGGCCAGTTGATTCCATATCATGTTGTAATGATCTGGCATTGGGGAGAAGACAAGTCTTTGCATGAAATGGTCTTGTGGAAGCAAGATATGCAAATAATAAAGCATCAGATGGGACTATTCCCCTCAATAGTGAATGTAGAAACATTCACTTAAGTTTGATGAAATTCTCAATGCCCAAAATAGATTGCGAAACACTTTCAAGAAAACATGCTATAACCCGGAGACTAATTGATGACATCCACCGAAGTTATGACTGCAAGAAAAGAGAAATATTCATGGCATTTTTAATCCAAGGGTTTCTTGTATATGACAGCATTTTTTAAAAAGTCAAAATCAGAAAAGCTTCACAAATTGGAAGATATCTAAGCTAAAACCTTTTGTTTCTTAAAAGAACGATAAAAATAATTGCAATGTAACACACGGCCTGTGTGATAATGTTTTAATACATATCTAAAAATGCCTTAAAATTCAATAGAAATAAAATAACAACTTCTAAAACTTGACAAAAGGAAACAACAAAAATTACACACTGGAAAAGCCTGGCTGACTGGAGTGACATCCTGTCTCAAGAAAGAACAGACAAACCCACAAACAAGCAAAGGATTCTAAAAGCAGGGAATCAAACAGATACTTGTACACCATTCTTCCTACTAGCACTCTTCATAGTAGGAAAAGTCAAAAACAACCCAAATGTGTGGTGAATTACTTCATCAGTTTTTTAGGATCTGAAATACTGCCTCAATTTTCAGTTACCCATTGTGGAGAGAACCTGCAGTTACCACATTTGTTCCAAAATTTTATGCTGATGAAGGTAAACCTGTCCGGCATTCTCAGAGGGACAGAGTTCTGGTGTTTGTCCAGGTTCCTTGGCTTACCAGGAATGAAGATCCGAACTGTACAGACTTTTTTCAAAAGTATGTACATATGTATGTATGTATGTATGTATGTATGTATGTATGTATGTATTTCCTCTTTTTAAATTTAAAAATTACAGGATACATGTGCAGAATGAGCAGGTTTGTTATATAGGTATCCTTTGCTATGGTGGTTCGTTGCACCTATTGACTTATCCTGTAAGTTTCCTTCCCTCACCCCCAGCCCCCAACGGGCCGTGTTGTGTGTTGTTCCTCTCACTGTGTCCTTGTTTCCTGAATGTTCAACTTTCACTTATTAGTGAGAACATGCAGTATTTGTTTTTTTTTTGTTTTTGTTCCTGTGTTAGTTTGCTCAGTATGATGGCTTCTAGCTTTATCCATGTGCCTGCAAAAGACATAATCTCATTCCTTTTTATGACTGCATAGTATTTTTTGGTGTATATGGACCACATTTTCTTTATCCAGTCTAGCACTGAAGGGCATTTGGGTTGGTTTCATGTCTTTCCTATTGTATATAGTGCTGCAATAAACATACATGTGCATGTGTCTTTATAGTGGAATGATTTATATTCCTTTGGGTACATAGCCAGTAATGGGATTGCTGGGTCAAATGGTATTTCTGGTTCTAGATCCTTGAGGAATCGACATACTGTCTTCCACAATGGTTGAACTAATTTACAATTTCACCATCAGTGTAAAAGCGTTCCTCTTTCTTCTCAGCCTCACCAGCATCTATTGTTTCTTAATTTTTTAATAATCACCATTCTGACGGGTGTGAGATGGTATCTCACTGTAATTTTGATTTTCATTTCTCTGATGATCAGTGTTGTTGAGCTTTTCAAAAATATATTTGTTGGTTGCATAAATGTCTTCTTTTGATAAGTTTCTGTTCATATCTTTTGCTCACGTTTGATGGGGTTGTTTGTTTTTTTGCTTGTAAATATGTTTAAGTTCCTTGTCAACTTTGGTTATTAGACCTTTGTCAGATGGGCAGATTGCAACAATTTTCTCCCATTCTGTAGTTTGCTTTTTCATGCTGATGATAGTTTCTTTGCTGTGCAGAAGGTCTTTAGTTTAATTAGATCCAATTTGTCAATTTTGGCTTTTGTTGCAATTGCTTTTGGCATTTTTGTCATGAAGCCTTTGCCCATGCCTATGTCCTGAATGGTATTGCTTAAGTTTTCTTCTAGGGTTTTTATGGTTTTGGATTTCACATTTAAGTCTTTAATCCATCTTGAGTTAATTTTTGTATAAGGTGTAAGGAAGGGGTCCAGTTTTGGTTTTCTGCCTATGGCAAGCCAGTTTTCCCAGCAGCATTTACTGAATAGGAGATCCTTTCTCCCTTGCCTGTTTTTGTCAGGTTTGTCAAATATCAGATGGTTGCAGATGTGTGGGGTTATTTCTGAGGTCTTTGTTCTGCTCCATTGGTCTATATGTCTGTTTTGGCAGCAGTAGCATGCTGTTTTGGTTACTGTAGCCTTCTAGTATGGTTTGAAGTTAGGTAGCGTCATGCCTCCAGCTTTGGTATTTTTGCTTACAGTTGTCTTGGCTATACGGGGTATTCTTTGATTTCATATGAAATTTAAAATAGTTCTTTCTAATTCTGTGAAAAATGTCAATGGTAGCTTCATGGGTATAGCATTGAATCTATAAATTAGTTTGGGCAGTATGGCCATTTTCACAATATTGATTCTCCCTATTCATGTGGATGGAATGTTTTTCCATTCGTTTGTGTCCTCTCTCATTTCCTTGAGCAGTGGTTTGCATATGTCCTTGAAGAGGTCCTTCACATCCCTTGTACTCCTAGCTGTATTCCTAGGTATTTTATTCTCTTTCTAGCAATTGTGAATGGGAGTTCATTCTTGATCTGGCTCTCTGCTTGACTATTGTTGATGTAAAGGAATGCTTGTGATTTTTGCACAATGATTTAATATCTTGAGTCCTTGGTGAAGTTGCTTATCAGTTCAAGAAGTTTTTGAATTGAGATGATGGGGTTTTCTAAATATAAAGTCATGTCATCTGCAAACAGAGACAACTTCACTTTCTCTCTTCCTATTTGAATACCCTTTATTTCTTTCTCTTGCCTGATAGCCCTGGTGAGAACTTCCAATACTATGTTGAATAGAAGTGGTTACAGAGGGCATCCTTGTCTTGTACCAGTTTTCAAAGGGAATGCTTCCAGCTTTTGCCTATTAAATATGATGTTGGCTGTGGGTTTGTTATAAATAACTCTTATTATTTTGCAATATGTTCCATCAGTACCTAGTTTACTGAGAGTTTTTAACATGAAGGGATGGTGAATTTTATCAAAGGCATTTTTGCATCTATTGAAATAATTGTCTGGTTTTTGTCTTTGGTTCTGTTTATGTGATCAATTACATTTATTCGTTTGTGTATGTTGAACCAGCGTTTCATCCCAAAGATGCAGCCGACTTGATTGTGGTGGATAAGCTTTTTGATGTGCTGCTGGATTCTGTTTGCTAGTATTATATTAGGAATTTTTGCATTGATGTTGTCAGGGATATTGGCCTGGATTGAGCAGGTATGTGTGTGTGTATGTTTCTACCTTGGTTTGCCAGTAGGTTGATGTGTGAGTGTGTGTGACTTTGTGTGTGTGTGTTTGTGTGTGTGTGTGAATATGCGATAGAGAGCCAAACTAGAGCAGAGGAGGTTCCCTGGCCTGCCATGACATTAAATGTTCTGAATTCAAGATACCAAGGGAGGCATGAGACCCACAGTTGAAACTTCATGATGTGGCCAGGTTTCAGGGGTTTCTGGGAGCTGCCAGTGGGCATGTCTCAGGCTTGCTCCCACTGACAATCCATGTCTTCTCCCTAAATGGGAAATGGCACTGTATGGAGAACAGGCAACAGAGAGCATGATGTAAGGGTTCTTCCTCATACTCACTAGGAAAGAAAACAGATTTCATCATCTCTCACTCCATTCCCTTTGTAAATCTATAGACACAGGGGTCAGTTACCTTAAATATTAGCATAGCTAAAGTCCTCAGACCAAATTAGATGTCCTATCTTCTCATGTGGATCAGATCCTAAAAAAAAACTGCTTCCTGTTGTCATTATCTTTTATCACAGGCCATTTTCAATCCAGAGGAAGACCTTCTAAAAGAGGTGATGGATGGGAGAGTGCTGACATACTATGTGAAGCTACTATTTGGAGTTGGACACGAGTGCATGTGACCTTGTGCCACAGCGGGAATGTGAGCTGGGTGACAAATGGAGATTTGGACTTGTGATAATTGGCCTCTGTGTCATTGTGTGGAAGACTGACTGGTCCCTTTATTTCCTGTAGCTTGACTACCACACAAATGAATCCATTCAAATGTTGGCAAGTGGAGCAGAGTCCCAGGACAGGTAAAGCACTTTCCCTGCTTTTTCTTAAGATCAATCCCCATGCCTAGAAATTAAAGTCACATCCCACATGATCATTAAAGTAGAGAGTGCATTCTACAGGATGAGTGAAAAGGCATTTATGATTCTTGGGGGCAGATGTTCTACAGTTGCCTGTGCTAGTTCATGTCTTTCTGCAGATCACATTCTTAACCTCTAGAGAGTCTGGCAGGACCAGAGCCTTACCTTTCCCAGTCTCCAATCTCTACAGGTACAGAAACACCCCCAGTTCAAGAATCTTCACATCTGAATTTAGTCCTACACCTGCAACTACCCCAGGTAAGTTTCCTTGTTCTTCAATGGCAAAGTTTGGACAATGCTGTTCAAACTCCAGGCAACAAGCAACATCTAGGGAATGTGCTTTTAGGTAGGGTCAGCATAATATCCCACCCTGGAAGACATTTTTATTTTAAAGTTGTAGAGGGTGATGCTGCTGGCGGCTCCCTCCCAATTAGCACCATTTGCAGCCTCTTTTGAAGACAGAGAACTGAGGGCTGTCCTTCAAATGGAGCAGTGTGATTCCAAAAAAAAGAGATGCTCCTTGTGGTCCTGGGACCAGGGATAGGACTCCAGCTGAGCCTGGTGGAAGAGGTCCACGTCCTAGCCCAACGGAGAGCCATGCAGCTGAGCTTGGGCGATGTGGTCCACGTGGTTGTTTCTGAGTGTGTCCTGAGGTTGCTGGATGGCTTGCAGTTCCCTATGCAGATCCAATGCTTCTTTTGCTTTTTTGGTTCTGCAACCTGGAATTTATATGTTCAAGATGGAGCCATCTCAGCCATGACAACAGAGAATGTACCACTCTCACATGAGGAAGAGGGGTAGGAAGTGCTCCTGTATCACCAGCCCTTAATGAGACCCTGAGGAAACCACATCATGGAGATCAGCCCTTCTCTCCTGTAAGGAACTCATCCTATGAAAGAGCAATTAGTGCCTGCAAGAGCTGTCTCTGGGACAGCTGTTCATGTCTATATCTGCAGGGTAACCCTCATAGTCATATGCAGTCATATCCATAGTCATATCGGGAGTCAGACTCCAGTTTGACTGAGTGAATGGAGAAACTAAACATTTATTACTGAATAATAACATTAATAAACCATCTTAATGATAGTAATAATAAACATATTGATGAGTATTAACAGGAATGATGATTATTATGATACTAATATCCATAATTAATAATTTTAATATTGATAATAATACTAACCCTGTGGACTTGGGACCTAGAGAGCAGTTTCCCCTGACAATTATCCCATATTTGGCCACATGGGGTAATATTGAGTTCCAGAAGGCAAAGATTAACATTCAGAAAAATAGGAAAAACAACCTGCAGGTAGGCATGTGCACACATGGGGACTCTATGGATAAATACTAAAGTGACTCTTGTTCTGGATCTCCATGCTAACAAACATGCACCAGCTTTCAGGAGGTAGGACAGCTGGCTGATGGGGCAAGGCTTCTTGAGGACATGGCAGGAGTCAGAAATCACACATGCTGCCCAGCAGCAGAGCTCATGACAAGCAGTAAACCCCAGTGAAAGGACCTGGCTGCCCTTCTGCCATCTGCTCTCCCATGGCCTCTGTTGACTGGTACATCTAGGCACTGGAATAACCTTCACTGGCTATAGGAAGGCATAATCCTCAGTATTCTCCCACCTGCAAGAAAGACAAAAATTAACTGAATACCATGGCTTCTGGGTATCCTTAGTGGGCTTAGTGTATTTTGCATTTGTTTTAACAGGCCAGTTATCCAGGCAGTGACTTTCAGTACAGCTACAGTCACCTCTGGACACCTGTGGAGACTTTAAAAATTTCCAGAAGTTCAGGAATTTTTGGACACCTTTCTCATGGCTATGTTGCCTGCAAAGGTGAATCAATAAGCTTCTGAACTGACTTAGAAAATGTTGCAGAGACTCTTGTGAGCAGATAGACCCTCTCCTGCCACTCCAGATAGACATATCTGGGTCACACACACCTGATTTAACAACATCTTGTTATCTCAGGTGGGCAACAGACAGCAATTTAGGACCTATCCCAGTGTGGATGAGAGATATTGAGTTGGCTTAGAAACATGTTAGATAGACTAGATGGGGCAAGAAAGCCCATTCTGGGGCTCAAAAGCCTGCACATAGAGTTGCTGGCACATAAATGGTATGTATAAATTCTTTCTCAGCCCATGAGATCAGGATGTACTTCATCAGTATACCATGCTGGTATGAAGAGATTCTTGCCTCAAAAGGGACTCAGAATATTTCAGGGAACCTGTATTAGTCCATTTTTACACTGTTGTAAAGACACTACCCCACACTGGGTAATTTACAAAGGGAAGGTGTTTAATTAATTTACAGTTCTGCATCGCTGGGGAGGCCTCAGGAAACTTACAGTCATGGTGGAAGGCAAGACAGAAGCAGGCACCTTTTTTCACAAGGTGTCAGGGAGAGAAGTGAGTGCACAGAAAAAAAACCCAAAAATCACCTACTCTTAAAACCATCAGATCTCCTAAGAATTCACTCACTATCATGAGGATAACATGAAGTAAACTTCTTCGACACATGGCGATTACAGGTCCCTCTGTCGATGTGTGGGGATAATAATTTGAGATGAGGTTTGGGTGGGGACACAGAGCCAAACCATATTATTCTGCTCCTGGCACCTCCCAAATCTCATGTCTTTTATATATATTTCAAAGCCAATCATGCTTTTCCAACAGTCCCCCAAAGTCTTAACTGATTCCAGCATAACTCAAAACTCCAAGTCCAAAGTCTTATTTGAGACAAGTCCCTTCTGCCTATCAGCCTATAAAATTAAAAAAAAAAAGTTAGTTACATCCACAATGGGGGCCTCATGACCCTGACCAGTGCCCTATCCTACTGTGGCTCAACTGATATCCAAGATGCAAGACAAAGTCCTTTTTACTCTTTCCTCTAATCTCCTCTAGCAGAAGGAAGCGGTCTTTTTTGGAGCTGCAAGCTGTGCTGCCTGGGGTTGGGGGAGTGGTAATGCAAGTACTCCTTTAGCTGTCCTGGCTGGTGTCTCAGTAGGTTTTATGGCCACTCACCTCAGTACACTGGCTCTGAGTACAGTACTATTGTGTCTGCAGTAGTGTATGAGATGGAAAATAAGTCTCCATTCTCCAAGACTCTTCTTGAGCATCAAGGCTGCCTGATTGTTGAGCTATAGCTACAGACTTTCCTCGCTGAGCCCAGCATGCACATGTTCCTCTGCTGGAAAAAAAAGCAGAAACAAACAAACCACCAAACAACTTCCCACAAGTGGAATGTTCTGGGACTCAAGGTCATCTAGATTATTTTGTCCCCAGGGTGCTCCCTTGATGTGGTGTGCTTCCTCTTTCCTCAGAGTAGGAGTCACTGAAATTCAGATTACTGCATATGCTGCTGCTGCTTCTCTGGGTCCGGCTACCCAGTGGGGCTGCCGCACACCATGCTGGTGCTCAAGAATGGCTGCAATGGATCCAGTGATATAATCTGTCCTCAAGGCTCACAGCAGTGTGTATCGGCAGCTGATCAGATGGGGATGGCAGGGGAGTGATGTAGACTCTGAAAGATTCCTTGGTTATAAATAGTCCTAGTGTGTTGTGTATTGGATTTCTCAAATGCCAGTTGTAGTAGTAATGAACTCATCACATGGACAGACTCATGGCCTCCTGCTTAGCCAGAATGATGCAGGCAATGGTAACAGTTGTGGTCACTCACAACTTTTCTCCTTCCTGGGTGCTATGTTATTCTACCTGCAGATGCTGTAAAGGACTGTCAGTAGGCCTTCAGCCAGGAGGTGGTGCTTCCAAAAGACTGCCAGCTGTGGTGGTAGTGGTGAGATTTGGACTTGCCTTATGTTACCCATGGGAGGCACTCTGGTGTCTCAGGAAATAGGTGGAGCCATAGAGCTTCTAAAAGTTTCTTCTGTTATTTGTGTTAATCTACCAGGGTAGGTGGTTGAGCAAAGCCAGGTGGGAACTAGGTCAGGTAAGGTGATGCTCTGGCTGTCTATGTGTGGGACAAGCAGTGGCTCCAGTGGGAATTGGAAGGCAGTTCTTGGGCCACTGGAGTAATTTTCCAGAGAGAAGTGAAGCTGTCTCTGCCTCTGTACAAGGAGAGTCCATGTGAAGAATGGGGAGTAGCAGCTTGGTAGTAAGCCCCATCCAGCTCCCACACACTTGGCAAGGCAGGTCTCACACCCACAGTGTTCCACTGGGAGTAGCTAGCTAAGTTTCAAGAAGTCTGAGCTCAGAACTCAAAACTGACCCATACCATAATTCTCCCCTATGGAGACAGCAACTGCAACCTTCAGGCCACACCCTTCCTGATCCACCTGCAGAGCAGGGGCCCCCAGCTCCTGTGCTTGCTGCTGCAGCACACTTCCCACTCACCTCTCAGTTCTGGCCTGGAGAGTTTGTCCCCTGTCAAGATTATATCACACATTTCAGTTGGGAGGTTGTCTCAACCTGTGACCACCATCTGAGTTAGCTGGCAGACTTCTAGGAGGTCCTGTCTGAGGTAGAATCAGAAATGGCTTCCCTCCATTCTACCAGAAACTGGGAATGTGCTGGAGATTCAAAGCACATCCCAATGCCACTCCTCATATACTCACCACTCTTCCCTAAATCAGCCCCAGCGCTGAGTAGGGTTAAGGCCTTCCCTCACGGCCTGGATTGATAGGTTTCCCAGTGGAAGTGTATATCTTAGAGTCAGTTTACCCTCCTGTCACACCCTGGAAACTTACAATTTTCTGCCTAGCTTATGGTGTAAGCTGCATCCTGCTGTTTCTTTCAAATGGTCTGTGGCTTATTTCAATTTTCCTGTTAAATTCCTGTGTAGCTTATTGAAAGAAAGTTCACAGTGTGAGTTTCTACACACCATTTTCTCTTTCCAAGTGCAAGAGGCAGACTAACAATGCCTTCAATCCACTATCTTGGAAAACAAAAGTAACAGTTTTCTCATTTTTAAAAGTTTTGTTAAGATCTGTTAATGACTCACAAAGAAATAGTACTTGGGTATATTTGAAATTAGTATTTATTCATTTATGTTGATAAGTGAAAATGCAAGACAGTTATCAAGATGGAAGTACTTAATATGTATATTTTAATATTCTTAGATGCAAATAACTTCACTTTTGATGTATTTTTATTTTGTCTCAGTTTCATTTCAACTTAGGTTTAAGGGGTTCTTGATAATCTGACATGATAAGTGGTGTTGGAATTGGCATTAAAATCCACCATGCTCTACAGCACTTCATCCTTCTTCGGCAGGCACCAATTTGATCTTCTACTACTTTGCAGACATCTCTTCTGCAAACACCAGACAAATTGAGACAATGACCTTCCGCAGGACCCAAACCACCTCTTACTGCAGGAAAGAAGATCCAGTGAGATAGTTAGTCCACAAATGGAATGTAAATCCATAAACACTCTTAAGTAACAGAATAAATTTAGTATGAGCATTTTTATGTGGGAGCTCTTGACATGGTTGCTGCTCATATGTCAGAGACACATGCAGTTTAAGAAAGGTAGCAGTTCCAATCCTGGTTTGGCCCAACAGTCACTGCATTTTTGGTGGGGAAAAGGGATGTGGGAGGAGATGGTACCTCTTCATCTTTTTCTCTGGGTTTTCTGTCAGAAAGGGATGTTGCTTACTCCAGTGGCAAAAAATGCCAGTGTCTTCTGCCAGAGTGGGTTACTGAGGGCCTTGGTGGTTCCACCTTGTGGCTGATACAGATAGTCCCTTTCTGCTTTTGTTTCTAGCCAAAAAAGATGTTTCTGGCATCTCAGGTATGCTGATTTCAGCAGCTGTTTTTTCTATATGGCTATTTTTTTTTCTTTCACTCTCTCTTTCTCTCTTTCTTTTTTTTTTTTTTTTGTTGGCTTCACTGTGTTGCCATAGTTTCTTAAATGGTCCCTTGAACCCTGCCAGGGCTAGTTTGGTTTGTACATAACTATCTATATATTTTTTTTCTTTGGGGGAGTGTGTAGAGCTAAAGGCTGGTATATGCTGCTCCTGCTCCTCGAAAGTGACATTATTCCCCTAAGCTAATATTTCAGGCTTTCGATTTATTCATGCTTTCATCTGTTTAAACATAAGTAGAAATTACTTTTTCTCTCCCCATTTAGATTTGATCTATCTACTTTAATTGCTAATAGTGTCTTAGGCATAGAATATATTAGTTAGAAAAAAGTGTTTTTGACATTATAAATGATTCTTTCAATTTGTATCTAAAAGTGGAAAATACTAGAAAGCTTAACATTTATTATTGTATTCAGACCAGTATTTCCTCCATATGACCTTTATTACAACAAAGATAATTTAATGAAGATCTCTCTAATGGGAAAGCTAATGGCTTTGTGCTATTACAATATCCTTCGAATAAAGTGACGGTCTGGTGGAAAGAACAACTAAAGCAAGGATTAGGAAGAAAACAGTTAATACCTTCATTTTCGTCTCACTGTGCATTAAGAGTTTTCATTGTGTTAATGATTTATTATACATTAAGTAATTTAATGTTCATTCAATAATAAATGTATCCTATTAAATATGATTTTTAAAATTATAATCACATTACTTTTATTCACATCTGTCTACTGATGCCATTCCTAGGTGAGAATGGTATAACATTATTTTATTTTTTCATTTTGCCACATCTTTACTTACTTAGGTTTATGCTGTATCAAACAATGTATGTGTGGGAGTAATGGATGATTCAGGAATGCATGAGGAGGAGGTTTAAGCTCTTTAACCTTGAACAATTAAAATTAGCAACATAATATTGAAATACACACATAACACTCAAGTGGTACTTTCAAAATAGTGTATATTTCCTCTGTTTATTTGTAGCTTTTAAACTCAGCTAGAAGCATTCTATTTCCTTTAGGCACCATAAGTCTGAAAGTCAGTAGTGAAAACTACAAGTACTAAATGATGCTAATTCATGTGCTCCCACCTGTGGAAGAATTGAATGTCTTAGATAAAAAAAGATGGTGCAATTGGTGTACAAAGAATCTAGAATACAATTTGGTGGTGGTTTTTCTGTTTCCATAGCAGAGTAACATATATAATATTCCCCTTTCATCAAGTTATTTAAATATGCCTTTGAATGGGGAGAATTGAAAATAATACTGTGAATCCTGGTAAACATTTAAAAATAATGAAAAGAATATTGCCTTTACAAAGTCAAAATTTGTCTGAATACCACCCATATAGCAATTTCATAGCAAAACACTTCCTTCAATCCTATTAAAATCAGAAGGAAAAGAAGAATACCCACTGTCAATGTTGTATTAATATAGTTCTAAAAGTTCTGGACAATGAAATATGTTGTAAGAAGAGAAGTCAGGGGAGACTTGAGCCCATTGTTTTTCCTCTCCTTCTATACCTCCCAAAATACCACTGGAATGTTGTAACATTTTGAAGAATCTATAGTAGTGTCCAAAATCATAGAATAGTATGAATACATCTGAATCTGAGATATCTCCAAAAGATATAAAATAGGTGTGATTAGAATGAAAGAAAGATTTAGGCTTTTGGCCATGACTGCAAGTTAGCTGCTCTCAAATGACTGCTGCTATCGAACAAATACATTTTAGAGGATCTCTTTGAAACATTTCTGTTCTTGAAAACGGTTAGGCAAGTTCTTAAAATATCTCCTCTTTCAAACACAAAAATAGTCTGTGAACTGGAGCTTGAGCACTGGGCACTTTGTATTGGCCAGCTGATGGAGGGGGGTGAGGGTTTCCCACATCTTCTGGGAAGATCTGCTATTATCAGCAATGCTAATGGTGGTACTACTGACTCTTGGGCCATCAGAAATTCCAGTTTGTTAATCCTGGAACTTCTATATTGAGATAAAGCATTGAGTCAGTTTCACAGAGGAAGTTTGGATAATAGCGTTCTTATTTCAGACCGTAGAATGATGGCAGATTAAGGATGAGCAATGAGTTCAGTATTAAAAATGATCATATAAGCAAGACACCATGAATAAAAGTTAATGAAATGAATAGCACATTTAAATTCTTGAAAACTAAATGTATTGAAATTGTCAATATGGAGAAATAATTAAGCAGCTGTGTATCGATTGTTTAAAGAAACAATCTACTATTACAAAGAAGTAAAAACAATAGTAAAACAACATAGATGATAGAAAAAATGGGCAGGTCTGGCTGGGCGTGATGGCTCATGCCTGTAATCGCAGCACTTTGGGAGGCCGAGGCGGGTGGATCACGAGGTCAGGAGTTCAAGAACAGCATGCCCAAGATGGTGAAAACTTGTCTCTACTAAAAAAAATATATATATATAAAAATTAGCTGAACATGGTGGTGGGCACCTGTAATCCCAGCTATTCAGGAGGCTGAGGCAGGAGAATCACTTGAACCCGGGAGGTGCAGGTTGCAGTGAGCCAAGATTGCACCACTGAATTCCAGCTTGGGCAACAGAGTGAGACTCTGTCTCAAAAAAAAAAAAAAAAAAAAGGCAGGTCTGAATAAAAAAAAATTTAAAAATAAATGCAAGTTATTAACGATATATTACATATAGGTAACAGGATAATTAGTAAAGAAAAAAATGCTTAAATGATATACCCAGTATGTAGAATGGAAACACAGGTCTAACATTTAATTCAAATATGGGGGGAGAGAAGTGTAAGAGGATTCACCATTTCAAGAGATTCTCAAAAAGAAATTAGGAAAAAGTATAAATCCATTGATTCAAAGAATGTATTTCTAACAGATGATATAAAAATAAATTCACATTAAATTATAAATTATAAAACATTAAAACCAAACACCAGACCATACATTGAAAAAAGGACAATTTACAATGAAATAATATTTATCTGATTATTATAGTAAAGCAAAAACTAAAAATGAGTAAACCAGTATCAACAAATGTTGAGAGAAAATAACTGTTACTATAGAATTGGGTACTCAGTAATGCTGTCTTTCAAGAACAAAAATAACAATATGAAATTGACAGATAAAAACTAAAATTGTTCACTATAAAGAGATCTGCAGCAAATAAAATTTCAAAGGCTATATATCAGGAAGAAAGAATTTAACCCAAAAGCTGATCTCACAGTCAACTTGGAATTCCATAAATATCACTAAACTGATGATAATAGTAATACTTTCTGACATGGGGGGATTCTGAAAAGAAGTGAACTTTTACTTTTGTTTAGAATTTAGAAAGTTATAAAAAAATGCTCTTGCCCTGACAAAGAGAATAAGCTGGATAATCTACAGATCATAGATTTCATTTTAAAAGACAGAGCTGAGGTCTCAAAAAAAGCTAATTAACTTAAATTCCGAGTAATGACGCCCTACTGAAAAAAGAACGGATCCACAGATGATTTGTGTGTACCTGAGTTGCAGCAGCAGAAGCAGGAGGAAGCTGCCCTTGATGGAGATAAGAAGGAAACAAGTGAACCTCAAGCAAATGTGGAAAGGCTGAATGTGGGCTTGTGATAATTTAGCATCAGTAGGGGCCCAAACACACTCACTCACTCACTAATGCTTTAATGCTTTCCTTTTCTTTCTTTCTTTCTTTCTCTTTCTTTCTTTCTTTCTTTCTTGCTTTCTTGCTTTCTTGCTTTCTTCGTTTCTTTCTTTCTTTCTTTCTCTGTTTTCTTTCTTCCTTTTTTTTTTTTGATGGAGTCTCACTCTGTCACCCAGGCTAGAGTGCAATGGCACGATCTCGGCTCACTGCAACCTCTGCCTCCAGGGTTCAAGTGATTGTCCTGCCTCAGCCTCCCGAGTAGCTGGAACTACAGGCGCGTGCCACCACACCCTGCTAATTTTTTGTATTAGTAGAGACAGGGTTTCACCGTGTTGGCCACTGACCTCGTGATCCCAAATGCTGGAATTACAGTGCCTTGGCCTCCCAAAGTGCTGGGATTACAGGAGTGAGCCACTGCGCCCGCCCCACTAATGGTTTTTTCATGACCTATCTTGTGTGCTCCTAGGTAAGATCAGATGGAGAGCAGGAGAACTACCTGAGACACTTTTGTGGGACAGGCATGTAGGAACTGCTGCAATTTGAGGTCACAGAAAGGTAAAGTTCACACTGTGAGAATCGGGGAAGATCCTCTGTTACTGGGGAGTAGGTTGGGGACCTGAGAGAATCCCCCCTTCACTCTCTTTTCTCACAGGTGCATAAGAAGAGAGGCCTGATGAGGTCTGAAGACAGGGGAGGGCAGGTAGCTGAGAGAAGTAGATTCTCTGGTCTTTCACTGAGTGTGAGGCAGCTACTGCCCGTGGTTGGGCAAGGGATGGGAGCCCTGAGAGATTCTTGAGGTGCAGAGATAGAGGCTTGCTGAGGATGAAAGTGGACAGGAAAGCTAAGAGAAGCTCCAATGCTGACCATGGCACTCTGCAAGAAGAGAAAACCTGTATGTAGAGGTTTATGAGGGAAAATCGTGAGTTTGGTTTTGGATATATATTACTTTTGAAATCAAGTGTCCAAGTAGATATACCAGTTATGCAGTTGGGTAATTTATTATAAGCCTGGAGTTCAAAAGGAGGTCCAAAAGGAGAATTGAAAGGGATGAGACTTGCTGAGCCCCTCCAAAGAGTGTGTGGTGAGGGAGAAGAGAAGAGGACCAGGAACTGAGCTCTGGAGTCTCCTATAGGAGGTGTGATGCAAAAGATGAGGAAGAAACAAAGGAAGCCGAAGTGGTAGCTCCAGTGAGACAGGCTGAGAATCAAGTGAATGTGCCGTCCTGGAAGCCAACTGAAGAAAGTATACTGTGAAGAAGGAAGTGATTATTTGTGTCAAATGCTGCTAATAGGCCAATTAAAGTTGTAGTGAAAAATGATCATTGGATCTAGCAATGTGGAGATTATTCATAACTTTGACAAAAGTGGTGTCAATAGCATGATCGAAAAAGGGGGAGAGAGCCTGATTGGGATATATTTAAGAAACAATGAGAGGAGAGGAATTGAAGACAGAGAGTATGGACAACTCTTTTAAGATGTTTTGCTGAAAAGTAGAGCAAAAAAGGGGAGGACAGCTGGCATCAGAAGAAAAGCAAGGACATTCTTTTTCTTAGATCAGAAAAACAACAGCATATTTGTATGCTGATGGTAATAATTTACTAGCATCAAAATTGATGACACAGTCATGATATAGTGAACTGCAACAGGAAAATCCCCAAGTACACAGTGAAGAGGGAATATAATACACAAATTTAAAAATTATTTGAACCTCTGAAACATCTGTTTTGATATTAACCTTTCATTCCTGCAATAGTTATTTTAAGCATGCTCTCATTTTCTCTTGTTCAGTGTTGCCAGGTTATTATAAAGTGCATTAGACATTTTGAAAAACATTTTTAAAAATACTAGTTTTTTCTCATTTGTTTCATTAATTTATATTTTGTATTTATAATTTTCCCTTTATCTTCTTTAGGGTTATTATGCTGTTTTTTTTTCCAAAAGCCCCCAAAATGCATGCTTAGCCCATTAAATTTTAGCCATTTTCGTATTGAAAGTAATGTTACCCACTTCTGTGTGGTTACCTGTAATATACCATGAGCAGCACTTCTTTGTGTCTTTGCTGCTTATTAATTCACTTGTCTAAAGTTCCTTTAACTCTCCTTTCTACTCTTCAGTTTCACTTTGCAAATCATTTTTTATTCATAACCACATAAAACATAATTTATTTTGAAAAGTCTCTCATATAATTTTCACTTATTCTAGGGTTATAATTTTTCCATTTGTCTCTTCAAATAAAACTTTCAGATTTGTCAACACTCATTAAACAGTAGCTCCTATTGATAGGATTCCATCCATCTCTTTTGACCTAGTAAGTGAATATAATAATAGACGCCACAGAGATTCAATCCTGTCAGATCTTACTGCCTGCATATAAATTTCCATGTCCCGCAAAGGCATTTCATTGAGGTCACGTTCTGTTATATCCTTACTTTGTATCTTGAGATGCTTGGTGGGGCATGGAAATTTATATGCAGGCAGTTTCATGTGACAGGATTGAATTTCAGCAGCATCCATTATTATATCCACTCACTAGGTCAAAAGACATGGATGGAATCTTATCAAGAGGACATACTGCTAAATGAGTCTCTTTTCTATTTTTTCCTATTATAATCCTAGTGAAGCTGTAAATATTAGGTTCTTGAACCCACAGGACTGTTTCTAGGATCTTGTCTGGCCAGGGATATAGCCTTCTCATCTGCAGAACCTTATAGTAATCAGCTACCAACTTACCTGGGGATAAGAGAATTAAAAAAAGAAGGAGAATAAGGAGAAGCAAATGGAGTATCATGGCTGAAGGGCCAGCATCAATGTACGTTGAGACTGGAGTCTCTGGGTATCGTGGGTCTGGGCCTTTTTATGATGCTCTCTGAGTCTGTGATTTGTTCTTGGTCAGTAAAGCCTAACGAAAAGAGAATAACTAAATCTCCCACAGGAAACTTCCAGGGACACACAAGCACATAAATGTGGTGATATCTCAATGGATGAGAAAGCAGGTGAATGCAATTTATTTCCCAAAGATTCAGGATGTCTTTATTGTCACCTGCTTTCTTTATTATTTTCGACATGCACATGCAATAATCATTGATCTCACTTTATACATCTATTGTTTGCTAGGCAATATAGTAGGAACTGAAGTAAAATTGTTATACACAAACAGTACATAATTAATGGATATAGTTTGGCAAGTTTGCACATATATATTATCTTGTTACCACACCAATATCCAGGTAATAATATATCCATCACCTCCAAATGTTTCCTACGTCCCTTTGTTGTGGTTGTTGTTGTCAGAACCCCTAAGATCGACCCTCTTAACAAATTGTTAAACACAAAATACCTCTTTGTTAACTATAGGTACTATATTTTGGATCCTATCTCTGTAATTGACTCATTTTGTATAGCTTTAACCCTTGAACAATAACTCCCCATATTGCTCTTTCCCCACTCAATAAAACACCAAACTCTTTTAAAGCACATTCTATATAATCCACTTTATGAAGCTTTTCCTAACACTCTTTTATCTGTTCCCCCCCAGTAAAGGGAACTACTAATATAACAATTACCTATTTTGGATTATTGCATCTTTTACAAACATTCCTTCATGAACCCATTTAACACTTATCTCCCATTATCTTATTATAATGTAAGGTAAAACTTGACGTGATTTTAAAAACGAAATCACAAAAGGGCTTTGTAAAATTATGATGTACCATTGCTTATTTGTAAGAATTCAACTTACACTAGGGGTTTTTAAAAATCTTTTGTTTTTATTTGTTGCATATTGTAAGCACAGTGTCTTTTCCAGCTATTTGCTTTGGGAAGAAAAGTTAGAGTTACAATGAACATCATAGGCTATCTTGTCTAGTCACTTACATTAGAGATGAGGAAATGAGCTGAGGGAAAGGAAGAAACTTGCCCAGGATCACCCAGTGATCTAGCGAGGAAGGCGATAGGGACAGCACTAAGGCTTGGTATTCTGAGCCTCATTCTATTTTCTCCTCTTGCCCCTTCTCTGTTTCCTCCTCTCTTCCCCAGCCTTCCAGAAAAACTTTACAGTTCTGCTGCAATGTCTACCTAAGGACATCCAGAGGAGACCTCACTTTTCATTAGACTGCTTTTTTAAGCACTGTCTTGCATTTTCTTCTTCAGTCTTGTTGTATCCCATTTTTGGCTATAAGTAATGCTTCTGCTGTGCTGTTCCATCCAATTAGTTTCTTCTATTTTCATTGAGAGAAAATTAAAACAAAAAAACCATTAGTTTATCTAAATTTGGAAGATTTAAATCTTGATTAGAATTTCCTGGGATATGGATGTAAGACATATATTTTAAAATATTTTTCATTTTCAAAATTAAAAATCAAACCCATATATTTAGCCAGGATGACTACTTGATAACTACTAATCAGATGGGTCTTCAGCAATGCCACAAGGATAAACATCTTATAAATCAATTCCCTGGTGTTATGTGCTACTGACTTAATGCAATTTGATATGGTATCACCTTTAAGCAGGCTTTACGGAGTCACACAAAGGAACAGCACAACAGAACCATAGGGTGGAATGTATAGGGAAAGCTGGGATGTAAAACCCAGCCTTGACTCTGACATTTACTCCACTGTTGGGAAAAGCACTTCAGTTCCCAGAGCCTTAATATTTTCCTCTATGAAACAGGAAAAATAGAGCTATATTTAAGGTTTTGTCAAATCTTGTTGCTGAGTGATTTTACAGTGTCTGCAGCTATCCTCTCTGCTAATCATAACAAGGCTAACCAACTGTTCTTTTGTTTAGTTAAAGATATTTTTGCATTTGTTTACAAATTGTTATTCTTCCCTTCACAGAAAAGGAAACATTTTAAAGGTAATTTATAAAAGGTTAAGAGTCTCTTACATATCAACTCTTCACAATGTGATAGAGTAGCTTAACCCCATCCCTAAGAGTATAGTTTCAGATCAGCCCCAAACCTATGTGGAGTGTGGGATACAGAATATATTTCAAACACATGCAAAGGCACACACACGCACACACAAACACACACACACACACAGTATTACCTAAGGCAGAGGTGCAGATGACAATCTTGGATAGACAGCTCAAAACTCTTAGTACTAAAATAATCCTAATAATAATTTTCCTTCCGAAGTCACCACCAACAATCAGATCTCTTAAGGGTTGGTGCCGTAGGTTTTCGAGCCTTGTGTATCTTTTGGCTTTCTTTTTTGGTTGTGTGCTATTTATCTCATAGAAAGAAACCTCTTCTTCATCCTATGCCAGTGCTGTATTGTAGGGGCTTGTTGACGTCTTCCTGGTATGTAGCAATCCAGGTGACTGGCCTCTGGCTGCTTAGGAGCAAGGCCATTACATGCTTTTGTTCTTTGTCTGCTTGTTTCCCTGTAAGGGCCCCACATACAGTGGGCGCTTAACAAAAATTTGATCAACTCACTCATTCTCCATCTCCATTCTCTCCACTTCAATCTTTCCCTTTTACATCATCCAGATTAGTTTTCCTACAGCAAAATGGGAATTGTCCAAAAACTGCCCTTCATCTTTACAACTTGAAGGATTCATTTACCCTAAGCAGTCCTTTTAAATTTACTATCACAGACTAGATAGAAAAGTCTGGGTTCACCAAGAATAGGCATGTGTGCCATCATATTTTCTGTTGAAAACTTTGGAAAGTGTCTTTTAGCAAACAACATAAAGCATAGAATTTGACCATCCCTGACAATGTAAAAGGACCATCCGCATTCTCACATGTCCATGGCTACTTTCCCACTCCTTCCCCAACCTTGAAATCCTGAATTCAAAAGAAAATATGAGAAGATAGTTTGCCTCATATAAGGCAACAGGTTGCTTAATCTTTCTTGCCTATACACATTCAAGAGCTCCAGAAAATTTTCTGATCTACTTAGGATGCCTGATCATCTTCTTGGGTAAAAGCAATAAGTCCTACACAGAATCACCAAAACCATGTCTGTTCAAGGGGTCTTATACCTGTGATTCATGATTGCATGCTCAATGCAGAAGGGCATGCTCTGTAGCAGGGTCATATCTGGTCATTGTGTTTAAGTTCTAATTTAGAAGACTAGTTGCTGAGGAGGAAGAGGGAAGGATAATGTTAGGAAATGGAATCACACTTAAGGGGAAAAGTCAAGTACAGGGGACCAACAGTATTGAGGGGCAATAGGTTGAAGATTTCTTAGATTATTGCAATATTTTCAAGGAGACCCCCCCGAATCCTTCCTGGCTGACCCCACCAAAGCTTTGGCATAGCCTTTATGCCAAATGTCTTAGACTAACTAACTTTTCCAAAAGAAAATAGAGGAGTTATGGAGACCAATATTTAGTAGAATAATGCCTGATTATTTTGCTTTTGAGGTCTAGTAACTGCTAGTAAACTTGCCTAGTTAATTCACATTCAGAAGTAGAGTAAACAGGGTTTCAAGCACTTGAAACACTACTGACTTCATTTCATGTGAGAGTTGCTATGGAGAGCTAATGAACTATGAGGCTGCAGGTCTCTCAGCCAATAGGTCTTCTAGATTTCCTATGTGACTCCCTTTTCTGGTCCTAGGCGATTTTGCTTTTGCGTTGAGTATTATAGCACCATAAGGTGTCAGACACTCTACTCTTACCAAGTCTTACACAAAGTTTATCTTGTTATTTGGTGGAGCTTGGCTCATTAAAAAAAAGAGAGAGAGAATGATAAAGAGGAGGACAGCAATCCTCATGGCTGAGGAAAGAAGAAAGCTTGGCTTTATTTCCTGTAGGCAGAGAAAACTTCCGTCTGTGGCTCTCTAGCACCAGTGGAATGTCTCTGTTTGGATAATAAGTGTCCTTCCATACCTCATTTGGCATATTCACAGAGATGTACTATGCACACAAAATAACCTTCATGGGACGACTGAGAGTCCATGTTTTATTGGACACTAAGTTCGTTAGAATGATGTGGGTGCACAGTTTTGACCAGAAAACCTTGTTAAATGGGAACATAAGCTACAAATATTTTGGCAAAAGATTAAGGTTTATGAACAAACGACCATTTATATTGTTACATTAATTAGGCCATGTTGAGAAACCGTTTAGTTTAGTTAATGATTAGACATTTTGTTAGTGAACACTTCCCAGAGTTTACTTGCCCTATTAATCCCCACTTTGCCCCTGGTCTGAACCCCCACAGTGCCTTGTTTATGGTCCAGTGCCTACTGCCTTGTATGTTAGATTAGTGAACATATATTTGCCCCCTCTACTACTGCAGGAGCCTCTTGTTTGCCAGGACAGGGCTATGTTCCTCAGAGCTGAGGAGGAGTTGAATCATGTGGTCATTTATTCTCAAATCCTCTTCATCAAGTGAAGCAAAACAGGACAGTGAAAAGTCACTGCACATGGAAGCAGGAGGACTGGATTTCAGTTCTAAATCTCTAGATCTATTACTAATTGGAGGTATGGATAGAGTCAGGAAAATTTTCTTCCTTAAGTCTTGATAGCACATATGTAGGTCCAGATCCATTGGATCTAGATAAGGGGATTCTCAATAATTACTGTGCATAAAATCAACTGAAAGAGTTAGTTTGTAATGCAGATCCTTAGCCCCATTCTATGAAATTTTTACTGTTTTATAAATCGATAAATAATTTTTATTAGACAATGTAAATTTCCTTACTTTCACCAGCATACAAAAATATTGAATAATATTAGCAGCAGAATCTTTCAACAAAATAACTATGTATATGTATTAAACCACTTTGTTTCACTGCCTTTTATTTTCTTTTATTTATCACTGTTGTCTTCATTATTATCATCCTCACACATTATTGAACACCCATCATGGACCGTATGGCATAAACATTGTTTCTGCTAATAAGGAGTATGTATTCTCTACATGTTTATAAAATTAAAGCCTGAATAAGTTTGCTTAAACAAGGCAGAAGTTGATTTCTTTTTCACTTAAAATTAACCTGTAGTTATACCATTCAGGGCTAGTACAGATACTTTCTAATATCATTAGGGATGCAGGTCCCTTCCAGCTCTCTGCTGTGCTATACTTTAGAAAAGGTCCTAGTTTGGCTGCTAAATTCCCACCTATTATTTCTGAATTCTAGACAGCAGGGAGAAAAAAGGCATGAGAGAATGGCAAAGGAACATCTACCCTTCCTTTTTAAATTTTTTAACCAACTCCCCTTAAAAACACTTTGCTGAGACATGATTACATTCAAAAAGCTGTACCTATTTAATGTGTATATCTCAGTGAGTTTGAGAATAAGGATACATTGTGAAAGCATCACTACCATCAAGATTATAAACATATTCATCACCTCTCAAAGTTCTCCCTCCCATTCTAATTATTATTTTTATTGGTAAGAATAATTAACATAAAATTCACCCTCCTATTATATTTTAAGTATGCAATACAGTATTCATAGCTATAAGCACTATGCTGTAAATTAGACCTCCTGAACTTATTTATGTGGTATATCTAAAACTTTGTACTATAATCACACCTACACACTTACCTGCACCACAGCTCCTGGCCAGTCTACCCTCTGCTTCTGAGTTTGTTTTTTTGAGATTTCAAATACAAGTGAAATCATACAGTATTTGTCATTCTGTGTTTGGCTTATTTCACATGACTTCATGCCCTTCAGATCCATCAATGTTGTCACAAATGACAGGGTTTCATTATTATATAATACTGAATAATATTCCATTGTGCATATATATATATATAACATTAATTCAGCCATCCATGAATGAATGATAACATGTATGTCTTCTTCATAGATCTTGACTATTGTGAACAGTGCTGAAAGGAATATAGGAGTGCAGATATCTCTTTCACATACTGATTTCAATGACTTCATATATATATACTTATATATATATATGGATATATATATTATATATAAAATAAGTGGGATTGCTGGAACAAAATGGTATTTTTATTGTTAATTTTTTGAGAAACGTCCATACTATTTTCCAAGGTGGCCATACTAATTTACATTCCCACCACCAGTATACAAAGGTTCCCTTTTCTCCACATCCTTACCAACACTTGTTATCATCCATCTTTTTGATAATAGCTATTCTAACATGTGTGAGGTGATATTTCTTGGTAGTTTTCATTTGCATTCCCGTGATGTCTAGAGAGGGTAAGAATTGTTTATATATATATGTTGTCCATTTGTATCTCCTTTTTCAAGAAATGCCTGCTCATGTATCTTTGTTCATTTTTTACTTTTTTAATTTTTATTTTAGACACAGAGGATACATGTGCAGGTTTGTTACATGGATGTATTGTGTGCTGCTGAGGTTTACAGTATGAATGATCTCATCACACATGTAGTGAACATAATACCCAATAGGTAGTTTTTCAGGCCTTGCACCCAACCCTCCCTCCTCCCTCTAAGAATCTCCAGTGTCTGTTGTTTCCATATAAGTGAGAGCTAAACAGTGTATAACCCAATGTTTAGCTCTCACTTATACATGAGAATATGTAGTATTTGGTTTTCTGTTCCTGTGTACCACGCCACACTTGGCTAATTTTTGTATTTTTGGTAAAGATGGGGTAGCTTCAGCATGTTGGCCAGGCTGGTCTTGAACTCCTGAGTTCATGTGATCCACCCACCTCACAAAGTGCTGACATAACAGGCATGAGCCACTGCACCTGGCTTTTCTGAACTTTTTTAGCTTATATTAGGTTTGTCTGTTCTAGAATTTTGTATACATTTATTTATATTATAGGACACTTTTTAGCTTAGCTTTCCCCACTCGGGGTTAGAAAGATTATATTGATCCACGATCATGATGTTGATTCATAGAGTTGGTTATTCCCCTTTATTGCTAAATATTACTCTATAATATGCATATAGTTTATCAATTTCCTCTCAATAGACATTTGAGCTATTCCCAGGCTTCAGCTATTGTTAATAGAACTCAAGGACATATTTTTAAAGGAAAAAATTTCAACCCAAAATGTCCTTTCCTTTTGGCTCTCCAATACTGTGTCAGATTTGTATTTTTGTTGTCTTGAAAATCCAATTACATTGAACAGGAGGTGTCTCTAGAATCAAAGTTCAGTATATGTGTGGTCTGGCTGTGTCCTGGAATGTAGCCCTTATTAGTTTTATTAAGCATTTTCCGATATAAATTGAAATCAAGTTGAAGACTCATTTTTCCACAGTAGGACAAATAGAATAGTTTAGGACTTTGGAGAGATAGCAACTTGCTGCTTGCCTGTGCAACCCACCTCAAAAGATACAACTCCTCCAACTTTTGATTTCTGGTGACTTGTCCAAACAATTAGATGTGAATTGACCTTATTCCCTTACATTACTACAAGTCGATCTTCTGCACCTGGCCAAATACAGTATAAAATTGATGAGCATATATTTCTTTAGGTTTCATACTTTCTATTTAAAGCTATTCTCTTTGGCTGGTCACTATGGCTCATGACTGTAATCCCAGCGGTTTGGAAGACCAAGATAGGTGGATCACTTGAGGCCAGGGGGTTGAGACCTGCCTGGCCAACAGGATGAAAGCTGTCTTTCTGAAAAATACAAAAATTTTCTGGGTGTGGTGGCACGTGCCTGTAATCCCAGCTACTCAGGAGGCTGAGGCAGGAGAATCACTTGAACCCAGGAGGCAGAAGGTGCAGTGAGCCAAGATCCCGCCTCTGCATTCCATCCTGGGTGACAGAATTAACCTCCATCTCAAAAAAATAAAAAGCTAATCTATACTTTTCTTTTGGTGCATTATTAGAACATAGAAGGCAATAAGGCAAAACTATTGTGGGTATATTAGTGTGTATCTGTAGCACCTAGCACAGTGCCTAGCCCATAACTTGTGTTGAAAATTAAGAGAACCTTCTTCATATCACTTTTCCACACTCCAGTTCTGAATTTAAAGAAAGAAAAAGGTAGGTTAGCAAATATAGGTATCAGCTATTTCTATTGACAGATCATTTGGAGAACATGTTTTTGGGTGTGGGAGAAAAAAGATTCCTAACTCTCCACCCCAGAAATAATTTTGCTGATACAAAAATCAGCCAGACATGGTGGCACAGGCCTATAATCCCAGCTACTTAGGAGGATGAGTTTGAGGATAAGGATACATTGTGAAAAAGGTGGGAAAATCACTTGAACATGGGAGGCAGAGATTGCAGTGAGCCAAGAGTGCCCCACTGCACTCCAGCCTAGGCAACAGAGAAAGACTCTGTATGAAAGAAAAAAAAAAGTTGTTTTTATATAGCACATAATTTCATTGTCATCTCATTTAAAATTGAATAGCACATTGGGTTGAATTCTTGTGCCTGCAGAGACATTTGCTTCTGGCTTAAAATCACTGGGTGTAGGAGGAAACTCCAGCAGAGGGCATCGTAAGGATTTCATAGTGTCTATTAATTCCTCAGATAATTCCTGGCAATTCTGTTAGTTCTTGAACTTCACTTACTTCTTACATGTTTAATAAAAAGAAGTTCAAAACATTACCATGGCTGTTGAATTCCCACAGGCTTGTCTTCCCTTTAAAATTCATCACATGGTTTGTACTCTTTTGCAGATATAATACGTAAGTTTGGAGGTGGATGCTTTCAGCCATTAAGTTCAAAAGTACTGCTACAAGGGCCAGGCCTGGTGGCTCACACCAGTAATCCCAACCCTTTGGGAGGCCAAAGCAGGTGGATCACGGTATCAGGAGACTAAGACCATCCTAGCCAACATGGTGAAACCCCATCTGTACTAAAAATACAAAAATTAGCTGAGTGTGGTAGTATGTGCCTGTAGTCCCAGCTACTGGGGAGGCCGAGGCTGGAGGATTGCTTGAACCCGGGAGGCAGAGGTTGCAGTGAGCTGAGATTGCGCCATTGCAGCGCAGCCTGGGTACAGAGTGAGACTCCGTCCCCCACCACCCCCCCCAAAAAAAAAAAAGTACTGCTACATGGACATCCATTGTCCCAGCATCTCTGCCATAATAGCTGAGGAATTATCGAGAATGTCTGTTAATTTCTTTAACTCCAAATTTGTGTTATGTCCCTTGGTCTTCTGTCATACCATAAATTGTATTATTCATAAAATGGACACTTTGTCTATAGTTATTTCTTCTCAGTATGCTACATCCCTTTAGAATTTAAATATACAGTGTCTCCCAACCTGAAATTGGAAGTTTTGAAAAACCAGAAAAATGTTTTTGGACACCTTTTATTTCCAGCTGTTATTATGTCCTCTCCTGAATCCAAGTTGAGGGTAAAGTCCATTCATCAGCATTTCTCCTCAACTCACAACAACCTCATCCCACTCCAATATGATGTTTGTCCCCACAAATTGATGCACATAATTCTTGCTGGCAGTGGTAATGTCCTAATAAAAAAAAATCAGGAGACGGCATCAGACTTTATTTTCTAGCTCAGCAGAATTGGATTCCTGTCTGATAAGGAAACCCTATTTTCCCTACAAACTTTTCACTTTTGTCACTGGTTTGGTTCCCAGGGAACTGGATATAGATAAAGTTTAGTGTGTAGGATGTTTATTAGGAAGTGATGTGAGGATCCACATCTGTGGAAAGGATTGGAGGGAAGCCTTATGTGCAAAGGGACAAGTCTAATGGCAGTGCAGCCTGACATTGTCACCTGGCCACACAGACAGAGCTGTAGAGCTAAGAAGTCCTCCCCTATTTGTCCCAACTGAATCAAATGGCAAAGCCTATGTACCCTTTGCCTCCATTAATGATTGTGTGCTTGCCACTTGTGGAGGATGAGACTTTGAAGCAGGTGGCTTTCTGTGGCTGAAGAAAACCTTAAATGTGCTGACAAAGTTTTCCAAAGAGACAGAGAATGGCATCTGCCATGTATGTTGCCCCTTTCCAAAGAGGAAGCAACAAGGGTAATGGCCTCCAATGGCTCTGTATGCAGATAGGTGGACAGTAATGTCTGTCCCTCCTGTGACCTAAGAAGAACAGATGGCAGACATGCAGCCAGGCAGTTAGAGGTGACACAGTGTTAGGAGATAAACATCTGTCAGAAGCAGTGCTTCTTTGAATCAGGTGTGACACAAGCCTTGCATCCCTTGCATGGACCCCTTCCCCATTATCCTGCTGTCCTACCTCATGAAGGTGGGTGGGGGCTGGCTGGTGGGCAGTCCCAGTACCAGGTAAACTTTGCCTGCAGTGTTTCCACATGAGTTCCAAGGTAGCCCGTGTGGTCATCCATGAACTTTGTGTTTTCTTTTTGCTGCTTGTCCTTTGCCTTTGAGGAACACGTTTCATTTGACTCTGAGTCGAAACAACTCATGTGTCCCTATATCTGTACATTGTCCTTCACTTAGGGGAATCTGTAATCTGTAATGCCTTTGTTTTATTTTTATTATCAATATTATAATAATTAACATTGTCATTATTACCTTCATTGTTGATATTCAGTTATTTTTATTAATAGAGTTACTGTGAATTATTATATTGTGGCTACTTACACCAAGATGAAGATAATTTATTAGTTCAGGAAGAATCTCCATTCTGAAGGCAAATAGAAGTTCCAGCTACAGATGGGCAGACACATGCCCTCTCAATTCCTGATGGACCTCCTTGTGCCTCCTGGACCTAAGGGGCCTCCCTCAATGTTTCAAGATGCCACCAAGGCAGGGATCAGCTCGTGCATTCCTGAGAACATCCAGGATGAAATGAGGCTCTGGAAAAATGCAAGAGTTTCCACATAATCCCAAAAAACCCTACAGGTGAACTGGATGCCACAGAAAGAGGAGTGGTCTTTGACACAACAAAATCAACAAAATTATTTCGAAGTCAATTAGGAAACTCAGAAATCACTCTTGCTGTCATTAAGAGGAAGAACAGGAGCCTGTGAATGGCATCCCTGGCCTTCCCCAGACTCCACAGATATTTCTATGTGGCTTCAGACAACAGAAATCTCTGTGATTTTCAGAAAGGCAGGGACAGCTCATGCCAGCCCATCCCTCTGCAGAATGTGTCCCAGCAGATCAGTGGCATGGAACCATCATGGACAGCACAAAGGCTCAAGGGCAGCATCCCAGGCCGGCCTGTGACTCTAGATAAGTTCTGAGTCCCCATGGGGGCTCAGGAAAGGTTAGTGATGACCTGGAAAGAAGGGACTGGCTGAAACCTCCCCTAAGCAATCTGCAGGATTCCAACTTCAGCAGGAAGCCAAGGACCAGCTCGTACCACAACGGCTCCCCCTGAAAACGCTGGATACAATCCCACTCTGCAGAAAGTTCCACATAGAAGTGGCTGGGAATTTTGCCTTCTAGACTGCATTTTACAGTGCCTCTGGACATGTGATGAGAAAGTTAACATTGGTGTATCTAGCTCTGACATATTTCACGAAGCGATTTTTAAAAATGTGGTAAAAAAGACAAAATATAATTGAAACATATGCATTATATGTCAGAGTATGCTTCGCTGGCATCAAGTAGACTCACCTTGAGATACAATCTTGGACAACCTCCATCTTCAGAATATCTACTTTTTCAAAGAGAAACTCTCCAACCAAAAATCAATAACATCAAAAGTTTGCAACTACAAGCCGACAGAAAATAAATACAGGAATTCTACCACAGTGAATTGGACCGCACTGGGAAACACAGATGAAGAAAGTCAACACCGCTTTGTCCATCAGTGCCTGGCTCCCTTTTCAGCTCGTCTTGAGACTCCAGGCATTATGCCTGAAAAGTCTCCCGGACGCCTGTGAGGCTCTAATTCCCTGGGTCCCATTGCCATGTCTCTGGATTTGCGAAGATCCACCTGACCATCTGTGGAACTCCCGTGTCCCTATACTTTTGTGCCACGGCCCCTAATTCTGCCCATGGTCATCTGCACCTGCACGACTTAGGGTCCATGTTCCTTGGACAGGAAGAGACAGGCAGGAGTCGGAATGATGAACCAGCACACTGGGGCGTTTTCTCATGTAGCCCAAGTGACCCCATGATCTTCTCGGGCTTTGGAACCAGTCGCGTCCCCTTTGACACTGCACCCGGCTCCCAGTCTCTCAATCTTGTTGGCCCTCCGCCGATCTCCCGTTGCATGAATTGCACCTGCTAAAACTCGAGTCCCCTTTGATTTGCGCTTCATTAATTATTCATGATTCAGGTTGGAAGGCCTGCTGACGACCCCCTGTGGCTCGTCGTTCTCTGAGCTTTCCTGTCACATCGTTTCCTTCCACGCTCTTTGGTTCCTTATGGTCCTGCTCCTTCTGCTGTCAGAGGAGCAGAGAGTTGATCTTATTGATTCTGGATACGGATACTTTCTAGGTGATCTGGATAATCAAGATAACGACCCTCAACAGCGGCGGAAAGGGAGCAGCCAGTTGGTGTGTCTCAGAAAATCCCGCTGAGTTCCGAGGCCTCCTAGATGTGGAATCCTGCTGAGAGTTGTTCCCAGGTCAGAGAATGGAGAGAGCCTGTGCATGATGGGATATCCCTGCCTAGATCTTTCAATGAGTCTCTACCTCAGCTACTCTTAGGATCAGGGGGAGAAGCATGGAAAGGCCCGGTGTCAGACATCCGGAACGACGTGATGAATGTTTTACCTCTGAAGTACATCCCAAATCTGGGAGTTAACTTCAGGTTTGCTGGGGTCTACTTGGCCAGTGAAACTCTGCCTGGTTCATTCGCACATCCGGAAGCCACTTCACGGGGGGCCGTCGCAACTGGAACCACACACTTGGCATCGGCGGTTGAGCCAAATGGGGACTCGTGGTGCAAGCAACGCTCCCCACGTGTTAGCGTGCGTGAGATTCGGTTGGCGGAATTTTACTAGGTGCGTGTTTGTAGAGTGGGGCTGAGGTTTTCTTGCTCCTGCGGATGTATAGGAAGTCAAAGCACCTGCCCAGCCCTGCGGTCCCCTCAGTCAACTCTGTTTCGGAGACATAACGATTTGGATTGCTAACAGGTCAAGAAACTTTCAAGCCCTTGGATGTAGGCAAAAGAAAGAGAGATCAGACTGTCACTGTGTCTATGTAGAAAGGGAAAACAAAGAGACTCCATTTTGAAAAAGACCTGTACTTTAAACAATTGCTTTGCTGAGATGTTGTTCATTTGTAGCTTTTCCCCAGCCGCTTTGCCCCAGCCGCTTTGACCCAACTTGGAGCTCACAAAAACCTGTGTTGTATAAAATCAAGGTTTAAGGGATCTAGGGCCGTGCAGGACGTGCCTTGTTAACCAAATGTTTACAAGCAGTATACTTGGTAAAAGTCATGGCCATTCTCTAGTCTCAATAAACCAGGGGCACAATGCACCGTGGAAAGCCTCAGGGACCTCTGCCCTTGAAAGCAGGGTATTGTCCAACGTTTCTCCCCATGCGATGGTCTGAAATATGGCCTCGTGGGATGAGAAAGACCTGTCCCCCAGCCTGACACCGGTAAAGCGTCTGCGCTGAGGTGGATTAGTAAAAGAGGAAAGCCTCTTGCAGTTGAGATGGAGGAAGGCCACTGTCTCCTGCTTGCCCCTGGGAACTGAATGTCTTGGTGTAAAACCCAATCGTACATTTGTTCAACTCTGAGCTCCGAGAAAAGCTGCCCTGTGGCGGGAGGCGAGACATGTTGGCAGTAATGCTGCCTTGTTATTCTTTACTCCACTGAGATGTTTGGGTGGAGAGAGACATAAATCTGGCCTACGTGCACGTCCAGGCATAGTACCTTCCCTTGAACTTAATTATCATATAGATTCTTTCGCTCACATGTTTTTCGTTGACCTCCTTATTATCACCCTGCTCTCCTAGTATATTCCTTTTTGCTGAAATAATGAAAATCATAATCAATAAAAACTGAGGGAACTCAGAGGCCGGTGCCGGTGCAGGTCCTTGGTGTGCTGAGTGCCGGTCCCCTGGACCCACTGTTTTCTCCCTATACTTTGTCTCTGTGTCTTATTTCTATTCTCCGTCTCTCATCCCACCCGACTAGAAACACCCACAGGTGTGGAGGGGCAGGCCACCCCTTCACTTGGAAAATCAGTTAAACACAAACACGGAATGAGAGTCAAAAGACAATACGTCATCTTTTTGAGAATTTTATTCACTTCAAAACCAATTAAACACACCTGTCTACAAAGGCATTCCAGAGCCCAGTTTTCGAGGCTGAGGAAAGACCCCGAGAGCGCTTCGCACAGCACGCTTCCCAGCGTCCGAAACTCTGCTCTCAGGGCGGGGCACAGCGGAAGGGCTGCACCTCTCAGGGTTCCCTAACTTTTCCCTTATTCAGTCATCTAGAGAGCAAATACACAGTAATTCCCCAGTTTCCTATTGACGTCCAAGCGGAAGTCTGACTCCTGCGCGTCACGCAGTTTCTGAGACAACGAATCTCTGGCACGGAAGCTTTTCCTGGCGCGTTTCGGGAGAACCACGCCAACTACAACGTCCCTCACCAGAATGCAATGAGGCAGAGTCCCTGCATCTGCTCCCTGCCTGGCCTGGGCTCCCACATCCACAGAAGCGCCACAGCCGGGGAGCTTCGGAGTCACCGCACAGAGTGTGCTCTCTGCTCTGCGCTCCTCAGTCCCACAGTCCCCTCCAAGTCACGGGAGCTGGAGGCCAAGGAGCCCCTGCCACCTGCAGTCTCACTCCAGGTCAGAATCACTGTCCTCTGAGGAGGAGGAAACCTGAAGGTCCTCATAGAGGACGCTCGGTGGGACACGAACACAGGGACCCTCAGACTTCTCTGACACATGAGGGCTCTGAGCGAGGAAGGCTCCCGGCTTCTCAGGAGAGTGAAATGAGGGGGCCGCCAGGAGGCTGGAGCTCCAGCGTCCGTTTTCCAGTCTCCGGAAGAGCACTCTGAGAGGCTGGGCCCCATCATGGCTGGCCGCTGAGTGATGGGACATGGTGCAGGCCTGGGCAGTAGGCAGGCAAGGTGTGCTGTGCGGAGGCTGCCGGTCGACGCTGGGCACCTGGGCCGGTGTCCTCCTGCCCATCTGGGGCGACGTACTTGGTCCAAGTTCAGTTGCGGCTGGCAGAGGTTGGAGATTCTCCGGGGCCCTCAGCTCACCTCCCTGGATGGCGCTTTCGGGGATCTGGAAGGGACCCAGTCTCCGTTTCTTGGGGAAGTTCAGGCAAGCCTGAATCGGAGCCTGGGCAGCTCTCTTGGCTCCTGGCCCGAAGCTGAGATTGGAGCCTAGGCCCAAGCTGTGTGTGGCGGCTGGCGGGCAGGGCTGTGAAGTCACCACAGGACGTTTGTCTTGTGCCTGGGGTCTGATGGCCTGGAGCAGGCCGTGGGTTTTGGAGGCAGCCTGGGGAACTTCTCGGCAGCCACCCTCGGGGCTGCTGTGTGTCGGCTTCACCACGAGGAGAGGCTCGCGGCCCTGGTGCCTGACTGCAGGCTGAGGGATGTCGGCCGCAGCCCCTGTCTGTCTTTCCTTTGGTCCAAGACTTGAGGAGGATCTCAGACTGGCTTTTCTGAGGGGAGACAGTGAAGCCAAGACGGAGCCCCTGCCAGACATTTCGGTAGCTGAGCGATCAGCGAGTTCAGGGTCCACGCACGGCCTCTTACTTGTTGTGTGGACCGGCATTGGCCCGCTTGCAACCTGAAAGAGAGGAAACAACACAGGTTAGAAGTTCCTCAGCATGGAGCCAACGTGAAAATCAAGCACATCCAAAGACAAGGTGCACACGCCATGAAATTCTTAGTACAGTATCGACAGGCGGTCCTTGGAAGTAGGGACAGACCCTCCACCTGAGTGCTGATCAGGACAAGATACATGAAAGATGCGCTCTCGAGCTATGTGTAGCTGTTCTAAGCACACCATTGTTCAAAAGATCGCGTCTTGGGCATTAACTGGATCAAAGCGCCTCCACTCAGCCTTCCATGAAGTGGAACAGACTAATGCCCTTCCGAAGGCAGGTTGGTGGCTCAAGGGTACTCAGGACGTCTTCTCTGAACACATGCATGTTCCAGGGTTTAGCCTTCTCCATGTTTGGGGCCTCTGAGGGACAAATTTCCTCATGCCGCTAGGAACATGTTGTTGGCAGGCTTGCCATAATTGGACAGAAAGAAAGCAACAGGAAATACGGCATGTTCAGATGCCTTCGCCTGGAATCCAATTGACCTGGAAGGATCGTGGAGTCCCTGACCCCAAGAAGGCAAGAAAGAGGGGTTCCCCGATTCCCTCCCGCAGACGGGAAGCTGAAAGGAAATCAACCAGGGTGACCTAGAGGACAAAAAGACCAGGGGCCCGGGGTGACACTCACCCTCAGAAAAAGAGAAGATTCCGTGGATCCTTTTCGATTTGGCAGCAGCTTCTCTGGAGGTTTCCCGGAAAATATGTGGAGGAGAGCCTTCCTCTGTGGGTCTTGTTGCCTGCAGAACAGAAAAAGGTCAGGCCATGGCCCCTGGTTTTCCCCAGGAGACAGGGAGAACCCTGTCTGGGGCTCAGTCCCATTCCGTGTTTTGTGATACAGAAATGGACATCTGGTGCCCTTTCCGCCTCTGCACCTTCCCTCTCGTGCCAACCTTCCCATCCTCCAGGTGGCCCTCTAGGCTTCCCAACTAAGGACTGTGATTTGGATTCCATCGCTTTTCCCGCTGTCGTGGGGAATCTGCAAGAAGCACCCCCGCCTCTCCCCGTCCCTGAATCTCCCAGAGCCAAAGGAACTCCTGGGTGTGGAACCCAGGAGGACACGGAGCTCCGGCCTATTTCTCTGCAGCGTTCCTTCCCTGGCCCGGAGACGGAAAGGCACACGGTGTGCAGGTGCAGAGACACCATGTCCTTAGGAGGCAGTACCCTAAGAGTGGTGAAAACCCCTCCCACTGCTCACCTTGGTCTCTCTTCCTTCTCTCCCTTATCCTTGTTCAAGGGCCCCGGGTTGGCTTCAACCTGGGGCTTCCATGGTTTCAGGTTTTCCTTCCCTTCCTTTTTCCCCAAGGTCGGTGGAACCAGGGCTGCCTTCCAGCACTTCATGGGGCACCTGGTACTTCTGGCCGTGTGGCCAAAGGCCCCGCAGTTTTTGCACTTGAGCTGTGGGTGGAAAGGAAGTGATGTCAGTGAGTGAGCTGAAGCCACAGGCAGCGATCCCGCGTCAACATTGAGACGGATTGTGAATTCAGAGCTGAATAAGGATTCCAAAGAGGGGACACCAGCATGGGGGCCGTTAAGAGCTGGGAGAGTTCGGATGCGATGTTCCCTCCCAAAGCCCATGTGACGGAGGAACTCTAAAAGGCAGGACTCAAGGTTCTAAGGGGCACGATGGTGAACCCGATGTCAACAGCACAGCCAAACGTGGCTACACAGGAGTCTAAATAGAAAGGGAGGTTGCCCCCAAGAGTCTCTCAAGGGGCCTATCGGGCCGCGGAGGAGGTCCCAAGCCACGCCCACCTTGGATGGGAAAAGCAACCTGGGTGGTGGTGACAGAACTCTTTGGAATCCAACCCAGTCTCTGAGGACCGTGTGACAGCCCCTCCCCCCGCCCCCACCCCCACCCCGATTTCCAAGAGATCCAGTGCTAGACTTACCCTGGGATCTTCTTCATCGGGCGGTGGAGCCCTTGGCCCAACTGGGGCCCTCCGCTGCTTCTGGAGGGTCTGGGCTCTCACCAGTCTCTTTGCCCCAGGTTTGGGGTCATGACTGCCATCATCTTCGTCTCCTGGGGGTTTTGTGACCGGCTTTTTCAGGGGTGGACTGTTGGGTCACCTGAAATACACACACACACGTCTATGGTTAAGCATATTGGATATTCACACACCCACAGGAAGCCACCTGCTAACTCCTTGCCGGTGTGGTCATGAGGAGACCTCACCACCAGTCGGTCAAATCTGTGGAACACAATGTGCTGTGTGCATCTTCAGATATTGTGTGTTCCTCTGCCATGATTACCTAGTCCAAGAGTAAACTTCGCCTACCACAGGGCCTGTGGCCTAGGTATGGGGAGTTGAGCTTTCAACTCCAAACTAACAACTGATTCTGGAGACTGGACTTAGGTCTATCACGATTCACTCCGGTAGAAGACACGATGATTCTATCTCCCTTGACGGACAGAATGATCGAAGCCACAGGGAATGGCGTGTGTCACCCTTTGGCAGGTCTGTTTGAAATCTGGGATAAGGGATGCTTCCTGTCACAACTTGAATCGCTACTCTTGCCATTTCATTAGGTGACTTCCAAGCACAAATTCATAGAGAGAAGTTAGCTTTCTCTCTACCACACTAGCAGGTGATGGTCTTTCCTGTTCTATCTTTTTGGCTTTAGCTCCAGCCCCTCTTTATTTATTTTTCTGGTATTTTACACATGCCACACGAATTCATCTAAACAAACGGTGAACAAGTGCCATATCGTATCGACGTCTTACATGGCTGAAGGGCAAACCACCCTTTTTTCCAAAGTCCTTTTTCCATTTACCCACCAACTCAGCATGCTGCAGTACATTTCTTTTCGCATTCCCATCTTGGTCTTCTCCCACACGTGGAGACGGAAATGCTTTCTCGTTTTCTGTTCCAAGAATTACTAGTAACGAGAACACATCCTACCCCATCAGCAAGGCCCAGTGTGATCGGTTTCTCTCAGCCTCCTTTGTCTCTTACCACCCACCCCTCAGGGATTGGGTGAAAAAAACAACTGTACAGTGAAACTAACCTGAAATTACACGTCTACTTTCTTTCCCCGGCTGGCACTGAGATGGGCAGGTGCTGGAGCAGCCCCCCTGGAAGCGATGCAGCATCCAGGAAGATGGAGGAAGGGGCGGAGAGGGACCTCTGCTTTCCAGGCTGCCTTTTATACTGCCTCTGGTCACCTGACATGGAACGTACCCTAACCTAATCAGTTACATGTAAGTTAATTACAATTAACTTAATCCAATTACATGACCCGGAAAGGTCTATCTGCACAGCCCACTCTAAGATCATGTCCACTGCTGACAGACATTCTAAAACCTACGTGTACAGCTGCAAGCTTTGAAGAATAGATGTTCCCCGTCAGACATGTAACACTGGTGCCTGTACGCCTGTCTTTTTTTCCATCTTTTTTGTTTTTGTGTTTTGTTTTGTTTTAAAAAATGTGGTAAAATAGACACCTTTTAATTGGACCATATTTACTCTACCTCGACGTAGGCCTCAGTGTCTTCAAGGAGATTCTGCTTGACATGCAGTCATGGCCATGATCCATCTTCAGAGTTTCTCTTTCTTCCCCACGGTAGGTCTGTCAGCAGAGAACCCTGACCACACCCTCATGTGTTTTCTCCTCCAGGAGGCGCTTGGAAACCACCGTCAATTGGACCGCACTGGGAAACACAGATGAACAAAGTCAACACCGCTTTGTCCTTCAGTGCCTGGCTCCTTTTTCAGCTCTTCTTGCGACTCCAGGTATTGGAGTCCAAGGAGGGGTACGTCGCCTTTACCCTGTGCTTGCCACGATCTTGTATCCTTAATCCTCACTGCAGCTCTCTGCCATAGGGTCTTATACTGCTTTACATGTGGGAAACTGAGGCTCAGAGAGTTTCACAGCAGGGCAGGGAGCCCAGATGTGAATCTGTAGATACCAAACTTTCTAATTTTTCAGTAGTTTCCAAGCATCTTTTTTTTTTCTTGTTTCTTCGTTGGTGTCTGTTTTTTTTTTTTTTTTTTTGAGACAAAATCTCTGCCCAGGCTGAGGTGCAGTGGTGTGATCTCAGCTCACTGCAACCTCCACGTCTCACATTCAAGCAATTCTCATGCCTCAGCCTCCCGAGTGGCTGGGACTACAGGTGCCCACCACACCCAACTTATTTTTGTATTTTTAGTAGAAACACGGTTTCGCCATGTTGGCCAGGCTGGTCTTGAACTCCTGACCTCAGGTGATCCACCCGCCTTGGCCTCCCACTATGCTGGAATTATTGATATGAGCCATTGTGCCCGGTCATGTCACTGGTGTCTTAACCAAGCCTCTTTTAATTTTTCAAACGGAAGAGCCCCTGTCCCTCAGTTACTGCTGCTGAGCCCTTTCAAGGTGAGTCAGTGAGGAGGGAGAAAAGCGGAAGTGGTGTGGGAAGAGGCAGGGTCTGGGCCAGCTGCTGGTCCTGCTCTCCTCCCTCCTTTGGCCTCTAGGCTCCCAGGAGTGGTTTCGAACCTGCGCCGTGTGCTCTGGAGGCTGTGGCAAGGCAGGCGCAGCTTGGAACCCGCACCATGTGCTCTGGGGGCTGTGGCAAGGCAGGGGCAGCTTGGAACCTGCGCCATGTGCTCTGGGGGCTGTGCCAGGGCAGGGGGAGTCCTCGTGTCCCCTGCGCACAACACAGACAGAAGGCTGGGTCCACCCAGTGGGCGGTCAGGTGCCAGGCCAGTGCTTACCCCGCCATGTTTGCAGCCCGAGGCCAGCTGGCTGCAGGTGCAGGGTTAGGCGTCAGGGGTCAGGGTGCACACATCCCTGCAGGTCTCGGGGCTCCTGGGTTGCTTCTGGAAGGGCACAGATGGGGCCTGACTGGAGCTGCCGAGGGGTGGAGCTTCTGGGGAAAGGATCCCTCCTAGAGGGAGTGTCTTGGGCCGGGGGCCACATGGCAGGGACAGAGACGGGTCCATGGCAGTGTCTGCTCTTCTCTGTGAAGGCAAAGGGCCTCTGAGGGAGTATTACAGCTGCCTCATCCACCAGAAGCATTTCCAGCACATCCAGGTCTGCACCCCCTGACTGCAGGGCCGAGGACTACCCCCGCTTCTAGGTGAGAGGCCAGCAGGAGGCTCAGGGAGGAGGCGGGGCCTTAAGCAGGGGGAGCAGGGGTGGGCATGATGTACTTTTTCTGAAAAGGTGGCTCTGGGGGCCACTTGGGGACAGGACCTGGGCTCTGGCTGAACTCCCGGGAGGAGGCTACCTCCTGGTGTGCCAGCCCCTCCCTGCCAGGTCGCCCCAGAGGCCATTTACCAAGGGGTTTGAGGAGGCCACGTCCTTTCAGTCTGCCACGCCCTCCATTCCGTCCTCTTCCTTCCTGCAGGAGGGCTGGGCCTGGGTTTGGGGCCACTGTTGCCCAGGTGTGGGAGGGCAGTGGCTTTGGGAGGAACAGGGACGATGTGTCAAACAGCGTCTCCTCTCCCAGTGAGATGGTTCTCCTTTGCCTCCATCTCTTTCCCCGTTGATTTCTCCAAGTGGGGAGTCGTGGCTTGGTCCTGATGCGTCTCTAGAGCTGCATCTTCCAGCTTCCAGTGAGCAGAGCAGTTGGAGTCTGAGCGCCTTTTCCTGGCAGGATTCTCCAGCTAGTCTTTGTTTTAGACAGTCTTGCTCCGTTGCCCAGGCTGGAGTGCACGATCTCAGTTCATGCAACCTCCGCCTCCTGGGTTCAAGCAATTCACCCACCTCAGCCTCCCAAGTAGATTACAGGATTACAGGAGTCCACCACAACAGCTGGCTTATTTTTGTATTTTTAGTAGAGACTGGGTTTCACCATGTTGTCCAGGCTGGTCTTGAACTCCTGACCTCAAATGATCCTCTCGCCTTGGCCTCCCTAAGTGCTGGGATTCCAGGCGTGACCCATCATGCCTGGCCCCAGGTAGTCTTTAGAAATGTTAAGCTATTTGGCTTTATTTTCACACTGACAGCTGGTTTGTGGTGGGTGTGATGTGGTTTATTATTATTATTATTATTATTATCATCATCATTATTATTATTTTGAGACGGAGTTTCGCTCTTGTAGACCAGGCTGGAGTGCCATGGCGCGATCTTGCCTCACTGCAACCTCTGCCTTCCCGGGTTCAAGCGATTCTCCTGCCTCAGCCGCCTGAGTAGCTGGGATTACAGGCACGTGCCACGAATTAGCATCGCTAATTTTGTATTTATTTTTAGTAGAGATGGGGATTCACCATGTTGGCCAGGCTGGTCTTGAACTCCTGACCTCAGGTGATCCACCCGCCTTGGCCTCCCAAAATGCTGGGATTACAGGCGGGAGGTGAACCTGGGAGGTGGAGGTTGCAGGGAGCTGAGATTGTGCCACTGCACTCCAGCCTGGGTGACAGAGTGAGACTCTGTCTCAAAACAAAACAAAACAACAACAACAAAAAAACAAATTGTGGTTACGTAGAAAAAGTGTCAACTTACATTTTCAGATGTCCCAGCCAGGCCATGTGGCTGCTTAGCCAGCTTAAGCCACTTGTGCTTGGGGCTGTCAGGGGCCTTATCCAATTTTCACTCCCCTCGGGGGATGTTGTCTCACTGTGCTGGGAGGATTTGTGTTCCCAGGGCAGAGACCAGCGGTCTTACCCACCTCTCTTGCCTAGCAGGGTCGGTGGACCTGGGTGTCTGTCTGGACACATCCTCCAGTGGCCTGGACCTGCCCATGAAGGTGGTGGACATGTTCAGGTGCTGTTTGCCTGCGTGTGCCATGAACTTCAAGTGGTAGGAGCAGAACCCGAATCTTTCTGGGGATAGCTTCACAGATCCACCGCTGACGGGGAAGCAGTGCAGAGTGAGCTGCCCAAAGTGAGGCCCTGACCCTCGGTCAGTCCAGCACACACTGGAGGCCATGAGGAGGAGCCCTGCCGTTACTGTGGCTGGGCTGAGCCTCACTGAAGTAGGTGCTTCCATTTAGAGCTCATGCTATATTTAGGTTGGTACAAAAGTAATCACGGTTTTTGCCATTAAAAATGGCAATTACTTTTGCACCAACCCAATAGGGAAAAAAAAAGCACCCTAAATACTAGAACTCCACTCGGGGCTTTTGCTCCTAGAGTAGAATTGGCAGGAAATGCCTGCAGGCTTACATGGTTTTCTTTGTTTTTCTCTCCCACCATGTCCCTTTTGGACAAGCTGACATGGTGGGTTTGAATGAGTTAAATGAGTGTCATGCTGTGGCCTCACTCCATCCAGCATAGACGGGTGTTTGGAAGGGTGGCATTAGAGGAGATTCTAGAAGCAGTAGCCCCAGCACAAGTTAAGCCCTTGGCCCCTGCTCAGGAGCCGGCTCCTGGATGGGATTCAGGGATGCGAGCCCCTCGTGTGAGCTGAGCTCAGGGAATGTCGGGATCAAATCTGGTGTCCTAGAAAAGTCATCTTTTATGTGCTGAACCAGTCCCCAGAGGGTTGCCTTTACTTGTTCCATGGCCATGGAATTAAGAAAAACATGCAAAAATAATTCTTCAGTACTTGAAGAGCATCCAGCACAGAAGGTACAAACCTTCCTTAAGGCTCCCTCCTCAAATTGGTTTAGACATTTTGATGTGCACACCCCCAGGCCTTTATACCCTTCAGATGCCAAATCTAAGAACCAGCTCCCAGAAACCACACTCCCTGTTCCAAACCCCAGCCTGGCTTTAGCATGGGGTGGGTGGGAGACCAGCTGGGCACCCCAGGGTTCTGGTGTCTTCTCCAGGCAGCTCTCAGGCTCCCTTCCTTCTCTCTGCAGTTTACATGAGCTGGTGAAACATGAAGAAAACGGCCTGGTTTTGAGGACTCAGAGGAAATGGCAGCTCAGCTGCAGGTAGACATGTCTGCCACCACGCCAAGGTGGGCAGGGTTCTGGAGACTGGCATCGAGCCACGCTCCCTGCTCCCGGCTTCCCACAGCCAGGGTGGGACCATGGGGGGTCTGGTGGAAAAGCTAGGGAGGGAGCAGAAGTCACAGAGGCCTCCTACTCTGCTGTCCCGTTTCGGTACAGTAGGCTCGGGAAAGTTAGGACACAACCCCACCTGCCCTCTGGATTTATGGAGCTGACACTCCACAAATGATGCTGGAGCCGGGTGGGCCAGGCTGCAGTTTAGGAAGTGATCGGATCAGGTAGGTGTGTGGGCAAAGGGAACTTCTGGGACCAGACTTGAAAGATGGGTGGAATTCTGCAAAGGTTACCTGTTTCTTATTGCAAAAAGTAATACATCATTCTTGTCAACAGAATGATTGGGAGGATTTTCAGTAAAAGTCCAGGTCAGAAGTCATTTAGACAGGGTACCCCAGTCTCTGTCAGAACCATGGTACTCTGTTGTGGTGTGAAAGTAGCCACAGATCATCTGTAGATTAAGGGGTGTGGCTTTGTTCCAATAAAGCTTTATTCACAATCACAGGCTGTGGGCTGGATTTGGCCTGCAGGCTGTAGTTTGTGATCCTTGATTCAGACAGTTTAGCAAGGCTGTAAAGAACACCCACACCCCCTTGTTACCCACAGATGGGTGGGACTGTGTTGGCCAGAGACAGAGAGGAGGGTGCTCACAGGGGAACGTACAGCATGCAGAGGCCGGAAGGTGCTCCAGCGCACCAAGTGTGGGAAAGTGGGACATACGGGGAAGTTTCCAGAAAGCATGATGTCAAGTTGGAGGCATAGCGCTGCTGGGCTGTGAAGGGTCTCAAGTCCAAGTGAGGGAGTTAGGGACTTGGTGTAGGGGTGGGTTGCCCCTACACACATGTGGGTGTTTCTCGTAAGGTGGGACGAGAGATTTGGAAAAGAAAAAGACACAGAGACAAAGTATAGAGAAAGAAATAAGGGGAACCGGGGAACCAGCGTTCAGCATATGGAGGATCCCGCCAGCCTCTGAGTTCCCTTAGTATTTATTGATCATCTGTGGGTGTTTCTCAAAGAGGGGGATGTGTCAGGGTCACAAGACAATTGTGGGGAGAGGGTCAGCAGACAAACACGTGAACAAAGGTCTTGGCATCATAGACAATGTAAAGGATTAAGTGCTGTGCTTTTAGATATGCATACACATAAACATCTCAATGCTTTACAAAGCAGTATTGCTGCCCGCAGGTCCCACCTCCAGCCCTAAGGTGGTTTTTCCCTATCTCAGTAGATGGAGCATACAATCGGGTTTTATACCGAGACATTCCATTGCCCAGGGACAGGCAGGAGACAGATGCCTTCCTCTTGTCTCAACTGCAAGAGGCATTCCTTCCTCTTTTACTAATCCTCCTCAGCACAGACCCTTTACGGGTGTCGGGCTGGGGGACGGTCAGGTCTTTCCCTTCCCACGAGGCCATATTTCAGACTATCACATGGGGAGAAACCTTGGACAATACCTGGCTTTCCTAGGCAGAGGTCCCTGCGGCCTTCCGCAGTTTTTGTGTCCCTGGGTACTTGAGATTAGGGAGTGGTGATGACTCTTAAGGAGCATGCTGCCTTCAAGCATCTGTTTAACAAAGCACATCTTGCACCGCCCTTAATCCATTTAACTCTGAGTTGACACAGCACATGTTTCAGAGAGCACAGGGTTGGGGGTAAGGTTATAGATTAACAGAATCTCAAGGCAGAAGAATTTTTCTTAGTACATAACAAAATGGAGTCTCCTATGTCTACTTCTTTCTACACAGACACAGTAACAATCTGATCTCTCTTGCTTTTCCCCACACTTGGGAGGGGTTGTTGTTGGGTCGGGGACCTGGGGTCAGCCAGGTGATGACCTGGGATGGGGTGGGAACAGGCAATGAGGTAAGCTCTGCTCTTTAGCATTTTGCAGATGCTTTTCTCAAACTTTCCTGATCCTGCTGGCAAGCTAAACCAGTTCCGGAAGAACCTGCGGGAGTCGCAGCAGCTCTGATGGGATGAGAGCTGGGTGCAGACTGTGCTCCCTTTGGTTATGGACACATAACTCCTGGGCCAGAGGCTAAAACCCCAGGGCCGCTGCTGTCCTTCCCGCAGCTTCTTCTTGGAGTCTCAGGGCAAACCCTTTTGAGCAGCACCTCCCAGTAGCCAGAAGCTGAAATGACAGCAGTGGTGCCACCTGGTGAATGACCCGGGAAGCTGTGGTTGGCCCTGATTTCTTCTTTGGAGTCTCTGAAACGCTTCCTGTCTTCTTCTACTCTTCACGCCCCATGCCCCTGCTAATGTATTACTGTTCTGTGACTTCCCTGTGACCTCTGCAGTACTCCTCATCCTGCATTTGGTCTCCAGGTGTAACCTTTCTGCCGTGTTCCCAGCACTTTGATTCCTGTCTTGAAAAAAGCACCTACTGCACCATAAGCCCTGGGATGTGGCAGCTGCAGCGGGCTTGGCTTTTTGAGGAACCGAGTGAGTCCAGGGATGTGGCAGCTGCAGCGGGCTTGGCTTTGTGAGGAACAGAGTGAGTCCAGGGATGTGGCAGCTGCAGCGGGCTTGGCTTTGTGAGGAACCGAGTGTGTCCAGGGATGTGGCAGCTGCAGCGGGCTTGGCTTTCTGAGGAACCAAGTGTGTCCACGTGGGGGGAACGTCATCCTTGATACACACGTTTTTATTTGCAGAGAGAAAATGCTATTTTTGGAGCCAAAATTTTCATGTCTGATTTATGGTGATTTTCTTAAGAACCAGAACTGCTGGCAGAAAGGGGCACCCACACGCTTAGACAGCTGATGTCTTATTAGAGGGCAGTTTGTGGTTCCTGATTTGGAATTTAACAATCTCCAAACATTCTAGTCCAATGAAAGTTTTATCCGCTTTCCCATATAAAAATTCTTCCCACGAGAGTGACTTGATTCTCACAATCCTGTTGGAGTCGTGTGTGAGTCCTACAGTGTGAGGTTCAGCATTGCCATCTCCAAGTGCTCTCCGTAGGGAAACAGTTTCTGGTCATGATGAGCTTCCGCTTCCCATCTGATCCCGGCCTGGCCTGGAAACAAAGCACGTGTTTGAGGATGGCGGTGTTTGGGGACAGGACATGAGCGTTTTGTGTGGGGCTGCTAGGACAGGCCTGGCGGGGTGGGGGGCGTCTAAGTCAGTTTACTTGCTTCACAGGTTCCCAGGCCCACCCACGTACCTAGAATTGGCCTCCAGGATGGGACCAGAAGTCTTGTTTTGCATAGAAATGGCTAGCAGCAGGCACCATGCCGCTGTCCACTCTCTGCCTGCATCTGCCCCAGCACTTGGCACAGCAGGACAGAAACAGAGATCTGAACCCACATGTACCTGGCTGCTCACTCAACTCACTCTTCACAAAGCTTAGATAGTGGCCGGGCACAGCCAGACTCTGTCTCAAAAAAAAAAAAAAAAAAAAGTTGGTTGGGGCTTATACTATGTGTGCTGCTTGGCACTGTTTTTTTCACTTAAAAGATATTGCAGGTTTTTTTTCACTTAAGTATCTGAAGAAAGACTTCCTTTTTTTTTTTTTTTTTTTTTTTTTTTTGCTTTTTTGAGACAGGGTCTTGCTCTGTTGCCCACGCTGGTGTGCAGTGGTGAGATCAGGGCTCACTGCAGCCTCCACCTCGTGGGCTCAAGCCATCCTCCCACCTCAGCCTCCCGAGTAGCTGGGACTACAGGCATGTGCAACCACATCTGGCTAGTTTCTGTATGTTTTGTGAAGATGTGGTCCCACTCTGTGGCCCAGGTTGGTATTGAACACCTGGGGTCAAGTAGTCCTCCTGCCTTAGCCTCCTAAAGTGCTGGGATGACAGGCCTGAGCCCCTTGCCCGGCCAGCCTCCTGTGCGAGGTTGTGCGGGACTCTGTCGTGGAACCCAGTGTGCCTTCGTGTGCTGGCTTGTTTGTTGACTCTGTAGTTAACGGGCTGCCCCACGTGGACAGGCACTGGGTCGTCCGTGTCTCTGTGTGCAGGCAGAGGCTGCTGCGGGTGCATCTGTGCACATGGCTGCCAGGAGGGGCTGTGCTCAGGGGGAGCTGGGGCAGAGGCTGGTGGCAATGGGGGGCTTGGGTATAGTGTGGAGGCACGAGAGCCAGGTGGCCGGGCTGCAGTCTGCAGGAGCTCGGGGGTCGCTTGGCCTCTGTGTGTCCTAGTGTCTTTGTCGGTGAGATGGGACAATGACAGCACACCCTCACAGGTGCTGGGGGCTGACAAATGTCAGGTCTGAGGACAGTGACTGGCCCACTACGGGGCCAGTTTCCCTCCTCTATAGTCACCCTACTTGTCTTCCATCAACTGGGTGCTCAGGACAGTGGCGTGGAGGATCCGCCTGTACAGCCTGTGCTCCAGCGTCCTGCAGGCCACAGGTGTGTCCAGCCCTGAATCCGACTGCCCCTCCCACCACCTGCATTTTATAGATGAGAAAACCGAGGCCCAAGGGCTTAGAGAACCCTGCTCTGAAGCACATAGTAGGGCTGCTGGGCTCAGACTCTCCCTCCCTGTGCTGAGGTGTCCTCCTCCTGCCTCAAGCCCCCCACGCCCCGAGCCCACCCTGCTCACTGGCCTCTGCCCGAGTTCCCCGCGTGGTGTGGGAGTGTGGGGCATGCTAGCTTTTCCCCGGTGCCCAGTTCTTTCACTTCCACTGGAGTCCTGCAGGGACAGCTCGGGGACCATGCAGGCCCGGGTGGGCGTGGGGGCTCACCTAGCTCGGTGGTGAACAGCTGGCACGTCTCTGGGTTGCGGACGGTAAAGGCCACGTAGACCTCAGGAGCCCGCTTGTGCTCCCGGCAGGCAGCCAGCCTCTGCAGGACCCCGACCAGCGACACGATGGCTTCTGGGCAATACAGCAAGTCTACGGTGAAAGCTTCAGGTTACTGTAAGGGACAAGTGGAAAGCTCCAGTTCATGCTGACCTCAGCAGCAGGGTGAGGCCAGAGAGGCAGCAGTCATATGAGACTATGAGATGCCACTTGACCATTTGGGCCATTAGACGGAAAGGCAATTACTTGGGTGAAAAAGGAGAACCCTTGGTAGAGAAAGCTTCAAAAGACCGAAGCAAAAGAAAAAAATCTCCAGACTCACTGGTGTTCCTTAAAAACCCAGCTCTGGTTCTCAGCCTATCTAGAGGGCTTTGAATGACAGAAAGCCTGATCCTGCCGTGAAATTCGTGTTTCAGGTATCTGCCGATTGGTCTGCTGGCTTGCAGGGGTGGGCCTGTGTCTCTGGCCACCGCTGGACCTGTGGGTTTCAGGGCTGGGACCCAGGACCACAGGCAGAGCTCTCTTCCACCAGAGAGGGGACTGAGTGTGCTGGCAGGGGTGAGGGGTTTTCAGTGGCCCAGCTAAACACCACCTTCTCTCAAGGGCCCTGGCCTCATCCCAGAAGTGGTTGTTTTCCTCCTGTGGTCTCTGAAGGACAGAGGGCATGGCTCTGGGAAAGAGCCATGTGGTGCCGACTGTAATGAGAGTATGCCTGTCTCCAACAAGAGGGCTGTGGCTTGAAGGTCACCTTAAGAGGCACCCCTGTCCTTTGATGTCACCCTGGAGGCCCAGAGTAACTCTTCTGGAAGCCCCATCACGTCCATGCCCGACAGCGTCCATTGTTCCCTTTTCCCAGAGCCAAGAGCTGGGTAGAGCTGCAAGGACACGGCCTGCACAGGATGCCCGGGGCTGGGCATTACCTGCTGCAATGACAACATCTGGGTGGAAGGCAGAGAGCTGATGGACCGTAGCTACGTCCCAGTCCAGCTGGGCCACTGTCACCCTGGGGCTAAGTTGCCAGTGATGTCTGCCTCTAATGAGAGGCCATTGAGAAGGACATTCCCTTGGAGCTGCTCGAGGACCCGGCTGTGAGGGTCGCTGAAGATGTATGCCCGGGGGCGGCACATCTTGCAGATGGCAAGGCCTGTGAGGCCGGCACCACTGCCAAGCTCTAGGACAGTCCTGGCGGGAAGAAAGGGGACCGTGTCTTCGACTGCACCAGGGTAAGCCCGCCTCGGTGCCCTGCCCTGTGCCCCGAGGTCACCTGTTAATGAAGGCTGCCGGGTTCTCGATGGCCCATTCTACAAGGTAGAGGGCGGTGTCCCATGTGACCCGGCCTGTGGTACCGTGGGAGATGATGGCTGTGCTCTCAGAGTGTGACCGAGCCTCCCCAGGGCTGCAGCAAGAGAGGGCGAGAGAGTCAGTCCAGCGATCAGAAGGCAAGTGGCTTAGAAGACAAGTAGCCATCCACCACATGGCTGAATAAACAATGACAGGACCAATCACCACTCAGCAATGAGAAGCAGCTAACTGTTGACATACCAACAGCTTTCACGGGCCTCAAGGGTGTCACGTGGCATGAAAGACACTCATCTCAGGCCACACAGGATTCCATCCATTGAACATTCCTGAGACAAAGGATTTCTGGCGATGGAGCACAGGTCAGTGGTGGCCAGGGGCCAGGTGTGGCAATGAAGGGGTGACTGCCTTGTGATGATTCAATATGCTATGTTTTTCCTTTGTGGTTTTCTGTATCTATGTTTTATCTTATTTTTTTTTTTAGCTCTGTCACCCAGGCTGGAATCAGTGGCACGATCTTGGCTCACTGCAACCTCTGCCTCCTGGGTTCAAGCAATTCTCCTGCCTCAGCTGCCCAAGTAGCTGTGACTACAGGCGTGTGCCACCATGTCCGGCTAATTTTTGTACTTTTTTTTGAGACAGAGATTCACTCTCGTTGCTGAGGCCGGAGTGCAACAGCACGATCTCGGCTCACTTCAACCTCCACCTCCCGGGTTCGAGAGATTCTCCTGCCTCAGCCTCCCGAGTAGCTGGGATTACAGGCGCCCACTACCACACCCTGCTAATTTTTGTATTTTTAGTAAAGATGGTGTGTCACCATATTGGCCAAGCTGGTCTCAAACTCTTGACATCAGGTGATTCCCTCGCCTCAGCCTCCCAAAGTGCTGGGATTACAGGCATGAGCCACCACGCCTGGCCTAATTTTTGTATTTTTAGTAGAGACAGGGTTTCATCATATTGGCCAGGCTGGTCTCGAACTCCTGACCTCAGATCCACCCGCCTTGACCTCCCAAAGTGCTGGGATTACAGGCATGAGCCACCATATCCAGCCCTGTCAAGTATTCTTTGAGGACTGGGCACCAGGTCCTTGTGAAGCAGGTAGTGTGTGTCACCTATTGGACAAGTGCCCAACAACCCCACGAGACATGCTGTTGTTATTGAAGTGCTTGATTTACAGACAGGGAAACTGAGGCTAAAGAAGGTTAATGGACCTCATATCTAAGACTGCAGAATGGGTGAGTCAGGATTTGAACCCACACCCACGTTTTCACTTTGTCTGTGCAGGAAGGGTATCTGGGCTGTGAGGGGGAGGAGGGTGCCCTTCTCATACCAGCAAATAGCTCTGGTGGCCCTGGGTGGACTCCTTGGCCATCAGAGTCTCTGCCAGCGCCTCGTACAGCTCATCCAAAGGCTCCGTGTGGACAGCCTCATGCTGGGGGCAGACAGAGTGAGAGCTTGTTTGCTTTCGTTCTAATCTGTAAAAATGGTCAGATGATTTTCACCAAGTTTGGAGGGGAGATTTGGGATGAAATGGTGTAATGCCAGCCAGCTGGTATATAAAATATTCATTTCGTTGGGCGTGGTGTTGTGTGCCGAATAGTTCCAGCTACTCTAGAGGCTGACGTGGGAGGACTGCTTGAGCCCAGGAGTTCGAGGACAGCCTGGGCAACAGAGATCTTGTCTCTAAAAATAAAATTATTCCACTTGGTAGGGAAACCTGGAAGGGAGGGCCTTCAACAAGAGGTGTTGAGAGGGGAGGGTTAGGTGTAGTCGAGGGCAGGAGACAAGGATTCCGTGAGAGCTGCCACATGACCATGACAGAGAGCTCTGTGTTTGGATCAAACACAGAGAGGAGGAAAACAAAAGGTGATTTTAAGTGAGCCCAGGCAGAACTGTGAGGGCGGCCCATGCTGCAGGCTGTGGCTGTCAGCAGGCTGCTTCTCCACAGCTGGCCCCGTCCTACAATTCTCAGGGCAGCAGCAGGGTACACTGGGTGACTGCTGCCCTCTCCTGGTGGCACAGGGCAGACCTGCTGGTGACCACAAATGCACCCTTTTGGGGAGAACTAGGGAGAAAGCAGGTATTGGAGAAGCAGGGGATTGCTTATTTGCTGAAAGTGTGGCCCTTTCACTCAGCAGGTCTGCTACTGCCTACTAAGGAACGGCCTTTCGACATCCTCATGTCAAACCCTGCATGTTCGGGCCCATCTTTAAAATCCATCCTAGGCCAGGTGCGGTGGCTCATGCCTGTAATCCCAGCACTTTGGGAGGCCGAGGCAGGCGGATCACCTGAGGTCAGGAGTTCGAGACCAGCCTGGACAACATGGTGAAACCCTGTCTCTACTAAAAATACAAAAATTAGCCAGGCATGGTGGCATGTGCCTGTAGTCCCAGCTTCTTAGGCACGAGAGTTGCTTGAATCCAGGAGGTAGAGGTTTCAGGGAGCCGAGATTGTGCCATGGTAATCCAGCCTGCGCAACACAGTGAGACTGTCTCAAAAAACTAAATAAGTAAGTAAAAAATAAAATCCATCCTATATCAGTCAGGAAAGAGCTCATTCCAGCAGGATCAATGCAGAGAATTCACCAGAGGAACTAGTTCCAAAGGTATGGCAAGAGCTAAAACTTCCAACAGGGGCCCGTGGGGCAACCCAGAGACAGACAAGAGCAGGAAACTCCAAACCCTTTGGTGGGCAGGACAGAGGGTGTGGGTGATGGTTCCAGTGCTGTGGGCTGGTCCAGCCTGGTAGGAATGAGAATCCATATGCTAGGAGCTGGGGCCCCAGAGAAGCAGCTGCTGTGGAACCCCCAGAGGGCAGACTCAGGGAGAGACGCTGGCCTCCCCTTATTCCCACCCTGCACTGTCTCCCATGGGTCACACTCAGCTGCAGCCAGTTGCCTGAGGAGGCCCCTGACATGCCTGGGTTTGCAAAGCAGGCCCAGGGCCTGGGAAGGACGGAGTGTGCAGCACACCGGTGGCTATGCTGTCCAGCTACTGGGCGGACACTGCCCATAACTGACCTTTTTGATGAGTTCTGAGAGAAAGCACCGGGCATACTTGACTGACGGCGGGGGCTTCACACACACAGGATGCCTCACAGTCTACGGCAAAGGACAGAACGTTGGTTGCTCGAGAGCCCGTCTTAAGTCTCCTATGAGCTTCAAGCCAACACAGCAGAGGGCAAACTCCAGGCTACCCGATCCCTCAGCAGAGATGCAGATGGACACAGCGTTCTGGCTCCACGCATCTGAAGTTTGTCTTAAGATATAAGCCGTTTCCTAAAAATGCTTCCACTGCAGTGGCACAGGCTATGGCAGCATTTCTAACGCCCATTCTGAGCAGGAACACAGGGCATGTGGGCCCAAACCACCTCCCTCCCAGGGGAGCCAGTGTGAACCAGGGCTTGCAGTAAGGACAGTCGCCAACTATCTGGCTTTATGGAAGAGGCGGGAAGGCCCACTCAGCAACTGCTCTCTGGGAGCGTGTGTCCCTGGGGACAGGATGGAGGGGAGGGGAAGCTCAGGGTGACTCCAGCTAAAGCCGAGAGAAGCCAAGTGCAGGATGAGCAAGTTCCAGGCAGTGGGAACAGCCTGTGCAAGCTCTGAGGTGGCCACGGGCTGGCACTTGGAACGGAGGGCAGAGGGACTGGTGCAGCAGGAGGGGGGATGGTGGGAAAACAGAAGCCTGGAGGGAGAGGGAGGAGATAGTCCGCAGTGCCTGCTGGCTGGGAGGGATGCAGATTCTGCCCAAGGGCAGCAAAGTACCCCACGCAATACACAGGCTCTTCATGCTGGTGCTGGTTTTTCATTTGTTCTGACCCAGAGTCTCGCTCTGTTGCCCAGGCTGGAGTGCAGTGGCCCGATCTTGGCTCACTGCAGCCTCCGCCTCCTGGGTTCAAGCGATTCTCCTGCCTCAGCCTCCCGAGTAGCTGGGACTATAGGCATGCACCACCACGCCCAGCTAATTTTTTTTTATTTTTAGTAGAGATGGGTTTTTGCCATGTTGGCTAGGCTGGTCTTGAACTTCTGACCTTAGGTGATCCATCCACCTCAGCCTCCCAAAGACCTGGGATTACAGGTGTGAGCCAGTGCACCCAGCCTTGTGCTGGGTTTTAAAGCAGCTCTCCCTACATCTCATGCTTCACCACCTACGAGAGTGAGGCTCAGGGTGAAACTCAGAGCAGGGTGCGAGATAACTTCAGGTATCTCCATACTCGAAGCCTGACCTACTGTATTGCCCTGAAAGTCTTCCCTGCTGTGGCTGCATCTTTTCCACGTGGATAATCTTGGTTCACCTCTAGCACAGGAATTCTTCACCGGGGCTCCTAGGATGGGCTGGGTGGGTGGGCGTGGAGGATGTCTGCCTCCCCTGAGTTTGTATGGAAAATGTATTCTGGTGCACTTCTTTCTGGGAGGGAGTCTATTGCTTTGTCTTTTCTGAAGGGCTCATGGCCCTTCGAAGGTGAAGACCCAGGATGCAGGGTGATCTGCACTTGGCCCTCAAGGCCAAGGTCAGCCTGTGGCTGGGCCGGGTGGTAATCCTGGCTCTCACCTGCATGCAGATGCACTTGAGTCCACACCCCACCCTGGGCAAAGCAAGGGCCCATTTAGGTGTAGAGGAGACAGGAGTGGGCGGGACAGGCCTCATGAATGCAAAAAAGAAAGTCTCTGAGCATCTACCAAATGCTAGAAGCTGTTTTGCACCTGTCATCTCTGTTTTTGCTGAGGATGGTTTAAAAAACATTCCCTAGATTTCCCCTCTCTTGCAGATTTTTGTATATTCTGATGTCTTTGTCTAAGTCTTAGATAGAAAACGAAAGCGCAGGAGCTGTCGGAGGTGCTGACACCCACCTGCAGTGCTGACTCAATGGTTTTGTTCTTTGAACAGGGGTGTTTTTAAAGGGGACAAGCACACCTGCGGTTCTTCTCTCAGGTGTTCCGGAGAGATTCAGGAGGCAGGGTCATGAGTCCCAGGGACTCTGGAATTCTTACCTTCTGCAAAATATCCCTCAGCAGCTCAGAATCTGATGAGTCTCTTAACTTTGCTTCTAAGCTCTGTGTGGACGGGAGAGAGAGAAATCTCAAGGGCGCATTCACAGGAACATTAAAACACACAATAGAATGTGTTGGCAAAGCTCTATGTGATCCCTCCCTGGGGACGTGGAGCCAGTTGGAAGTGGAAGCCACAGCGGCTGAAAGCCTGACCTTCAGATGTCGCAGCGTGCACCTGGATGAGTCACAGGAAGAAGGCTGACTCTTGGCAGCATTAGTCCTGGCTACTTAGCGGCCACCCGGGTCATGGGCCAGCTCCCTGGTTGCACTGGTCAGCCAGGAATTACCACGTCAGCCATGGCACCAAGGTTTGATGGGCTTGCCATCTGAGTTTAAGTGGAAATGCAGAATGTGCCCATACCAGCCTGGGTTACATTGTCCTCTTACAGGGGCCTCAAGTCCAGCAGCAAGCTTTGGCTCCTGAGTTAGGCAGACTGTCTCGGCTGGTATGTGACACACCGCAAGGCATTTCATTGCTTCAGAGCTCCGTCCATGCCATAAAAGGCCCTACAAGACCTGGTCCTAATCCCTCTCTCTGGACTATTCTCCCTCATCCCTGGCCCACACTGCTCACTCCACTCCAGCCACACTGGCTACCTTGCTGTTGTTCCTCAACCACAGCTGGCTTGTTTCCACCACAGGGCCTTTGCATATCCTGTTCCCCAAACCCTTCCCATGGCTGGCTGCTTCACCACTCAGGCCCCAGTTCAAATGCCACCTCTTTGGGGAAGGCTTCCCTGATTCCCCGACTTTGGTGACTCTTCTCCCCAGTTGCTCCATTCACCATTCCCCTGTTTTCTTGGCTTTAAAGCCACTCTCATCTGGTCTTTTCTTGTTTATTCATTTATTTGTTTATTCTCTGTCTCTCCCATGCAAGCAGAGCCTCATCTATCATGGGTACTGCTGATCCATGGTGCTTGGCTCACAGAAGGCATTTATTAAACATTTTGAGACTGAGTAAAAACACTAGCTAACACCGACATACATTTACCATGAGCCAGGCACTGATCCACAGGCTTCTGTACTCAACGCTGACAACAACCCTAAGAGGTAGGTATCATTATATCAACCATTTTATGAATAAGAAAACAACAGCACAGAGAGATGCAGTCACTTGCCCAAGGTCACACAGGGCCAGGGGTTGGGCCAGGATTCGAAGCAGGCAGGCTGTCTCCTGGGTCTGAACTCTCAACTACTACACCCTAATCAAACAATCCCTCTGGTCAAATGTGAGTGATAATAATAGTACCCACCTCGTGGGTGTTGAGGGTGAGCCCAAGTTAGCATTCAGCGTGGGCATGTGAACAATTATAGTCAATATTGAATGGAGACCTATGATGCTTTTATGAAGGTTTCTATTTTGGGTTAAAAATGCATAAATTTCTCCTGACCAGAAATGATCTCTGAGTGCTAAATATTTTATGTCAATGGAATAACGCAAATGATTAAGCAACACCCCATAAAATGGGGCAGACCCAGGGAGGAATATATATCCAAACTGACTCATCCCAGTGAGCTCACTGCACATGAATTACAAATGGAGCGGGGTGCATTAAGCCCCTCTGCTGGCAGAAGGGAGGCTGCTGCCTGCCATGTGCCTGTGCTGAGAATGGCAGGTCCCCAGGGAGAGGAGAGGCCAGCCCCTTCTCTATCTCTTCCATCACAGGCGTGAAAGCCTCAGCGCATGAGCTGATTCTATGTAGTGCTCGACATACAGATGAGAACACTGAGGCCCTAGGGACAGCCTTTGACCTGGTCACCGCGCTCAGGAGGAGGTGGTTACCCGCGGGCCTGAGGGCGCTGACTTTTTAGAATGGGCGAGGGCAGATGTGTCCCAGTGACCAGAACGATTACTGCCTTTAAAAAGTCATGAAAATGATCGTGAACTGTACCCCACACCGAGCGCGCGTCTGCACCCCAAGACTGTGGAGACGCCCCCAGCTTCTGCCGCCAGCTCGCGGGGCAGGATGGGTGAGAGCGACTCTGGCCAGGCCCCAGGGACGGGGACCGGGTCTCGCGGCCCTGACCAGGGAGAGCCCAGGAACTCACGTGGCAGGAGCGCCGGGGGTTTCAGCACGGAGACCCATCCCGTCTGCCCCTGGACTCCGCGAGCCCCGCGGGCCTCTCCGCTCGCCCCGCCGCCCACCTGCCAGGGGAAGGAACGCAGTGTGCGCGCCACTAGGAAGCGGCTCTCGAAACTCTGCAGCAAGAGTTTGGTACCCGCGTTCTCCTCGGGCGTCATGATGTGGGCGGGGCCGCAGAGTTGCCAGGAGACCGGGCGGAAGCCGGGCCTGGATTGAAAAGGGAGCGGGCCCAGGGTAGTGCGCGGGGGCTGAGAGGGGGCGGGGCCTGGGGGCAGGGTCAGGAGGAGCGTCCTGGGGGCGGACTCTAGGGCGGGGCCAAGATGAGCTTATAGGAGGGCGGGGCCTGGGGTGGGGCCAGGATGAGCGTCTTTGGGGCAGGTGCTGGGTAGAGTCCAGGTTGGCGGGTCCTGGGGCGGGGTCAGCATAGGGCGATCCTGGAAGCTGGTCTTCGGAAGCGTCCAGGTTGGTCGCGTCCTGGAGGCGCTGCCTTGCGTGGGGGCAGGATAAGAGTCCTGGAGGCGGGCATTAGGGCGGGGATAAACGCCATTGGGTTCAGGAGGCGGGACTCGGAGCAGAGCCCAGGAGACAGGTCCTAGGGCGGGGCTAAGGCCAGACCCAGAGAAGGGCTCAGGAGGCGGGGCCGGGGCGGGGCGTTGACTATGTCGTAGCACATGGCCAGGCGGTGCGCGGACTCTGGGAGGCGGAACTTAGGACGGGCCCACGTGGGGAGGGGTCCAGGGTCCGGGAGGCGGGGCCGAGTCCGGGCTGCGGGCTGCGCTCAGGAGGCGGGCCCTGGGAGGCGGAGCTTAGGGAGGGGCCGGTGTCGGGAGGGACCCAGGGACTGGGAGGCCGGTCGGGGCTGGGCTCAGGGGCCCAGACCTAGCTGGGCTTGGGGAGGGGCCGAGACGGAGCGAGGGGTCCAGGGCGTGGGAAACGGGGAGGGGTTTGAGGAGGGGATCGGAATGTGGCTCAAGTTCGGGAGGCGTTACCTGCGGAGGGTTTGAGGCAGGTCCAGGAGCGAGCCCACGGTCCGCCGACGCGGGACCAGGGGCGGGCCCCAGGATCCGGAGCTTCGGGCGGGGCCGAGTCCGGGTTTGGGGCCCGGAAGGCGGGGCCAGTTAGGGCGAGGGTCCCTGGGATCGTCAGGTCAGGCCTTGGGCTAACGTAGGCACTCTCGCAGTTCCTCCGCCTTCAGGAAAGTCTTTTTAGCAGGGGCCTTACGGGTTCGCGCTTTGGTCCTGGAGGCCTTATCCTAGCCTCCTCTCCATCAGCGCCACCAGTCTGGGGCCCGAAAGGAGGGAGCTTTCCCTCTGTCCCCCAGCCTTTGGACTGTCACCAAACAAGCCATTCGTTCACCAAATACTTATTAAGCGCCTACCATGTGCCTGACAAGGGAGATGTAACGGTGAGAAAAACTAGGTGTGGTCCATGTCCTCCAGGGGCTCAGGGGCTCGTGGAAGAAGTGGACATTGAAGTATTTATCACACAAATGAATATAAAAGTACAATAGCGATATCTGCCACGAAGGTGAGCAGACAGAGCTAGCGGGGCTTGCAGGAGGAGTTTTGATCTTGCAGGGACAGGAAGGAGGAGTTAGCTCCTGCGGGGTGGGATTGGGGGTGGTGGTGATATAGACGTGGGGACAGACTGGAAAACAACAAAAATATAATTATTTTAGTTCAAAGTTATTGTGTCTTGAGTTGAAAGGCAGGACAGTTAGCAACACAGTTCAGATTTCAGTACTGCCCCTGAAATCTGAACTGTGTACAAAGTCTAAAACGTTTACCTTAGCAAATTCCTCATAAAACTCCATTTGGAAGAGTCCCGAGAGCTAATTTGTTAAGTATACTTGCAGAAGGTAGATGAGGAGACAGATAAAATCTTATTACCTCTTTCAGATGAGAGGCACTTGAGCCCTGCTCAGCTATGAGAATAAGAGAGGGGGAATTAATTCTAATTGAATACACTTGTTCTCTTATAGCTGTTGTTCCCCACCAGAACCAAATGAGCGCAAGATCTGACAAAGAAAAAAAGAAGTTCATCTTTTATTCCCCCAAACCCTTTCATTTAAATCAAGAGGGTGGGATGTGGTTATTGCTGTGTTTTTAGGCAGAATCAACGGTTTCTGGGTCTGAGAAGTTGCATACACACTCTCAGTCCCTGTATCCTGAGATGGAGTCACCTGAGGATCCACAGCAAGTCCTAACCAGGGATGGGTCTGGGTGATTAAGGAAGGTTGGCTTCAGAACTGGGCCAGAGGCACTGCTTTGCTTTTGCTGTTTTGATCAGCTCTGTGCCTGCATGAGACAAGGAAAATCAATGGGAACAGGTTAGTTATAAATCCTGGGCTTATTTTATTAACTCACATAATAGCTATTAATTGTCTTCCTCCAAGGAGCAAAAGGGCATATACGGTCAATGCCATAGTAAGTAACACTGTATTATGTTATACTAAAATATTAATCTAGGTTCGTTCAGTCTTTCCTGATTCCATAGATTGGAAGCGGATTGAAGAAGGACGCTAGTGGACCACAGACCTGAGCCATGCACACAGAAGAAATCTTTTTTTCTTTTTTTTTTTTTTTTTTTTTTGGAGACGGAGTTTTGCTCTCTTGTTGCCCAGGCTGGAGTGCAATGGCGCAATCTCGGCTCACTGCAACCTCCACCTCCCAGGTTCAAGCGATTCTCCTGCCTCAGCCTCCTGAGTAGCTGGGATTACAGGCATGAGCCACTATGCCGGGCCACTTTTGTATTTTTAGTAGAGACAGGGTTTGAACACGTTGGCCAGGCTGGTCTCAAATTCCTGACCTCAGGTGATCCACCCGCCTCTGCCTCCCAAAGTGCTGGGATTACAGGCGTGACCCACCGCGCCTGGCCAGAAGAAATCTTTATCTTGGTGTGCAGTCTCCGGAGAGGGACAAATGTCATCTCTCTTGGATCTGAATCTGGAAGGATCCAGGCACTGAAGGGATTTTTTTGTTCCAGACAGTCTCCCTCTGTCGCCAGGCTGGAGTGCAGCGGCGCGATCTCAGCTCACGGCAACCTCTGCCTCCCCGGCTCAAGCGATCCTCCTGCCTCAGCCTCTCGAGTAGCTGGGACTACAGGCACGCGTCACCACGCCCAGCTAATTTTTGTATTTTTAGTAGAGACAGGGTTTTACCATGTTAGCCAGGATGGGCTCAATCTCTTGACATCATGATCCACCTGCCTTGGCCTCCCAAAGGGCTGGGATTACAGGCGTGAGCCACCACGCCCGGCCTCACTGAAGGGATTTTTTTAATGTCACGTGGCTCTCACAGGTGCGGTGTGTTTGGGTGCAAGTGAAGATTACGACTGACGCTTAAAAACAAACGTAAAATTCCAGGTGGTGTTGCTATGCGGAGCAGCATTAGGACAGTCTGAGTGGTTTCAGTTGAAGAGTGTGCGTGTACGTGCAAGTGCTACAGTCAAGATTCAACTTCTGGCTTTGAGGGTCTCTTTAATAACAGTAATAGCAACTTAAGTCAGTTTAAGAGTATGGAATGGTTGCCTTTTAGAAGTTAAGCTATGGGCATGGAAGTTCAATCAGTACTTTGAAGTTTTTCCTTTATCTCTCCTATGGTTAATGGTTTCTGCAGAAAAGGACCAATTGATTTCTTTCTAAAACGTTGCTTCAGGGTGTAGAGTCCTTTATAGGTCATTTGTCAACTTACAGAAAATTTTTATAGTTCAAATATAAATTACGTTCAATGTAGACTTTGTAATAGAATTTAAGGTGAAGTAAAGTTTCCACTTTCCTTAGGCTGTTTGCAGTGCCCAGCAGGCCCCATGATATCGAGGTGGAAGTTCTGTTAAAGGAGGAAGTTGGTCAGGGATGGGCAGAATAAGGAATATGCGCAGCTCAGGCTAATGATACAATGATTGAGATGTAGAAAGAGGGCCAGGCATGGGATAACGCCTGTAATCCCAGTGCTTTGGGAGGCCAAGGCAAGAGGATCGCTTGAGGTCAGACCAGCCTGGTCAACAGAGTGAGACCTAACCTGTACAAAAAAAAAAAAAACACAAAACAAAACAAAAAAATTAGTTGGGCATGATGGTGTGCACCTGTAGTCTCAGACACTTGGAAGGCTGAGGTCAGGGGATCCCTTGAGCCCAGGAGTTTGAGGCTGCAGTGAGCTATAATCACATAACTGTACTCCAGCCTGGGTGACAGGGTGAGGCCCTGACTCAAAAAAAAAATTGAGTCAGGGAAAAAATTTGAAATCTTAATCCTCAGTACCCAGGAATGTGACCTTATTTGGAAATGTGGTCTTTCTAAATGTAATCAAGTAACGATGAGTCATCCTGGATTGGGGGCTGCTGGTGAGGGGGCAGATGCAGTGACTGGTGTCCTTATAAAAGAAGAGAATGAGGGCTGGGGATGGTGGCTCATGCCTGTAATCTCAGCACACTTTGGGAGGGTGAGGTGGGGGGATCACTTGAAGTCAGGAGTTCGAGACCAGCCTGGCCAATAATAACAATAAAAAAGCCATTTTAGGTTCCAATCCACTGAAAGAAAACTGTCCCTTAGTTAATGTCATGTTTATTGGATCCATGAAGTCTTTGAAAATTTAAACTACATGGACACTGCTGTCTGTGGTGGTGGAGAGAATACCAAGGATTTAAAGGTCTTTAAGAAAGAGAATGTAGAAATCGTACCCATTGGAAACAGCAAGATGATGAAAATCGTACTGACAGTAATAATAAGCTCAAATATATAGAGCTTACTATGTAACATGAATTGCTCTGAATGCTTCATAAATATACGTTCCCTCCTTTACCCTCATGGCAGCCCAGTAAAGTCGCCATTCCCCATTTTACAGCTGGGGAAACTGAGTTACAGAGCTTTTCTGCACTGAGTCATCAGGAGCAAATGCTAGATCAGGTAATTGAACCCAAGCAATCTGGTTCCAGAGCCAAATAGATGTATTTTTTATGGTATAAAACATATACATACATTTTTAGGGGAAGGGTGGGGTAGGATGGGATGAGGATTCTGGGTAATTGCTTGGTAAATGCCAAATACCTTTCTTGTCTGTCCCTCTTTTCAAATGATAAAGTAATGTCAATTGCAGCACTTTTTTTTTTTTTTTTTTGAGACAAGGTCTAGCTGGAGTACAGTGATGCAGTCATAGCCCACTGCAGCCTCAAATTCCTGGGCTCAAGCAATCCACCCACATCAGCTTCCCAAGTAGTTGGGACTACAGGCCCACACTACTATGCCCAGCTAATTATTTTAATTTTTGTAGAGATGGCAGGTGGCGGTGTGGGGGTGTCTCTCTATGTTGCCCGGGCTGGTCTCGAACTCTTGACCTCAAGTGAACCTCCTGCCTCAGCCCCACAAAGCTCTGGAGTTATAGGTGTGAGCCACTGTGGCTGGCTACAATACTATTTATTTATATTTTGGACCAACAGATATTCTAGCATATAAGAAATGTGATGCTTTCTGTACACTGAAGAGTTGGTCTAATATTTGTCCTGGTGGATACAGAAATTGCCTGTCTGCTCCGCTCTGGGTGAAGAAACAAGTCCGACTGTCTCTGAGGCTATGGAGCAGTCCATCAAGAATGAAAGCCCTCTGCCAGGCACGTTGCCTCACACCTGTAATACCAGCACTTTGGGAGGCCGAGGCAGGTGGATCACTTGAAGTCAGGAGTTCGACACCAGCATGGCCAACATGGTGAAACCTTGTTTCTACAAAAAATAGAAAAATTAGCTGGGCCGGGTGATACGTGTCTGTAATCCCAGCTACTCAGGAGGCTGAGGCAGGAGAATCACTTGAACTTGGGAGGCAGAGGTTGCAGTGGGGAGCTGAGATCACACCACTGCATTCCGGCCTGGGCGACAGAGCGAGACTCTCTCAAGAAAAAAAAAAAAAAAGAATGAATATCCTCATGATGGCCTCAAGCACATTGGTCCCTGAAGAGAGTCAAGGAAGGCCCACTTTACTCTGCACTGCAAAGCAGGCAGGTGGACAGGAATCTGATAAGTGGATTCCGTGAGAGGCATTGACCCAAAGGATTTTCTCCCTAATGGTCAGTTCAGCAGAATATTAAACTGAGCACAGCATCCTGTTCCCTGAAACCATCTGTTTTGTCAGTGGGGAATGTTCCTGTCTCGTTAAATGTCCTCATGCTACTGTCAAGATATCCTGTTACAAAACGTCATAAACCAGGTTTACAAATAGGCCAGGTGATTGTGGAATTTCTCCTTGGCAAGGCCTTAGCTACGGGCGTGCGATTGGGGTGCAATAATCACTGTGTTCCGGGCCACTTGAGGGATAAAATATACCTTAGGTGATAAACGGTTGTATTTTAATGCGAATATTTCCACCAACATTAGACAGTAACCCCATGAGTTTTCTGTTACACTGTGGAGTTGCAACAAGCTAACAAGCAAGTTGCAAACATAATGATCGCATTTGGCTCCTATTCACAGCAAGGGTTCTTCAAGCTGTACCTGGGACAGTCTTCCCTCACATGAGGTTTATAGCATCATTTATTTCATTATTTATTTATTTTTTGAGACAGTGTTTTGCTCTGTCGCCCAGGCTGGAGTGCAATGGCGCGATCTTGGCTCACTGCAACCTCCGCCCCCCCGGGGTTCAAGCGATTCTCCTGTCTCAGCCTCCCGAGTAGCTGGGATTATAGGCACCCGGCACCACACCTGGCTAATTTTTGTATTTTTAGTAGAGACGGGGTTTCACCATGTTGACCGGGCTGGTCTGAAACTCCTGACTTCAGGTGATCCACCTGCCTCAGCCTCCCAAAGTGTTGGGATTACTGGTGTGAGCCACAGCGCCCGGCTATAGCATCATTTAAACTGTGTTTCTGCCATGAATTGTTAGTTGGTAGTTAACAAAAAATAGACCACCTCATTTATGTCTCACAGTTAGCATTGGTTTTTGTGTTTTCTTTAGGCTCGTTTTTTAATTGTTTTTAAAATTGTGCAACAGGGTCTTGTTCTGTTGCTGAGGCCAGAGTGCAGTGACACAATCTTGGCTCGCTGCAGCCTCAACCTCCTGGGCTCAAGCAATCCTCCCACTTTAGCCTCCTGAGTAGCTGGGACTACAAACACGAGCCACCACCGCTGGCTAATTTTTAATTTTTAATTTTTTTTTTGAAATGGAGTTTCTCTCTGTCGCCCAGCAGGTTGGAGTGCAGTGGTGTAATCTCGGCTTACTGCAACCTCCACCTCTCGAGTTCAAGCGATTCTTCTGCCTCAGCCTCGGCACCCACCACCATGCCTGGCTAATTTTTAAAATCATTTTTAGTAGCGACAGGGTTTCACCACGTTGGCCAGTCTGGTCTTGAACTCCTGACCTCAAGTGATCCACCTACCTCAGCCTCCCAAATTGCTGGGATTACAGGCGTGAGCCACCACGCCAAGCCTAAGTTTTAAATTTTTTGTAGAGACCAGGTTTTGCCATGTTGTCTAGGCTGGTCTTGAACTCCTGCGCTCAAGTGATCCTCCTGCCTTGGCTTCTCAAAATGCTAGGATTACAGGCATGGCCCTTATGTCTGGCCCTTAAAGCTGCTTTTTAATAACAGCTTTATTGAAAGATAATTCATATACCATACAATTTACCCATTTAAAGTGTATGATTTGGCCGGGCATGGTGGCTCACACTTGCAATCCCAGCACTTTGGGAGGCTGAGGTGGGAGGATCGCTTGAACCCAAGAGTTTGAGATGAACCCCTAGCAACATGGCAAAACCCTGTCTCGACCAAAAATACAAAAAATTAGCTGGGCATGGTGTGTGTGTCTGTAGTCCCAGCTACTCAGGAGGCTGAAGTGGGAGGATGGTTTGAGCCTGGGAGGTGGGTGGTGCAGTGAGTTGAGATTGCACCACTGCACTCCAGCCTGGGCAACAGAGCCAGAACCTGTCTCTAAATAAATAAATAAAGTGTAAAATTCAGTGGTTTTTAATATATTCACAGAGTTCTGCAGCCATCATCACCATCAATTTTAGAAATTTTAATTACCCCAGAAGAAACCCTGTATCCATTAGCAGTCACCCCTTATTTCCCCCGACTATCCCCACCCCTGGCTCCTGGCAACCATTAATCTACTTTCTGTTTCTTTGGATTTTCATATTCTGGGCATATATATATATATGTATAATATATATATAATCATCTAATATTTGTCTGGCTTCTCTCACTTAGCCTAACGGTTTCAAGGTGTATCCAGGTTGTAGCATGAATCAGCCCTTCATTCCATATTGTGGCTGATTAATGTTCCATCACACGGGTGGACTGTACTTGTTTGCTTATTCATCTGTTGTTGATGGGCATTTGCGTTGTTGCCACCTTTTGATAATTATGAATAGTTTTGCTACGAGCATCTGTGTGTGTCTTTGTATGAACAGACTTGCATATTTTTTGATATGGGCAAATGAGAACCAGCGGCAGGGGGCCTCTGTGGTGACGTTTTTGGTGATCTTCGTGTACTCTGTATAATGATCAGCCTCTCAGGCTTGGGGGCAGCACTTAACCTTACATTCTTTCTTTTTTTAAAGATAGGGTCTCTCTCTCTGCCACCCAGGCCAGAGTGCAGTTGACGCAGGGCAGGGGAGCCCCGAAGTGGAGCATAGTGTGTCCGGAACTGGTGGGTTCTTGGTCTCACTGACTTCAAGAAAGAAGCCGCGGACCCTCGCAGTGAGTGTCACAGTTCTTAAAGGCTGCGTGTCCAGAGTTTTTTCCTTCTGATGCTCGGATGTGTTCAGAGTTTCTTCCTTCTGGTGGTTTTGTGGTCTCGCTGGCTTCAGGAGTGAAGCTGCAGACCTTCAAGGTGAGTGTTACAACTCTTAAGGTGGGGCGTCTGGAGTTGTTTGTTCCTCCCGGTGGGTTCATAGTCTCGCTGGCTTCAGGAGTGAAGCTGCAGACCTTCGAGGTGAGTGTTACAGCTCATAAAGGCAGTGTAGACCCAAAGAGTGAGCAGCAGCAAGATTTATTGCAAAGAGCAAAAGAACAAAGCTTCCACAGTGTGGAAACGGACCCCAATGGGTTGCCACTGCTGGCTGGGGCAGCCTGCTTTTACTCCCTTCTCTGGCCCCACCCACATCCTGCTGATTGGTCCATTTTACAGTGAGCCGATTGGTCTGTTTTGACAGGGTGCTGATTGGTACATTTACAATCCCTGAGCTAGACACAAAAGGTCACCAAATCCCTACTAGATTAGCTAGATACAGAGTGTCGACTGGTGCATTCACAAACCCTGAGCTAGACACAGGGTGCTGATTGGTGTGTTTACAAACCTTGAGCTAGATACAGAGTGACAATTTGTGTATTTACAATCCCTTAGCTAGACATAAAGGTTCTCAAAGTCCCCACCAGACTCAGGAGCCCAGCTGGCTTCAGCAAGTGGGTCCCACACGGGGGCCGCAGGTGAGCTGCCTGCCAGTCCCGTGCCCTGTGCTGGCACTCCTCAGCCCTTGTGTGGTCGAAGGGACTGGGTGCCCTGGAGCAGGGGGCGGTGGTCGTCGGGGAGGCTCGGTACTCATCGGGGAGGCTCAGGTCGCGCAGGAGCCCACGGCGGGTTGGGTGGAGTCTCAGGCATGGCGGGCTGCATGTCCCGAGCCCTGCCCTGCAGGGAAGCAGCTAAGGCCCAGTGAGAAATTGAGCAAAGCAGCTGCTGGCCCAGGTGCTAAGCCCCTCACTGCCCGGGTCCATCGGGGCCGGCGAGCCACTCCGAGTGCAGGGCCCAGTGAGCCCATACCCACCCGGAACTCGCACTGGCCCACAAGCGCCGTGCCCAGTCCAAGTTCCTGCCCGCGCCTCTCCCTCTACACCTCCCCGCAAACTGAGGGAGCCGGCTCCAGCCTCCACCAGCCCAGGAAGGGGCTCCCACAGTGCAGCGGTGCACTGAAGGGCTCCTCAAGTGCCACCAAAGTGGGAGCCCAGGCAGAGGAGGCGCCGAGAGTGAGCGCGAGGGCTGCTAGCATGCTGTCACCTCTCAATAGCACTTGAGGGTTCTTGTCTTTACCCAGGAAAGAATTCAAGGGCAAGCCGGAGGTTTAGAAGAAAACAGCTTTATTGAAGAGGCAGCATTACAGCCCTGTGACTGCTCCTGTAGGGCAGGGCTACCCTGGTGGCAGAGAGTAGCGGCAGAGAGTTTGCAATCACATTTATACTCACTTTTAATTGCATGCAGATTAAAGGGCAGTTTATGCAGGAATTTCTAGAAAATGGGTAGTAACTTTTGAGTCATTGGGTCATTGCCATGGAAAGGGGCAGTAACTCCCTGGTGTTGCCTTGGCAATAGTAAACTCACATGGCACACTGGTGGGCATGTCTGATGGAAAGCTTCTTCTGCCCCAGCCCTGTTTTAGGTAGTCCTTAATTTGGTCTGGTGTCCAAGCCCTGCCTGTGTCGTCAAGTCCTGCCTCCTATCTCACAGTGGCGTGATCATGGCTCACTGCAGACTCAACACCCCCGGGCTCGAGCAGTTCTCCCATCTCAGCCTCCTGAGTTGCTGGGACCACAGGCACGTGCCACTACGCCCAGCTACATTTTTTGCATTTTTCGTAGAGATGGTGTTTCACTGTGTTGCCTAGGCTGGTCTCAAACTCCTGGGCTCAAGCAATGTACCAACGTTAGCCTTCTAAAGTGCTGGGATTACAGGTGTGAGCCACTGCACCCAGCCCAACCTTACATTTTTAATCTCAAGTCACTTCTCTCTACGTTTTGATTTCTTCTTTAAAATGGCGGAACTAAGAGCATCTATTTTATAGGGTTGTTGGGACGACAAAAATGAAAGAACTGCTGTTCAATGTTTAGTGAAGCGCTGTGCACAGTTTTGAATAATGAAGTTGGTGTTTATTTTTTATTATTTGTTTATTTATTTTTTAGAGACGGGGTCTTGCTCTGTTGCTCAAGCTGGAGTGCAGTAGTGCAATCACAGCTTAGTGCAGGATTGACCTCCTGGGTTCAAGAAATCCTGCCACCTCAGCCTCCTGAGTAGCTGGGACTACAGGCATGCATCGCCATGTCTGGCTATTTATTTATTTGTTAGTTTTTTGTAGAGATGACGTCTCCCTTTGTTGCTTGGGCTGGTCTTGAACTCCTGGCCTTAAGCAATCCTCCTGTCTTGGCCTCCCAAAACACTGAGATTACAGGTGTGAACCACCATGGCCAGCCTTATTTTTATTTTTAAATCAGCCTTATCAAGTTGAATTGGTCATTAATCTTGTATAACAGTAACTTGGCGCAGCATTGGTTGGGCGGGGGGTGGGGAACCTTTAGGACCCTGTGGGCTACAACTCATAGTGTGTGCACTTATTTTATTTTGTTTTGTTTTGTTTTGTTATGTTATGTTATATTATATTATATTATATTATATTATATTATATTATATTATATTATATTATATTTTTTTGAGATAGGGTCTCACTCTATTGCCCAGACTGGAGTGCAGTAGCATGATCTTGGCTCACTGCAACCTCTGCCTCCCAGGTTCAAGCGATTCTCCTGCCTCAGCCTCCAGAGCAGCTGGAACTACAGATGCGCGCCACCACGCCCGGCTAATTTTTGTATTTTTAGTAGAGCTGGGGTGTCACCATGTTGGCCAGGCTGGTCTCAAACTCCTGACCTCAGGTTATACACTTGCCTCAGCCTCCCAAAGTGCTAGGATTATAGGCGTGAACCACCGTGCCTGGCTGTGCACTAATGTTTGATTTTTGCAGAACCACCCTTCCCTAATGGTTGTCTCCTAGATCTAAGGTGACTTTATTCATTTTAGAATGAACTTACCCCATTGATACTGTAACCAGAGTTGGCATACATCACGATTGGCAGAACCCGGTCATGTTTAGCGATATGGAAGTGTTCTGGAAACTCCTCCTTCTTGTAGACGTGGAGGTGACGGTGCGCATTCTTCAGTGCCTGGTAAAGGGCTTCCTCTTGCCCCAACTTGGGCAGGGGCATCCCAAAGCCACCGTAGCGCACAATATCAAACTTGACCAGGTCCCTGAACTTGACGTAGTTGGACAAGGGGATCTTGTTGACATTGGGTCTCTTCTTCACGGTGGTCCTCCCACGGTCTCATGTAATGATGACGCTGAGGTGCTCTGCAGGCTGTGCTTCTCAGTGGCTCCCACCAGATACCCGATGGTCCTGTCGATTTGCTGAATCATCAACTTCCTTTTCTCTGCCTCTGGCCCGAATCGATGTCCCACGTTATCTGGCTCTCTGTAGCACAGAGTCACAAAATCAAAGTCTTCCTTGGTGAACCAGTTCATGACGGTATCGATGTTCTCCTTCCGCTCTGTCTCGTTGCTGCTTGGGTGAGTGTAGGAATCCACCAGGGACCACTTGACAGCCTCACCCTCATATTTAGCACCTCCCCTGGAATAGTGGAATGATGCCGCTCTGTTCCCCTGTAAGTACAAGAAGAAAATTCCATCAGGGCCATTTGTCATACCTTTCTCACAATCAGCAAAGCTCGAGTTGTCTACATCTGTGCCCCTGTCCAAAGGTGTAGGAAATATGTGGTCTTTGGAGTCAGACAGGGTGGAGTTAGATTCTGGGCTTCCCCAGGATCTCATAGCATCTACAACACTGTTAGTTACAAGATGTATTATTATTTTATGGGCTACTGAGCAGAAAAATGCTGCCAATGAGACCGTGACATTCCAGTGATTGTAAGGTGTATTACAACTACAGAGATGGCAATATGAAAAATAGTTCCTTAGAATAGAAGGAGACGGTAATTTCTGAGTTGGTGGTGGTGAATTTGTGCATGTGTGTTTTTTATATATATACACATATATATACACACACATATATACACATATCTACATGTATATATGTATGTGTGTATATATACACATATATACATATACATGTATATATGTGTATATATACACACATACATATATACATACACATGTATATATGTGTACATATACTCACATACATATATACATACACATGTATGTGTGTGTACACACGCATATATACATACACATGTATATGTGTGTGTGTACACACGCATATATACATACACATGTATGTGTGTGTGTGTACACACGCATATATACATACACATGTATGTGTGTGTGTACACACGCATATATACATACACATGTATGTGTGTGTGTACACACGCATATATACATACACATGTGTGTGTGTGTGTACACACGCATATATACATACACATGTATATGTGTGTGTGTACACACCATATATACATACACATGTATATGTGTGTGTGTACACACGCATATATACATACACATGTATATGTGTGTGTGTACACACGCATATATACATACACATGTATATATGTGTGTGTGTACACACGCATATATACATACACATGTATATATGTGTGTGTGTACACACGCATATATACATACACATGTATATGTGTATGTGTACACATACACATATATGTATACATTGTGGTGCAGGGGTACAATCATAGCTCATTGCACCCTTGAACTTCGGGGCTTAAGTGATCTTGCTACCTCAGCCTCTTGAGCAGCTGGGGCAACAGGCATGTGACACCACACCAATATTTTTTTTTGTTGTTTTTGAGACGCGGTCTCACTCTGTCACTTAGGTTGGAGTGCAGTGGCACAATCTCAGCTCACTGCAACCTCTGACTCCTAGGTTCAAGCAATTCTCGTGCCTCAGCCTCCCAAGTAGCTGGGATTATAGACATGTGCCACTATGCCCAGCTAAGTTTTGTATTTTTAGTTGAGATAGAGTTGTGTCGTGTTGGCCAGGCTGGTTTCGAATCCCTGGGCTGAAGTGATCCACTTGCCTTGGCCTCCCAAAGTGCTGGGATTACATGTGTGAGCCACCGCGCCTAGCCCTAATTTTTTTTTTTTTTTTTAATATTTGTAGAGATGAGGTCTCGCTAATTTGCCCAGGCTGGTCCTGAACTCTTGGGTTCAAGTAATTCTCCTGCCTCAGCCTCTCAAAGTGCTGGGATTACAGGCATGAGACACCGTTCGCGGCTGGTGGTGAGTTTCTCAGCGTCTCAGTGTTTCTACATCTAGAATGCCAAAAAGTAGATGGCATCTTTGTGAGGATTAAGCAGGCTAGCTTTTTATTTTTTTATTTTTATTTTTATTTTTTTTGGAGACAGAATTTCTCTCTTATCACCCATGCTGGAGTGCAATGGCGTGATCTTGGCTCACTGAAACCTCCGCCTCCTGGATTCAAGTGGTTCTCCTGCCTCAGCCTTCCAAGTAGCAGGGATTACAAAGCCAGCTAGCTTTAAGATACGGTGTTGGGCATCACATTTTGGCATGGAGCAGGCACTCTTTTCTTTGCCCCCAGGTGGGACTAAGCCACCACAAGCCTTCCCTGGTGTGTGCAGTGGGTGATGAATGCTTGCCTGCTCAGCACCCACTTCCTGGTGGGCTGGGTCACATTACTATGACTCCCCCTTGAGCTTCAGTCCGCGCCTGGTTCGAGATTATTGGCTCAACCCGAGGATCCAGAGGTGGGATGTAGCTCTGGCCTGGCCAGAGGACCGAGGATGCTGCATGCCATGGCTACAGCTACTGGTTCAGCTTTGGGCTCATGTCCTAGTCAGAGCCAATGAGATGTAATCTTGGGATATCTGCTGGGCTTCTCAGAAGGGGACAGGCTGCCCTGCACATCCGCATTCCTGATGCTGAGGGATCTGAGAAAATCACTTGTAAAATTTGCGGGTGTTTGGAAGAAGGGGAGACTGATGTCTCTTTCTCTCTACAGACATCTGATCAGCTACAGAGCTTGACTAACCTACCCAGAGGCAGAATGATATGGTGGTTAAAAGTGTGCTCTGGGCCGATATTTTGCCACTGCACTTCAGCCTGGGTGACAGAGTGAGACTCCATCTCAAAAAAAAAAAAAAAAAAAAAATCTGCTCTGGGCTGGACGCGGGGGCTCACAACTGTAATATCAGCACTTTGGGAGGCTGAGGCAGGAGGATCGCTTGAAGTCAGGAGTTTGGAATCAGACCCTATCTCTAGAAAAATGTTTTTTAAAAATTAGCTGGGTTGGTGGTGAATGCCTCTAGTCCCAGCTACTCGGGAGGCTGAGGCGGGAAGATTGCTGGAGCTTGGGAGTTCAAGCCTGCACTGAGCTATGATCAGGCCACTGCACTCCAATTTGAGGGACAGAGAGAGACCCCATCTCTCTGAACAACAAAAATGTGTGCTCTGGTGCCACACTGCCTGGTTAGATCCTTTGTCCACCACTTAGATGCATGTTATATAAATGCTCTCCTCAGTTTCCTAGTCTGTAACTTGGGGATGGTAATGCTGCCCCAAGAAGTGGTTATGGGGACTAAATGCATGTGGGCATATTGGTTAGTATTCAACCAGCTTGATTTTTCCTGGAGAGGGAGAAAGAGCATGCAGTGAGGTGGCATGGTCAGGTGCATTGGGACAAGGATTATTTCCTCTGGCTTCTGCCTCCTGGGAGGTATAAGGAGGGATCTGAAATCTGTCTGCAGACCCCAGAGTTGGGGACTGCAGAGGGAAATTGAGATCAGGGACCCTAGTCTGGCAGAAATGAGTGCTGCATGGGGCATTGGGTTCCTTCCATCAGAGGCATGGGGTGTGTTGCAGACAGTCATGAAATGTGTCTGAATCTTGCAAGGGACCCGTGGTCCTATGGTTGCTGCTTGAGACAAAGACCATGGTCAGTGGAACCTGGTGACCTTCACCCTTCTGTGTCAGGCTGCAGACAGCAGGAGATGGCAGCAGACTACACCCAACAGGAAAAGGGCCATTGCCACCCCACAGGTTGCCATAGAAGGAGATGACATCTGTCCCTCTCCTCCTCCAGCGGTGTCAGCTGGGGAAGTGGTGGGTGGATGTGCACAAAAGAGTAGACCAGAGAGCATCCTCCTTCTCCTCCAGTCTGCTGGGGCCCCAAGGGAGTCTGCAGCCCTTGGCCAGGGACCGGCTGACACAGGAGAACAAAAGACCTGAGGCTGGGATAACATGGTGGTGCAGTTCATCCTCTGGAGCTCCCTGTGAGATCAGACTGGAGCCAATCTCCAGCTGAGACCACATCTCACTTAGCTCCTTCCTGCCATATCCTGTTTTCCTTACTCCTATCTCCTGAGACTTCTTCCTGAATGAATTACATGCACTAAATCCCTGCCTCAGTCTCTGCCTTTAGGGAACTTGAACTAAGACAGAAGTCTTAGTACTAAATACTTTGCAAGGCCTCAGAAGCTCTGCTATCCACAAGCAGGTGAGATATTACCTTCCCTACTGCCTGGCAGTCACAGTCTATGATGCGATTGAGCTTTATGGAAGTGCTTCTCTAAAGAACTTCCCCCAATTTAAGATGATCTTAATTTGCTTATTTGTTTACTGTCCATTTAGCTGCTCTAAAATGTGAGCTCCAAATCAGGGGCCGTGTCTGGTTGGTTACTCATTTCCTGAGACCTGGAACGGGCCTAGCTCAGAGCAGGTGCTCACTATTGATGGAATGCATGTTGAAAGAATGCATGAATCTCATGTCTTTTTGTGGGTGAAAAACTCATCCTATTCTCACCCTGATTAACTTTCTTTCTTTGTTTCTTTTTTTTTTTTCAAAATGGAGCCATGATCTGTCACCCAGGCTGGAGTGCAATGGTGTAATCTCAGCTAGCTGAAACCTCTGCCTTCTGGATTAAACCAATTCTCCTGCCTCAGCCTCCTGGGTAGCTGGGATTACAGGTGTATACCACAACGTCCGGCTAATTTTTTGTATTTTTAATAGAGACAGTGTTTCACCATGTTGGCCAGGCTGGTCTCGAACTCCTGACCTCGTGATCTGCCCTCTTTGGCCTCCCAAAGTCCTGGGATTACAGGCATGAGCCACCATACCCAGCCACTCTTGATTAACTTAATGGAAATATTTACAGAGATTCTTTCTCTTCTGGGTTCTAACGTCTTATCTGTAACCTCTGCAGGTAATACATTTTCCTTCCTGATGATAGCATTTCTATGGTTGCTTTCACTTGCAAATCCTCTAATACTTATTTATTCCATTTCTGATTGGCATTAGACATAATTCTCAATTTTTAGTGACAGCACTTCGTTTAACTTACATATAAATCAACTTTGCCTTGAAATGTGACATTGACTAGAAGGATGAAACTTCTAACATACTGTAGAACATAGTTTGACTGGCTAATTTATTATTTAGAAGAAGCTAATATTGCCATTATGAGGGACTTAGGTGACTCTGAAAAACCAGTTGCATTTGTAATGTTTGCAATGTTAAATCACAGATATTGCCAACGTGAAATAGTTTCCATATGCTGTGTTCTCAATACACACCTTTTCCAAAGATATCCCAAGCTGTAGTCTTAGAAGACTGTGATTTTTCTTATTTGTTCTCACAGTAATTTGGGGAGCTATGCGGGATCTCCATAAAATGAGCTCCAGAAAGACACGTGTGCACACACACACACTCACACATGTACCACGCCGCACTTGACTCTGTTTATTTGGGACCCATGATTATCAGAAGTGCTATTTTTAACAAATACTTCTGAGAAATAATCTGAACACTTAATTGGATGCAAAAGAGTGGCTATTTACTATTCTACCCTTTAATTAGCATATTCAGTGTTTCCAGCAGCAAAAGCAATTGGAAAATCGCTTGTTTTGTTAGGTTCATTCTTCTCCCTTAGCGTAGTGTGGCATCAGCATGGCTATTATTCTTAAATTGCCTCTTTAAAACAAGAGCTGGTGCTTCTTACAGGCAATTCCTAACTCTTGGGTTTTGTAGAGGGTCCAAAACTCTTTAGAACCTATAATTCAAGGAAAGGCTCCACTTTGGTTTTGCATTTTGTCTGGTCTCTTTGGGTGACAGAATTTATGTCACAAGGTGCACATGTTTTGGGGAGGCTCATGGACAGCCCATCGCTCTTGTGCTTTGGTAGGAAATATGTGCAGTTATGGGGAAGGAGTTAGTTACTCATCTAGGGAACAATTGGGTAGAAAGAGATGGACTCCCTGTATTTGAAATTTAGAACTCAAGCTTGGCTCTAAGTGTTTCCTTGCTTTGCTGTGCTCCACGGGAGTCACTGAGCAGAAGGAAGCGAGTTGCCTGAGATTCCTCAAAGCCCGCAGCCCTTTTGGAGGTTACATTGTTATTCTCAGAGCCTTTAGGATGCATAATAAAGACCTAGCTTGGACCAACATTAGGATGAGTTATCTTGCTATTAACATTCTTTTAGGTAGAAGTTGCTTTTAGGTAGAAGTTGGTCCCATCTTGCTCACAATCCTCCAAAGCTTGGAAGTTACTTTCCAGGAGACTTAGCTTGCACTGAGAGCCGCCCTCCCACCCTCTCTCCAAATTTCCTCTTGGGAGTAGCCTAACAAGGTGCTGTCACAGGCCCTTGCCAGCCACGATGACCCCACCCAGACCATCCCTCTGCTGTTTCACTCTTTGATATTCTCTGGAGCTCTCTGGGGAGGGGTGAGACCTGCTGTCTGGTTTGTACGGTTTGCCCAGGTCTTACAGTCATGGCTGGCTGCCCCTCTCTGAGAACTGGGACTCCTGAACTTGGTGAAATACCTCAGCCATTGATCATGTTAAATTATCGGTGACACTCATTTAAAATCCGAGTCTGCTCCAGATGGACTCTCTCTCTTTCTGCCCTGACTATAAGAGAGAGAGATCGTGAGAGACAGAGACCATGAGAAAGACCGTGAGAGAGAGACACAGAGCTAGAGAGAGAGAGAGAGAGACCGTGCCCTCACCTGCTGGACAGTGGAGATGCTTGTGGGCTGTGAGCAAGGGATGCAAAGGCTGCCGGGAATCCCATCTTTCCAGCATCATCTGCCAAGGCACATCAGTTCCTGGGTGTCTTGATGGGTTCTGGCAGCATTACTGTCATTGAAGGAAAACATTTTAGCCATATTAAAGGTGAATGCAGCAAGCTCCACACAGGCTGCCTGGAAGGGACGCGGGACAAGGGTAGGTTTTCCGTGTGATGGACAGGAGGCAGGCGGCCCTCCCACAGCCCTGCCTGGCAAAGCAGATGTGTCCCCAAAAGGCGCTGGGGGCAGCTGGAGTGCTGTGCGGAGACGGGCTCACCTGGGCCCTGGGTTCGCTCTGATTGCAGCGGTTTCCCGCCAGCTCCTTGGAGAGCTGGCAGATGACCCAGCCCCACAGCAGGAGCTGTAAATGGCAGAACGAGATACAACAATTTGATATCCACTTGCCAGATGAGCCGGGTGTCGTCAGTCGCCTGGCTCTGCGCCAACCTCTTTTTGCACAAACACTTATGAATTCAGCCAGGAGGAAAAGCACTCTGATTATGAATTGAGCAGAAGGAAACAAAGTTCTGCAGATAAACACCAATGAGACAAAAAACCACGAATAAGAAAAATGACAGAAAAGGAGAACCTTCCCAGAAGCCTCCTGCCAGTGAACAGCCACCGTAGCAAGAGCTTGGAGGCCCTGGGTTTTGAACTGTGAGATAAAGAAGATGATGAAAACCTCCCGAGCAGCCAGGCAAGCACAAGATTCCTGTAAAATCCAGGTCTAAGTGTTTTAACCACAGAAGTAATATTATGTCATAGGTGAGAGCTGTGAGTTGCTGAACCCAAAGTGAGTTCAAATCCGAGCTCTGCCTCCTGCTACCTGTGTGACTTTGAGAAGTTCCAGCACTGCTTTGTGCCTCAGTTTTGTCATCTGTTAAATGGGCATAATCACAGCTCCTGCCTCAGAGTTGTTGTAAATTAATACATGTAAAGCACTGAAATCAGCCTGGTATACAGTAAGTGTTATGAATGTTATTTTCTTGGAAGGACAGAACTTATTTTCATGGTCTAAGCCTGAAAGTCTAAAAAATGTGAGAGAAGAGGAAAGAATCTAGAGTCTCACCATGAGGCAGAAAAGTCAACTTGAAGCAGGACAGGGTCATTGACAATTTCCTGTGATTCTACAGCTGCCTTGTACACTATGGTAGCTCCTATCCACTTACTGTTTAGATTTTGTGATTTAGAAATCAACTAAGGGTGGGCATGGTGGCACACCTGTAATGCCAGCATTTTGGGAGGCCAAGTTGGGCAGATCACCTGAGGTCAGGCGTTCAAGATCAGCCTGGCCAACATGGTGAAATCTCGTCTCTACAAAAATACAAAAATTAGCCGGGCATGTTGGTGGGTTCCTGTAATCCTGGCTACTCAGGAGGCTGAGGCAGGAGAATTGCTTGAACCTGAGAGATGGAGGTTGCAGTGAGACGAGATTGCACCACTGCACTCCAGCCTGGAGGACAGAGTGAGACTCTGTCTGAAAAAAAAAAAAAAATTAGTTAAGAGAAAATTGAAAATTCAGTTCTTCATTCTCACCAGCCACATTTCAAGGGCTCAAAAGCCCATGTGGGTGGCTAGCAGCTCCCATGTTGGACAGTGTAGAGTAGAGCAAGCCCGCCATTGCAGAATGTTTGATTGGACCATGACTGAATAGTCTATTGCAGTGGTCCCCAATTTTTTTTAGCACCAAGGACCAGTTTCCATGTACTTGTGGGGGGAAGTTTCAGGATGATTCAAGTGCATTACATTTATTGTGTACTTTATTTCTATTGTTATGAACATTATAATATATAATGAAATCATTATACCACTCACCATAATGTAGAATCAGTGAGAGCCCTGAGCTTGTTTTCCTGCAACTAGATAATCCCATCTCCGGGTGGTGAGAGACAGTGACAGATCATCAGGCGTTAGATTCTCATAAGGAGCACACAACCTAGATCCCTTCCACATGCAGATCACAATAGGGTTGGTGCTCCTATCAGAGTCTAATGCCACTGCTGATCTGACAGGAGACAGCTCAGGCGGTAACACTAGCCATGGGGAGCAGCTGTAAATACAGATGAAGCTTCACTCATTAGCTCACTGCTCACCTCCTTCTGTGCAGCCCAGTTCCTAACAGGCCACAGACCGCTACTGGTCTGTGGTCTGGTGGATGGGGACCTCTGGTCGATTGGATAACACTAGCTTTGAGGGTACTGATCAGCCAAGGAAGCACTGAGATGATTTGTCCTCCATTAATAAGAATGATGGATTTCTTTTTTTTTTTTTTTGAGACAGAGTTTTGCTCTTGTTGCCCATGCTGGAGTGCAGTGGCACCAACTCGGCTCACTGCAACCTCTGCCTCCCAGGTTCAAGAGATTCTCATGCCTCAGCCTCCCAAGTAGTTGAGATTACAGGTGCCTGCCACCATGCCTGGCTAATTTTTGTATTTTTAGTAGAGTTGGGGTTTTGCCATGTTGACCAGGCTGGTCTTGAATTCCTGACCTAAGTGATCCACCTGCCTCGGTCTCCCGAAGTGCTGGGATTACAGGCGTGAGACACCGTGCCTGGTCAGATGGACTTTTTTTGAGCATTTAGTTCCAAGCACCTTCCCTGCGTTTTCTCAGTTAATCCTCCCAGTGACTCTTTGAAGCAGGGACTATGACAATCGTCATTTCACAGATGGAGCAACTGAGGCACAGAGAGGAAGTCAATGGCCACGGTCGCCCAGCTGAGGAAGGATGGAGCCGGCTGAGATCCTGTTCTGGGGATCTAACTCTGCAGCCTGCATTCTGGGCTGCTGTATTCTCCCATGTTGCTATCTGGCGAGCACAGCATGGGCTCAGAGTACAGACAGGAGGAACCAGCTAATAAGGAGAGGTCTGGGGTGAAGGCTGGTGCCTTGGGGAAGAAGAGAGAGGTCCCATTCTAAAGGGATGGCATTGGAAGCTCATAGTGATAAAGCAAAGCCAACAGGTTTTGGGGCTGAGAGTTAAACACACAGCTCTGGTTTCTGCCTTTTCACGGTGGTGATAAATGAGCACTGAGAGCCTCTCGAGCTAAAGTTGTCATCATTGTTCTTCATAGTCTGAAGGTGCATGAAATGGTCAACTTTCTTCCAAAGGGCTTTTATGCCTAAGTCTGTAGTTAGTGTATAAACAGATATTTACTGAAGTCCTGCTGGGTGCAGACACTGGCCAGCCCTGAGGCTACAGTCGAGATGAAGCCAGTCTCTGTCCTCATGGATACCTGTCTATTGATAAGAAAAGAGAAAGCTCACTGAGCATTGACCCTGTGCCCACTGCTTTTGATGCATCTCTTAATCCTTCTATCAAATCTGTGAAATAAACACATCACCATCATCCTATTTCACATTTAGGAAAACATATGCTTAGAGAGGGTAAGTAACTTGGTCAAGGTCACACAGCTTCGATCTCTCATCCCACAGGCGCAGGAATTGGAGGCAGCAGCTGGGGAAGCCAGGGTCTCTGGCAGTCCTTGTCTCTGGGCGGTGATCCAGAGAGAGAGAGAACACGATTGTCTCAGCACTGGGTCTTCTTCTGAGTCATCTTGAAGGAGCAATTCCAGAGCGTCTCGGTGTTAAACATCATGTTGTGAATGACTCAGTGATCTCTGACCCAGAGACCTTGGGGATAAAGGAGGGGAGGTACGGAGAACCTCTTTGAATGGATGTTACCGGGGTGTCTGTTCTTTGAGGCTACAGGCTATGTGTCACCAAATTGAAGGGGTGGCCTGCCCCTCCACACCTGTGGGTATTTCTAGTCGGGTGGGATGAGAGACGGAGAAAAGAAATAAGACACAGAAACAAAGTACAGGGAATCAACAGTGGGTCCAGGGGACCGGCACTCAGCACACCAGGATTTGCACGGGCACTGGCCTCTGAGTTCCCTCAGTTTTTATTGATTATGATTTTCATTATTTCAGCAAAAAGGAATGTAATAGGAGAGCAGGGTGATAATAAGGAGAAGGTCAACAAAAAACATGTGAGCAAAAGAATCTATATCATAATTAAGTTCAAGGGAAGGTACTATGACTGGACTTGCACGTAGGCCAGATTTATGTTTCTCTCCACCCAAACATCTCAGTGGAGGAAAGAATAACAAGGCAGCGTTACTGCAACATGTCTCGCCTCCCGCCACAGGGCAGCTTTTCTCCTAGCTCAGACTTGAACAAATGTACAATCAGATTTACACCGAGACATTCAGTTCCCAGGGGCAAGCAGGAGACAGTGGCCTTCCTCCATCTCAACTGCAAGAGGCTTTCCTCTTTTCCTAATCTGCCTCAGCACAGACCCTTTACGGGTGTCAGGCTGGGGGACAGTCAGGTCTTTCTCATCCCACGAGGCCATATTTCAGACTATCACATGGGGAGAAACCTTGGACAATACCCTGCTTTCAAGGGCAGGGCTCCCTGCGGCTTTCCACGGTGCATTGTTCCCGTGGTTTATTGTGACTAGAGAATGGCAATGACTTTTACCAAGTATACTGCTTGTAAATATTTGGTTAACAAGGCACGTCCTGCACAGCCCTAGATCCCTCAAACCTTGATTTTATACAACACATGTTTTTGTGAACTCCAAGTTGGGGCAAAGTGACTGGGGCAAAGTGGCTGGGGCAAAGCTACAAATGAACAACATCTCAGCAAAGCAATTGTTAGAGTACAGGTCTTTTTCAAAATGGAGTCTCTTATGTCTTCCCTTTCTACATAGACACAGTGACAGTCTGATCTCTCTCTTTTCCCTACATTTCCTGCTTTTCTTTTTGACAAAACCGCCATGGTCATCATGGCCCCTTCTCGCTGGTCGCTGTCTCTCCGGAGCTGCTGGATACACCTGTAGACTAACAATAGAGAGGACAGACATACAAGAATTAATACAAAATTTGCAATAGTGGAATTTCCAATGGTTTTAACCCAAGTGACAGCGCTAAGATTTGTGAGGCTATCAACAGCTTTTATCATTGCCTCCGTTTCTGACACCAGATTTAACTGGGCTTTTGATGTTTCAAAAATTTGTACTTTCAATTTAGAAATATCTAAGGTTAGATTATCTTCTCTTCCTTGTAGATGGCGTCTAACCATGTCCCAGTGCTGTTCAGATTCATTATAGGCTCGAGGTGTAATACAAAAATCTGACGTATTCCAGTCACACTGTAACTGAAAAAGATATTCTAAACTCATGAGCCTATCTCCCATCCAAATAACAGTTTGTCTAAGATCATTAATTTGATTTGCCAATTTTTGACCTATTTGAGTCTAAGAATTCCACAATTTTGAGGAATTCTTTTGCCAATTATTCACGTATTCTGCAGTTTGAACAGAGGAGTGTAAAGCAATTCCAGCAGCCGCAGCAGTAGCTGTGACTGCAATAAGACCCATAATCACTGCAATCAAAGTAAAAATGAATCTTTTAGATCTAGTTAGAACTCCTTTTAATACTTAAGGTATGTACGGATGGAGAAGCCTCCCACGGTCGATCCATGGACACAGGGATCCACACGCCTTCTCTTGCCCTTACTAACAGAATAGCATTCTGCCAATCAAAAGTTAAATCAATGCAAGTAAACAATGTACAATTTTCACTGGTTGTAGTTTGGGAATCTGGTTTAATAGCTATGTTTTCTACAACTAGCATATAAGGGGGTTTTACACAACTTTGCAAAGGAATTTTCAGATTGGAATTTAGGTTAATAGTTAATATGGCTTATGATTTCCTGTTCCCATAACTTGATTTCCAGACCAAATTCTAATGTGGTACGAGGCCACAGTGAGCTTCCATAATTCTGGGTGTTCAGGACCAAAAACAGGACTAACTAACTTTGGTCGGGGTGATGAAATCCTCTTTTCACCCCATTTCCATGGATAGGGTGATTCTAGCCTTCTATAAACATGGTCTAGCCTTTTAGTTAAATCACTATCACAGGCCGGATTAGTGGGCCAGACAGATGGAGCCTGTGAACATGAGTGGGTCTGGCCCATACAGTCATAATATAATTGGCCTTGAGGGGCCTAGTCTATAATAGTTTCAAATTTATTGTTTTGTAGTACCACTGCAGTATCAGCCACACATTCTTCCCAAACTAAGACTACTGGGTCTTTTGATTCTTTTGGAATTTCCTTGGGGCATGGTTTCCCTTTAGGCCTAAATTTTAATGATCTTTGATAGGAAGAATTCTGTAAATTATTCATTTGTGACCTGAGCGACTTTCCTCTTTCATATGATAAGTAAATTTACTGGTGGCACTGACAGTAGGTACTTCTATCAACCAAGTTTGGATTGTAGGCATTAAGCATCCTGGTGCTTTTCCCAGGCAAATAGGAGGATAATGATACCCAATGGAAATGTTTATCATCATTCCTTCTTCTTCAGGTTGGGCAGGGCCACGGTCATCTGTGGGGCCTGGTACCCATGCACTGTTATTAACATATACTTCAATAGGATTATCTATCCAAGTGACTGCTTGAATTAAGGGTGGGAAAATCACATAGGCCCAGTAAGTACAGTTAGCTGTAGCGGCTCCTGAAGACATAGGGAGACTTACCACCGTTGATACAATCATTAAATCTGCAAGTAGCACATTCTCTGGAGTTTGTGTTACCCTTGTGTTTTCCAGGCTTTTTTCAGCTAACTGTGTCAGCTTCTTTAGCTGGGCCCAGGTCGGCGGCCCCACTTTCTTGGTGGATGGCAACTTCATCTGTTCTTCTGATATCACCATTTTGTTCACCCTGCGAGTCGATGATGTTCGATTGCGGGTTCTCTGTCTCTGCGGAGGCGCCTCCCCTTGCACCTCTGATGGGTTCATTGTAGAACTTCAAATGTCTAGTGGGTACCCAAAGAGGAAGCTGATTTTCTCCTGGTGGAACACAAGCAAAACCTCTCCCCCATGTTATCACCTTACCTATTTCCCATGTTTTATTTTTGTTGTCTTTCCACCAAATCAGTTTTCCCTCATGTGGGCTGTTCTTTTTACCAGTAAAATGTTGTTCTGCAGAAGTAGTGGTCTGATTTCTATATATATTTAAAAAATTTAAAGTATAGAGTGCTAGATTAAATTGCATCTGGGGAGTATTATACTCCTTACTTTTTCCTTTTTTTGTTTAACCAATTGAGCTTAGAGTGTTCTATTAGTTCTTTCAATTATGGCCTGTCCTTGGAAATTAGGGATTCCTGTTGTATGTGTAATTTTCCACTGATTTAAGGATTTTTGAAATGCTTTGCTACAGTATCCTGGCCCATTATCTGTTTCAATTTTTTCTGGAAATCCCATGACTGCAAAACAAGATAATAAATGTCTTTTAACATGGGAAGTACTTTCTCCTGTCTGGCAGGTTGCCCATATGAAATGTGAATAAGTATCAACTGTCACATGGACAAATGACAATTTTGCAAATGAAGGTACATGTGTGACGTCCATTTGCCATAATGCATCAGGACATAAACCTCTAGGATTAACTCCTGCCTCTTGAGCGGGCAGGTGTAAGACTTGACACTGAGCACAATGTTGTACAACATTTTTTGCTTGTTTCCATGTGATATCAAATTTGTTTTTTAATCCTGTTGCATTTACATGAGTCAGGGCCTGAAGTTCTTGTGCTTCCATGAAGGCAGATGATACTAGATAGTCAGCTTGTTCATTTGCCTTAGTTAAAGGCCCTGGTAAATTAGTATGTGCTCGGATATGAGCAATATAAAATGGGAAATTTCTTTTTCTTACAGTTTGTTGTAACAATTTAAACAGCTGATTTAACTGATCATCATACTATATTTGATTAGGGCTGTCTCAACATCCTTTGTAGCCTGTACTAAATATGCAGAATCTGAAACAATGTTAATAGGCTGATTAAAATCTTGTAACACTGAAAGGACAGCAACCAATTCTGCTCTTTGAGCTGAGTGATATTGAGTTTCAATGACTTGTTCTTTTGGCCCAGTGTAAGCCACTTTTCTGTTGCTGGAACCATCAGTAAACACCGTCAGAGCGTTTTCTAGAGGTTTTTGTCTGGTAATTTTAGGTAAAATCCAAGTAGTCAATTTCAAAAACTGGAAGATTTTTGCTTTTGTGTAATGATTATCAATAATTCCCACAAAATCAGCAAGACCAATCTGCCCTGCACCAGAATTGATAAAGACATGTCTAACCTGTTCCTTGTTTAAAGAAACAATGATTTTATCTGGGTCATTTCCACACAATTTTACTATTCATAGTCTTGCCTGACCAATTAATGTAGCCATTTGATCTAAGTACAATGTAAAAGTCTTAACTGTACTGTGAGGAAGGAATGACCACTCCACAAGATCTGTATTTTGAACAATAATGCCTGTTGGAGAATGTGCAGTAGCAAAAATTAAAAGTTGGAGTGGGGCTAAGTAATCTATTTACTTTTGCTGACTGAAATTTTTCTTCAACTAATTCTATTTCTTTAGTTGCCTCTGGAGTTAATATTCTTTTACTATTTAAGTCTGGATCCCCTCTCTAGATAGAGAACAAATTTGACATGGCATAAGTAGGATGCCTAGAGTTGGCCGAATCCAATTAATATCTCCTAGCAATTTTTGAAGTCATTTAATGTTCTTAATGTGTCTTTTCTTATTTCTACTTTTTGTGGTTTAATTTTTCTCTCCTCTACCTGCATTCCCAAATAATGAAAAGGAGTGGAGGTCTGAATCTTATCAGATGCTATTGTCAGGCCTGCGTTTGCAACCTCTGTCTGCAGAAATGTGTAACAGTCAATTAATTTGTCTCTTGTTTCTGCAACACACAAAATATCATCAACATAATGAATGATATAACAGTCTGAAAACTTGTCTCTAACTGGTTGAAGAACTTGAGCTACAAAAGTCTGACAAATAGTTGGACTATTAAGCATTCCCTGAGGCAACACTTTCCACTGAAATCTAGTGGCTGGTTCTTTATTATTTATGGCTGGTATAGTGAAAGCCGATTTTTCAAAATCCTGTTTTGCCAGAGGAATGGTAAAAAAGCAATACTTCAGATCAATTATAATTAAAGGCCAATCTTTGGGGATCATGGCTGGAGAGGGCAGCCCAGGTTGGAGAGGCCCCATGGGTTGAATTACTGCATTAACGGCTCTTAAATCAGTTAGCATGCGCCATCTGCCTGATTTTTTCTGAATTACAAACACAGGAGAATTCCAAGGCGAAAATGAATGCTCAGTATGTCCCTTTTCTAATTGTTATTTTGCCAATAAGTGTAAGGCCTCCAGCTTTTGTTTTGGTAGTGGCCACTGATTTACCCATACAGACTTTTCTGTTTTCCAAGTTAATGAAATGGGCTTTGGAGGCTCTACAGTGGCCACCCCTAAAAAGGATACCCTAGTCCTTTTCTTTCTGGATTTCCCTTAGCCTCAATTGGAACTTTGATGCCTTCTCCATTTTTCCCTAGTCCTTTGCCAGGGAGATATCCCGTTTTAGTCATGATTTTTTGACTCGTGGGGCTGTATAGAGAGACTGGAATAGTAATCTCTGCATGCCACTGTTCTAATAAGTCTCGGCCCCATAAATTAATTGGAATAGAAGTAATCATAGGCTGAACTGTACTCTCTTGATTATCAGGTCCTAGACAATGTAAAATCCTGGCACTTTGATACACTTCTGAGGCAGTGCCCACACCAACAAGTCCTGTAACAGGCTTTTGTTTAGGCCAATTTTTTGGCCATTGATTTAAGGCAATGATAGAAACATCAGACCCAGTATCCACTAATCCTTCAAACTGTTTTCCATGAATAGTAACTGTACACACAGGTCTATTCTCTGAGAGCTGACTAGCCCAATAAACAGCTTTTCCAGCAGTGTTGGTACTTGCAAACCCTCCTGTTCTTTCTGTTTTGCTATCCCCAATTTTAATATAAGGCAAGAGCAGTAACTGAGCAATTCTATCACCTGGATTGGCACTCCAAGGAACAGTACAGCTGATCACTAACTGAATTTCCCCTTTATAATCTGAGTCAATTACCCCAGTATGAATTTGAACTCCTTTCAAATTTAGACTAGATCTTCCTAAAATAAGGCCTACCATCCCTTGTGGCAGTGGGCCATATACCCGTGTAGGAATCTTTTGCAGGGGCTCTCCACGGAGTAAAGAAATCATCTGAGTAGAACATAAATCTACTGCAGCACTGCCTGCTGTGGCAGAGGATAATTGTCGTATTGTAATTGGCTGATTTCCTGAAATGGTGGTATTTACTGTGGGGGTTGTTGTCCCTGAAAACCCTGAGGAACAAATGGCTGAATCGGGAGTGCCCCACTTTGTTGCGGGGCCTGGGGCTTGCCCCTCTTGCCGTTTCCCGACAACGGTTGTCCATTTTTATCAAATTTAGAACGACATGCCTTAGCCCAATGTTTTCCTTTTCCACATCTTGGACACAGGCCAGGTGGCTCTTTTTTTTTTTTTTTTTGCTGTTTATTTAAGCCTGGGCAATTGTTTTTTAGATGACCGATTTGACGACAATTATAACATTTTCCCCCAAATGTTTAACTTGTCCTCCTAAAGCAAACCCTGTAATTGCTTGAGCCAATGGCATTGCCTTATGCATAGCTCCTCCAATCCCATCACAAGCCTTCACATATTCTGTAATTACATCAACTCCTGCTGAAACCTTTCCTCTTAATGGCTTTATGGCTGATTGACACTCTGGATATGCGTTTTGATAAGCCATTTTTTCTACAATAACTTTTCGGGCGTTACCTGCAATGGATTTTTGAGCTGCATCTTGCAACCTTGCCACAAACTCTGGATATGGCTCTTTAGAGCCTTGTCTGATTGAACTAAAAGAAGGGCATGAGGTTCCTGGGTCCTGAATCTTTTCCCAGGCCCTGAGGCAAATAGCCCTTGGTTGTTCAATAGCCTCATTTTCATTACTGATTGTTGGTTAATAGTGCCCCAGTTTGGACCTTTTCCTAGCAATTGGTCTTCATCTATATAAGCAACAGGATTAGTAGCCTGATTTTTTCGTACCTGTTCTTGTACCCCATCAATCCACCAGGTTTTAAACTGGAGATACTGAGAGGGTGAAAGGGAAGATTTAGCCAGAATTTCCCAATCATAAGGAATAAGTCTATTTCCATGAGCAATGGAATTTAATAATGTTCTCATATAAGGAGATTTAGGTCCATATTGCTTAACTCCTTCCTTCATATCTTTTAACATTTTTATGGTGAAAGATTCATATCTAGTCTCAGCTCAGACAGACGCTCCTGCTTGACTGCCTTTCCCAGCCGGCATCGGTTGTAACATTACCGGATATTGCCATGCCTCAAGATCTCCCTGTTTTCTGGCTGTAGCAATGGTCTCATGCAGTGCACTATCTTGTCCACTAGGTGGTACCGTAAGATCAAACGCCATCGCCGTGGGTTGTTGATATAGTGCCTTGCTATTTGGCACAGGACGCACCGCCTGAGATCCATACTGAACCTCTGGAGACGGCGGATACTGAAATGCGGCTGGCGGCTGGTGTTGATAAACTACCGATGGTTGGGTTTTATTTTCTACTGGCTGGTATTGCGGATACTGTGCCTGGATTGGCATTTGAGATTGTGACATCACAGGCATCTGAACCGCGGGAGAAGGAGTTGGTGGCCATTGTGTTCTAAACTCTGATGGCCCAAATAATTCTGGACCTCCTTCCCCCAATTTTGATGATTCAGTATATATTACCTCCTGTAATTGATTATAGTCAACATTCTGCATTGACCAAGTCAGTACAGGCTGTACTGCATTTTTACAATGTGAACTTTCCATTCCTTTCTTAAACTCTGTTCCTGCCTCTTCTTCACAATCTATTACACAGCTTTCAGGGGCATCAAAGACTGAAACCCTATCTTCTTCTATTTGAAATGGTTCTAAAGTTGCTTTAATAGTGGCCCAATCATTCCATACTGTAAGTGGGATGATTTTACCTTCCCTAATTGCTTGTTTTAGTTCTTTGCCAATTTTTTCCCAATCTTTTAAATCTAAAGTTCCCTTTTCTGGAAACCATGGGCGGAATTGTTCTATTGTTTGAAATAGCGTAACTAGATTTTCTGTAGAAGCTTTAACTCCCCCTCTTCTTAAGAGAATTTTAATGAAGCTGAGATAAGAAGCATATTTACTTTCAGTTTGCCCCATTGTTATCCTGGATTCCTCCCAGCACACAAGCTAACCGCAAGGCTGACTGTGGACGTACTCGGGAATCTCTCATCGGCTGTCCTCAATGCTCACGTTCTTAGCGTACCTTCACCCTAGAGAAGGGCCCCACGCTGGGCTCCAGATGAAGGAGTGGTCTGCCCCTCCACACCTGTGGGTATTTCTAGTCAGGTGGGATGAGAGACGGAGAAAAGAAATAAGACACAGAGACAAAGTATAGAGAAACATCAGTGGGTCCAGGGGACCGGCACTCAGCACACCAAGGACATGCACAGGCACCGGCCTCTGAGTTCCCTCAGTTTTTATTGATTATGATTTCCATTATTTCAGCAAAAAGGAATATACTAGGAGAGCAGGGTGATAATAAGGAGGTCAACAAAAAACATGTGAGCAAAAGAATCTATATCATAATTAAGTTCAAGGGAAGGTACTATGACTGGACATGTACGTAAGCCAGATTTATGTTTCTCTCCACCCAAAAATCTCAGTGGAGTAAAGAATAACAAGGCAGCATTGCTGCAAACATGTCTTGCCTCCCATCACAGGGCAGCTTTTCTCCGATCTCAGACTTGAACAAATGTACAATCGGGTTTTACACCGAGACTTTGAGTTCCCAGGGGCAGGCAAGAGACAGTGGCCTTCCTCCATCTCAACTGCAAGAGGCTTTCCTCTTTTACTAATTCACCTCACCACAGACCCTTTATGGGTATCGGGCTGGGGGACAGTCAGGTCTTTCTCATCCCACGAGGCCATATTTCAGATTATCACATGGGGAGAAACCTTGGACAATACCCTGCTTTCAAGGGCAGAGGTCCCTGCGGCTTTCCACAGTGTATTGTGCCCCTGGTTTATTGAGACTAGAGAATGGCAACGACTTTTACCAAGTATACTGCTTGTAAACATTTGGTTAACAAGGCACGTCCTGCACAGCCCTAGATCCCTCAAACCTTGATTTTATACAACACATGTTTTTGTGAACTCCAAGTTGGGTCAAAGTGGTTGGGGCAAAGTGGCTGGGGCAAAGCTACAAATGAACAACATCTCTGCAAAGCAATTGTTTTAAGTACAGATCTTTTTCAAAATGGAGTCTCTTATGTCTTCCCTTTCTACATAGATACAGTGACAGTCTGATCTCTCTTTCTTTTCCCTACACAAATAAAGAGCCCAGTGCCTTTTCTCATTGCTCAAGAGATTGAAGGGGTAGGAAGAAAAGATGTTAAGTTATAAACATGTTTCAGTTTTGGTACCACTTGAGCCAATTTACGTTTTGAAGAGGAAAGAGTCTTGCCTACAAAGTCAGTCCCTGGGTTTTCCTTCTGCTTATGGAATCCAGGCAATGGGCAAAGAGAAAAAGAAAACTAAGGAATCAGCCAGATGCAGTGGCTCATGCTTGTAATCTTGGCCCTTTGGGAGGTTGAGGCAGGTGGACTTCTTGAGTCCAGGAGTTCAAGACCAGCCTGGCCCACATAGTGAGACCCCGTTTCTACAAAAAATACAAAAAGGTGCTGAGCATGGTGGCATGCACCTGTAGTCCCAGTTACTTGGGAGGCTGAGGTGGGAGAACTACTTCAGCCCAGGAGGTTGAGGCTGCAGTGAGCCATGATTGTGCCACTATAATCCTGACTGGGTGACAGAGTGAGGTCCTGTCTCAAAAGAAAACAAAAAAGATAAGAAAAAGAAAACTAGGGAATCTGGACAGAATAAGTTTATATACATAATAAAGAACTGAGATAGAACTGGGTTGACTGAATAATTATTTGAGTTGCTTTTGAGTGAATTTTTCCTATTGGAGTCTACCTTTGTTTTTTTGTGTGTGCGCGTTTTTTGTTTTTTGATTTTTTTTTGTTTAGTTTTGTCTTTGTGTTTTTTTTGAGACTGGGCTCTGTTGCCCAGTCTGCTGGAGTGCAGTGGCACGATCTCAGCTCACTGCAACCTCTGCCTCCTGGGTTCCAGCAATTCTTCTGCCTCAGCCTCCCCAGAAGCTGGGACTACTGGGCATGTACCACCAAGCCCAGCTAATTTTTGTATTTTTAGTAGAGATGGGGTTTCACCATGTTGGCCAGGCCTGGTCTTGAACTCCTGGCCTCAAGTGACCTGCCTCAGCCTCCCAAAGTGCTGGGATTCAGGTGTGAGCCCCTGCGCCCAGCTAGAGTCTACCATTCTTTGAATTCACTGCAGTGCAAAGACTGGAACATGTGGAACTCCAGGGGTATATGTGTTATGTAGAGATGCTAGGGGCAGATTAAGGAAGGAAAGATATGAGAAGCCTGCAGAGCATGCTTTCCCAGACTGTATGGGCCCTGGGAAAGGAGAAGTGGACAGAAAGGGAACACTAGGTACCCTGGAAGAGAAGATTCATCCAAGTCATCAGGGAAGTTACTAATGCAAGGGAAAAAATTTAGAGACAGGGCCAAACACGCTTCTTCCAAGTCCTTTCTGTCTGCTCAGTCACCTCTATGCTTATTTTTCTTCTTTCCTCTAAGTAGTGTCATGCGTTTTCTTCCTATTCCTAGTCACTCCTAGTCAATTAACTCCTCTCTTTACCATCTTTTCATCAGAACTTGAAACCTCCTCTCCTTCATGTATTAGTGATCATGTTTCTCCATAATACTGCTAGAAACAAGAATTGAAACCTGGAAAACCTGCATTTGAGAACCAGATCTCCCTCTGCTAGCTATTTGAGAAGTTATTTTGTTCCATTCTTTTTGTTGTTGTCGAAACAGGGTCTCACTCTGTCGCCCAGGCTAGAGTGCAGTGGTTCAATCTTGGCTCACTGCAGCCTCAATCTCCTGGGCTCAATCAATCCTTCCACATCAGCCTCCTGAGTAGCTGAAACTACAGGTGTGTGCCACCACAGCTGGCTAATTTTTAATGCTTTTTTTTTGTTTACTTATTTTTTTTGTAGAGATGGTATCTTGCTATGTTGTGTAGGCTGGTCTCAAACTCATGGGCTCAAGCGATCCTCCTGCCTTGGCCTCTCAGATGAAATGGGAAAAGTTCTGTTGTCCCCCTCGAAGGGCATGCGATGCGGGTGTGGTTCATTTATTCAGTGCCCCACTGCTCAAACCTCTAGGAGAGCATGTAGACAGGCAGGGAGACCCATGGCAGTGTCCAGGGGTGAATGTTTATAGTTGAAGCCCCAGTGGGCGTGTGTTACAGGGTGCTCTTTTAGTTTAGCCGTCTGTAGGTAGCTTGTGTTAGTCGGCTCAATTAGACCCCCGCCTTATTGCAAGGAGAGAGGGCTCTCTTTGTCCCGGGGTTCTTGCCTTGGTGTACCGGAAGTGGTGCGATCTCAGCTCACTGCAAGCTCCGACTCCTGGGTTCACGCCATTCTCCTACCTCAGCCTCCCAAGTAGCTGGGACTACAGGCACCCGCCACCACGCCTGGCTAATTTTTTTGTATTTTTAGTAGAGATGGGGTTTCACTGTGTTAGCCAGGATGGTCTGGAGCTCCTGACCTCGTGATCTGCCCACCTCGGCCTCCCAAAGTCCTGGGATTACAGGCGTGAGAGTGCAAGGTTTTATTGAGTGGAAGTATCTCTCAGCAGATGGGGGAGCCAGAAGGGAGATGGTTTACCCCTGGAGTTGGGTGATTGGCCAGACTCTTCTCCGAATGTCCCAGCCAAACTCTGCGTTGTTCTGCCGTCAGTGGCCTGCGGTGTGTCGGTGCCCATTGGTGCATTCCTCTTGACGTCCAGCACCCTTGTGTTCCTCTGCTGATGTGCTCCTCTTGAAGTCCAGCTGCCTGTGTGTCTGCCTGCTAGTGTCTCAGGGTTTTTATAGGCACAGAATGGGGATGTGGCAGCCAGGGTGGTCTTGGGAAATGCAACATCTGGGCAGGAAAACAAAAATGCCTGTCCTCACCTAGGTCCATGGACACAGGCCCTGAGGTGGACCCCTAGCCAGGGACCACAACCTCCTCTACCCAGTACTTCCCTTCCTCACTTCCATATCATTTAAAGGGACCACATTCTTCCCTTCTGAGCACTTCCCTTCTGTATCACAAAGTTTTGGGATTATAGGCATGAGACACTGGTCCCAGCCAATTCCGTTCTTTTAATGCAAACTAGAAAATAGGTGTTCAGAAAGGCCTGCCCTATCCACCTCAGGGAGTTGCTATGAAGATCAAATTAGACCATGTGCAACAGAAGTTTAGAAAAGATTCCAAAAGCACTGTGCAATGGGAATGTATTTTTAAACTCCACTGAGTGGACTTAAAACTATGGTTTTCTTTCTTTCTTTCTTTTTGGTTGAGACAGAGTTTCACTCTTGTTGCCTAGGCTGGAGTGCAGTGATGCCATCTTGGCTTACTGCAACCTGTGCCTCCCAGGTTCAAGTGATTCTCTGCCTCAGCCACCCGAATAGCTGGGATTGCAGGTGCCCGCCACCATGCCTAGCTAATTTCTTTCTTTCTTTATTTTTGTCTTTTTAGTAGAGATGGGGTTTCACAGTGTTGGCCAGGCTGGTCTCGAACTCCTGACCTTAGGTGATCCACCCACCTTGGCCTCCCAGAGTGCTGGGATTAAGGCTTTAGCCACCGCACCCAACCTGTGTTTCTTTTTTAAGCAAGAAGACAAATGCCTCTCCCCAGCGCTTACTAAACAAATCCCTCTGTTATTTTTTTTTTCCATAGGATTCTTATCCTTCTTGCCCCACTGCAAACAATCTATTTTCTTTTGGCCCTTCCGTCTGTCTGTGAAAGGGTCATGCTTTCTAGCTAACCCTTAATCAAATATTTTTGATGACCACAGTCAAGACAGTACTTATGTTTTTGGGGGGACGGAGTTTTGCTCTTGTTGCCCAGGCTGGAGGGCAATGGCGCAGTCTCGGTTCACTGCAACCTCTGCCTCCAGGGTTCAAGTGATTCTCTTACCTCAGCCTCCCAAGTAGCTGGGATTACAGGTGCACAACACCACACCCAGCTAATTTTTGTATTTTTAGTAGAGATGGGGTTTCTCCATGTTGGTCCGGCTGGTCTCAAACTCCTGACCTCAGGTGATCTACACACCTCAGCCTCCCAAAGTGCTGGGATTACAAGGGTGAGCAACCCTGACTGGCCAGGACAGAGCTTATTAATGCCTGAGATGCATCCAGGAGCACATGACCTGGCTGTGACTGTTCTAACAAAGTTCCCCAAATGGGTGGCTCAGGATAACAGAAAGTCATTCTCTCCAGTTCCAGAAGCTTGATGTCTGAAACCGGCAGGGCCGTGCTCCCTCTGAAGGCTCTAGGGATGAATCCTTCCTTGCCTCTTCTGGCTTCTGGTGGTTGCTGGCATTCCTTGGCTTGTGGCCACATCATTCCTTTCTCTTCCTTCATTCTCATGTGGCCTTCTCCCCTGTGTGTCTCTGTCTCTTCTTCTCTTCCCATGAGGATGTCATTATTACTCGATTTAAGGTTCACGCTATTCCAATATGACCTCTTTGTAATTAGATCTGCAGTGACCCTATTTTCTTTTCTTTTTTTTGTGATGGAGTCTTGCTCTGTTGCCCAGGCTGGAGTTCAGTGACACAATCTCAGCTCGCTTCAACTCTGCCTCCTGGGTTCAAGTGATTCTTCAGCCTCAGCCTCTGAAGTAGCTGGGATTACAGGTGCATGCCACTATGCCTAGCTAATTTTTATGTTTTTAGTAGAGACAGGGTTTGCCATGCTAGCCAGGCTGGTCTCGAACTCCTGACCTCAAGTGATCCTCCTGCCTCAGCCTCCCAAAGTGCTAAGATTACAAGCATGAGCCACCATGCCCTGCCCCTATTTTCTAATAAGGTCACATTCTGGGATTCCTGGTGAATGTGAATTTTTGGAGGACAGTATTCAGTCTAGCAAAAGGCAGAACATCCTCATTTTCTTCCCTACCTCAGAAATAAAGAAGTTAACTTCAACCCCTCTGAGAGAGAGAGGCTTCCTGAGCTTCCAACAATCAATTATCCAAATATTAGTCACAGAAGGGCACTAAGGGTTGTGCACAGCACGTGGCCAGCCCATTCTCTGAGTCTGTCAAGTTTAAGGTGAACGCTAATCCTGAATGAGTCTTAAAATGTACTTGGCATTTCCTCGTCATTGTAAAATGTTCTCACATTGTGATGGCTGGGGCTTCCCTCTCAGGTGTAATCTGCGAAGTCAGACGTGACACAGCCTGGGTGAGGTGGGCCAAGCCGGGAACTGGGTTAGGAGGGAAGCTGGGGAATGATCTCCAAGGTCTCAGATCCCAAACTGGCTTTAGCCAGATTCACCCAGAGGGATCTCATAAAAAATGCACATTCCGGGGCCCACCCCAGACCTAATGAATCAGAATTACCTGGGAAGGAGCCTGGGGAGCTCTGTTTTCAGAAGCAGCCCAGCCGAATCCTACGGTCAGACAGGGCTAGGAATCCGAGCTCAGTCTAGCGCGGTAGTTCCCAAACTCGTCTGTGCTTCAAAAAATACAGATGCTGATGTCCAGGCATGGTAGCTCATGCCTATAATCCCAGCAGTTTGGGACGCTGAGGCGGGAGTATCACTTGAGCCCAGGAGTTTGAGACTAGCCTGGAGAACATAAGGAGATACTGTCTCTATAAAAAATTTAAAAATTAGCCAGGCGTGGTGTTGCCCGCCTGTGATCCCAGCTACCATGGAGGTTGAAGTGGGAGGGTTTCTTGAGCCCAGGAGTTGGAGCCTGTAGTGAGCTATGATTGTGCCACTGCACTCCAGCCTGGGTAACAGAGCGAGGCCCTGTCTCAGAAACAAAACAAAACAAAAAACGGAGTCTATGTCCCATTCCAGAAGTTGAGGTTTAATTGTTCTTGGGTGTGGCCTGGGTTTTGGAAGATTTAAAAAAAAAATCTCAGGTGACCCTAAAGTGTAGATGAGTTTGGAAACCACACATTTAAGGCACACTTGAATGGGGGAGCAGTGAGGTGGCGCGGGCTAGCTGGCCAGAACCCAGGGGTGGGGCAGTAGGAACCAGCATTGCAGAGGCCATGAAGGCTGGGAAGCATAGTGTCTGGGGCCCATAACAATGCTTCGACATGAATGCTTTAGACCTAAGACAATTGGCTCCTAAATGTGAAAACTGCAAGGCTGAAATGAATGCATGTTTAATGCCTTACAACATTGTCAAGGGATCAGCTGCAACTCCTTTCTGAGGGCATGATGCCTGAGATATGCCTGTAATGGGGGTTGATTTTAATGAATTTAATATGGTGTGGAGTGGGGCCTTCAAAAGTAAAGACGTCAGTTCTAAGTTGGTTGCAGGGTTCTGGGCAAAGGTCTTAAAACCCCATGGTGAGCAGATGGCCAATCCTGAACACCCCAATTTTAAAACAGGGCTTTTTTTCCAAGAGACTTTTTGAAAATAGCTCCTATTTTGAGAGGAGGAACCCTGGCAGGAGAGAGCCAGAGTTAAGCCCAGCTGAGAGGGGGTTGGTAGGCAGGGGTCTGCCTGATCCTCACTGAAGCTTGATACTCAGGGTGAGCTTCCTAAACTAGTGCAGATTTGCCGGCCCACTGAGCCTCCCAGATGAGAACCTGCATTTCAACAAGGTCCTTGATGCAGCAAAGTTTGAGATATACTGGGCTAGAACACTCAGGGGACACAAAGGTTCTCTGAAAACTAAGGAAAATAGGTAGGGTGTGGTGGCTCATGCCTGTAATCCTTGTATTTTGGGATGCCAAGGCGGCCGGATCACCTGAGGTCAGGAGTTTGAGACCAGCCTGGATCAACATGGTGAAACACCATCTCTACAAAAAATACAAAAATTAGCTGGGTGCGGCCGGGCACAGTGGCTCATGCCTGTAATCCCAGCACTTTGGGAGTCCGATGCGGGCAGATCACGAGGTCAGGAGATCGAGACCATCCTGGCTAACACGATGAAACCCTGTCTTTACTAAAAACACAAAAAAATTAGCCGGGCGTGGTGGCAGGTTCCTGTAGTCCCAACTACTCGGGAGGCTGAGGGAGGAGAATGGCATGAACCTCGAGGAGGAGCTTGCAGTGAGCCGAGATTGCACCACTGCACTCCAGCCTGGGCAACAGAGCCAGACTCTGTCTCAAAAAAAAAAAAAAAAAAAAATTATCTGGGTGAAGTGGCAGGTACCTGTAGTCCCAGCTACTTGGGGGGCTGAGACAGGAGAATAGATTGAACCTGGGAGGCGGAAGTTGCAGTGGCCCGAGATCGCACCACTGCACTCCAGTCTGGTGGCAGAGTGAGACTCCATCTAAAAACATAAAAAAAAAATACACAAATAAATAAAAAATAAAAATAAATACTGGGCTAGAAGACCCAGGAGACCCAAAGATTCTCTCAAAACTAAGGAAAATAATCTAGGTCACAAATATATTCTCTTCCTCCTTCTCCCCATTGCCCCCCTCCACCAGTAATCTTTATAGACTCAAATCGAGTTGATGTTCTATAATCAATTCTAGTCACTTTTATTTGTATTTATTTATTTTAGAGATGGGGGTCTCACTATGTTGCTCAGGCTGGTCTCAAATTCCTGGGCTTAAGTGATCCACCCACCTAGGTCTCCCAAAGTGCTGGGATTACAGGCATCAGCCACTGCACCCGGCTGTCACTTTTATTTTTGATGTTCAAATTATAAGCTAATACCTGTGAGACCATAGATTCTTTTTATGCACTCAATACACTTTCTTGTTTACCTTATATTTGTATTATGGAAAAGTTCTGTTTTTTCCACTTGTTTATATTTGATAATGAAGCCCTCTGTGCCTATCACCAGCCTCAGCCGCCATCATCTCATTACCAAGCTGGGTTATTTTGAAACAAATATCTTCTAATATTTAGCCGGTGTTCAAATTTCCCTAACCATCCTAAAGGAATGTTTAGAACAGTTGTTTCATTGGAAACAAGGTCAAAACAAATACATTTTACATTTTTAGGCCAGTCTTGAAAGTAAGTGTAAAACCATGTGTGGGGTAGGAGGTGGGACTAGACTCTCAAGGTGGGGCCTGGATACCAGACCCAATTGAGGACTAGCTAAGACAGATTCCACAGTGAATAACACCAGGAGGTGGGAATATTAAGGTCCATTGTGAAGGATGGCTACCACAATTTTTTGATCAACTAGTTATCAACCCTGACTGAAGCTGAGAGAGATTTGTTTTTGCTTTTTTTTCTTTTTTTTCAGAGACAGGGTCTTGCTACGTTGCCCAGGCTGGACTCAAACTCCTGGGCTCAGGTGATTCTTCTGCCTTAGCCTCCTGAGTAGCTGAGACTACAGGTGTGTGCCACTGTGCCCAGCAAGATTTTAAAAAATACGTATGCCCGGACACCACTCTAAACCAACTAAATGAGAATCAGATATCGTGAAGTCACTAATCATTTTGCTCCTGGGTCTTTATGACAGTTTTGCTCCTGGGAAACTCCTGGGAATGTGGTAGAGAGAGAGAAAGAGATGGGAAAATAAGATTTTAAGAAGTGTTGCTATGCATTTTGAAAATAATTTTTATTTGGTGTTTGTCTTGAGGGAAGGCGGTAAACATTTCAATTGCCTTTAAGTGTGCTTGGATGCTGGAACGATGGTTCTTTGAATGCAGCGTCAAACTGGCATTGGGTCACATGGCAGCCAGCATTAACCTTTATGCCACATTTATAAAACATGAATGTCATGAGCCCACTCTCAGAGACCTTATAATTTGGAGGGTTAGGTCAGATCCACAAATCTCTTCTATCTCATGGCAAAGGAAACCTGGCGTGTAGCAGGAGATGGTATGATAACAATAACATATTGCATGATCAGTATTTGTATTCTTCTTAGCAATATTAAACTTTTTGACCTCCTCCATTGTGTCATCAATTTGCTTAATACAGTTTCTGCCTCAGCGTCTGTTTTTAGGCCTGGCATAAGCTGTTTGAAACCCAGGCACATACCCCACCCATCATCTTTGGCCTAGTTAACACCTCCCCTCCCTGCGTGGTGGTTTGGAGAACCTGCTTGTTCCTCATCCCACTGATCCCAAACCCAGGACACCCCACAGCTGCTGACCAGGATTAAACCTAAGGGAGATTTAATGCCGTTAAATCAGAAGAAATTCTGATTCTCAGGGACTGACATTCATTCACTTAAATACTTGCAGAGTCGGCCAGGTGTGGTGGCTCACACCTGTAATCCCAGCACTTTGGGCAGCCGAGGTGGGTGGATCACGAGGTCAAGATTTCGAGACCAGCCTGGCCAACATGGTGAAACCCCGTCTGTACTAAAAATACAAAAATTAACTGGTATAGCTGTGCGTGCCTGTAATCCCAGCTACTCAGGAGGCTGAGGCAGGGGATTTGCTTGAACCTGGGAGGTGGAGGTTGCAGTGAGCCAAGATTATCCCATTGCACTCCAGCCTGGGCAGCAGAGCGAGACTCTGTCTCAAAAAACAAAAAACCCAAAAACTTGCAGAGTGAATTTAGGAAACCATGTAGTCTACAGTTTGATGCAGTGTCTTCCTTTTCCTCTTTCTCAAATATTTTGAGCCAGGTACTATCCTAGATTGTCTTGTGATATTTACAATCTAGGAGAAGGCAGGAGAGAGAACTAAGAACAGAGAGCATGTTCTGAGATGTCTGCTGTGTTTGCAGGTACCTTCCCTCAATTTCCCTACTCACTGGCCATGCTGGAAAGCAGGTCTTGGAGCCATATTTGTACCATGGTACTTCCCCTCCCTATACTCAATTGGTTGGCCAGAAGCCCAATTGTCATTCTCTCTCTCTCTCTCCCTCTCCCTCTCTTCCTTCCTCCCTCCCTCCCTCTCCAAGATATCCAGTAACTGATTGATCAGCTGGCGGTGGGCTCTGCTGGCTGCCAGGGTGGGCCACCAGCAAAAAGGGAAAATTGGTTGTGAGTGAGAAGAAGAGATAAGAAAGTCCACAGGGCTGATAAGAAAGACCATGGGCTTCCAGGTGCGGTGGTTCACGCCTGTAATCCCAGCACTTTGGGAAGCCAGGATGGCCGGATCACGAGGTCAGGAGATCGAGACCATCCTGGCTCACACGGTGAAAGCCCATCTCTACTAAAAATACAAAAATTAGCTGGGTGTGGTGGCGGGTGCCTGTAGCCCCAGCTAATTGGGAGGCTGAGGTGGGAGAATGGCGTTAACCCCAGGAGGTGCAGCTTGCAGTGAACTGAGATTGCACCACTGCACTCCAGCCTGGGCGACAGAGCGAGACTGCGTCTCAAAAAAAAAAAAAAAAAAGAACAAAAAAAGAAAAAAAAGAAAGAGACCATGGGCTTCTGAGAGCAAGAAAGAGGAATTTTGGTTTCTGTAACTGCAGTTTCCATTCTCTCATGGCCTCTCATTTGTTTCTTGTGCCCATGAGTTTGCCTGTTAGAGATAAGGTGTGTTTCTTGTCCTCAAGCTCATGCAAATGGGTTTCTGTTTCTTACAATCATTGTTCCCAGATATGGATGGTGACTGATGCTCTACTAAATGCTGAAAAAAGGCAGAGTGGAAGCACAGAAAAGCGGGCTTCTCTGAGGAGGTGACGTTAGAGCCCAGTTGGAAGGCAGGAGTAAATGTGCACCATGATTTTTTAGGATTAAAACCAAGTATGTCACTGCTTGGGCACATGTAGATAGAGGTGATTTAACGGTAAAGTGTCCCAGTTGTACCCATTGTCAGTTAGCTCACCACAGGGATTATGTAGCCCTGAGTTTGCTTAGTGCTTATTTATTTTAGGATGTTGTTTATCCAAACCTCTTAAATGATACGTGTTTGGAACAAGTAACAGCATCGTTCATTGATGTTGTGGACAAACCACTATTTTGTTACTCAAGACTGGGTAATTTATAAAGAAAAAGAGGTTTAATGGGCTCACAGTTCCATGTGGCTGAAGAAGTCTCGAAATCATGGTGGAAGGCAAAAGGAATGTCTTACATGGTGGCAGACAAGAGTGATGAGAGCTATTTTGCTCATTGTTCGCTGGCCATAGAATTTACTTCTATATTGTGAACTGAGAGCCAGGCACACAAGACGGTTACAGGTCTGTCTTTTGTTTTTGATGATGATGATGATGATGATGATGATGATGAAATGGCTGACATGGTTGATGACTTGCTTTTTCTCATCATCTCAGACCTAGATTTTTGGCTGGACTATTGGCTTGGGATAGATGAAAATCATTCCTTGTATCCCCTTATCTTAAAGTCAAGACTGAACCAGCCTCCAGACTCAAGCTTTCATGGGACTTCAGATACCATGACGAATGGGTGTCCCTGCAATATTGTCATGGCTGTCAAAAGTGTTATTGGAGCTGGGCAAGTGGGCGCTCTCCTGTCATTCCATCCTCCTTAGATTTCCCATTCAACACCAATCTTATTTCCTTTTTTTTTTATTTTGACAGTCTCGCTCTGTCTTCTAGGCTGGAGTGCAGTGGTGGGATCTCGGCTCACTACAGTGTCCACCTCCCAGGTTTAAGTGATTCTTGTGCCTCAGCCTCCCAAGTAGCTGGGATTGCAGGTGCACACCATCAAGCCTGGCTCATTTTTTTTTTTTTTCTTTTTGTACTTTTAGTAGAGAAAGGGTTTCGCCATGTTGGCCAAGCTGCTCTTGAACTCCTGACCTCAAGTGATCCACCTACCTCGGCCTCCCAAAGTGCTGGGATTACAGGTGTGAGTCACCGTATCTGGCCCCATTTCCTCTTATACCATAAGTCATTGCCTGCAGATGTGTTTTCTCCATTAGTTTGCAAAAGCTTCCTGAGAGTAGGTCTGTGCCTCATTTATTCTGGAATCTCCCTGGCACAAAGCACAGGGCTTTATCTTCAGTAGGCATCCAACAAATGTTTCATTTCATTCAACAGCTCCTCTTACCACTGCCTCCACCTTATTTGCAGGTGGCTAAGTACAATCGGAACAAGTAGGTATCATAAGATTTAGTCCAGAGTCAATTTGAGAAGAAATTACTTTAGTGATATGAAAATAAACCATGCTATTGAGTCAGAATACTTCTGAGAATATCCCCTGTCCAAGCATTTGCTGAATTTCTATGTACTAATTTTCAGGTGGAACAGTATGCTTGCAGAGGGTCCATTTGGACATAGATACACTTTCATACATTCATGTCTTTAACAAGAATTTGTGTCCCTACTGTGTTTGTTCACTAACTCCTTTGAACCTACCACATAAGCTATATCTGTATTTTCCTTGTAATTTGGGAGGTCCAGTGCTTCATTACGCTCATATGCCTGAAACTAATGAAGAAAATAGCTCGTTAACCAGCTAGTATAAAAGTAGCCACCAAATCAAGTCAATCACCGGCCTTAAATTAGCCCAGTACTCCCATCTTGAACGGAGAAGCCCATTCTGAATCACAGTCAAGACATTGATGGAAAAACAACTCCCTCTGGGGATCAAAACCACGCTCACTCCAAATCCTCCTCCCCAGAGTTCTACTCATTGCTCACCCACTGAACCCAGAACTAACCAGAAGTGCTTGAAATGAGGACGGGTAGCTCCATGTACCAATCGGAATTTAAAACTCTATCAATTCCTGCTATAGAAATGAGGCTTCTCCCCAGGACCAGCATTCCACGAAGGCAGCCCTTTTCTAGATGGAGAAAACAGAACCTGAAGACACCCGTTTCCCTAAACTGCTCTCGCTCATGTGTAAGTACAAATGAAAAATGGTGAGGCTGCTTCTGTTGGCATTGCTTTTTAATTATGGCCATCAATAAATCATTTTGTCCTTGAACAAGACTTGAGAATGACCCGAAGGCAGAGGCACAATTACTTAGGAATTAGGCCAACAGAGAATGGGCTATCTCTCTTCCCACCCCTTCTCTTACTCTGCTGTCAGAAACAGAAACGTTCTCTGTGAGTAGCTGGGAGTAGACGGCCACACTTGAGTTCCATCTCGGGGTTCTGTTAACACAGTTTTACCCCATCCTGCCTCGATGGCCACTGCCACACAAGCTGCATCTGTTCTTTCTTCTGCGCCTTTTGTTACTTCGTTGTTTTTCCTCTTTCTAGTGTAGTGAGCTGAATGGTGGCTTTGCACAATATATATCCAGATCCTTGTGCCTAGAATCTGTGGAGGTGGCATTATTTGGAAAAAGGGTCTTTGCAGATGTAATTAAGGATCTCGAGATTATCCTGGAGTAATTTAGGTAGGCTGTACATCTAAAGACAAGTGTCCTTATAAGAGGACACTTTTGTCCCGGCGCAGTGGCTCATGCCTGTAATCCCAGCACTTTGGGAGGTCGAGGCGGGTGGATCACCATAGGTCAGGAGTTTGAGACCAGCCTGACCAACATGGAGAAACCCCATCTCTACTAAAAATACAAAATTAGCCGGGCATGTTGGCGTATGCCTGCAATCCCAGCTACTGGGGAAGATGAGGCAAGAGAGTTGCTTGAACCCAGGAGGAGGAGGTGGCAGTGAGCTGAGGTCATGCCATTGCACTCCAGCCTGGGCAACAAGAGTGAAACTCCATCTCAAAAAAAAAAAAAAAAAAAAGGACACCCTTTTTCTGGCGCGTCCGTGTGAAGAGACCACAAAACAGGCTTTTTGTGAGCAATAAAGCTGTTTATTTCACCTGGATGCAGGTGGGCTGAGCCCAAAAAGAGAGTCAGCGAAGGGAGATAGGGGTGGGGCCATTTTATAGGATTTGGGTAGGTATAGGAAAAAGGGGGGTTCTCTGGCAGGCAGGAGTGGGGGTCACAAGGTGCTCAGTAGGGGAGCTTTTGAGCCAGGATGAGCAAGGAGAAGGAATTTCACAAGATAATGTCATCAGTTAAGGCAGGAACAGGACATTTTCATTTATTTTGCGGTGGAATGTCATCAATTAAGGCAGGAACCGGCCATCTGGATGTGTACATGCAGGTCACAGGGGATATGATGGCTTAGCTTGGGCTCAGAGGCCTGACGTTCCTGTCTTCTTATATTCATAAGAAAAATAAAATGAAATAGTGGTAAAGTATTGGGATGGTGAAAATTTTTGGGGGGTGTTATGGAGAGACAATGGGCGATGTTTCTCAGGGCTGCTTCCAGTGGGATTGGGGTGGCATGGGAACCTAGAGTAGGAGAGATTAAGCTGAAAGAAGATTTTGTGGTAAGGGGTGATATTGTGGGGTTGTTAGAAGAAACATTTTTCATTTAAAATTATTGGTGATGGCCTGGATACAGTTTTGTATGAATTGAAAAACTAAACGGAATAAGAGAAGGAGAAAAACAGGTATTAAAGGACTAAGAATTGGGAGGACCTAGGACATCTAATTAGAGAGTGCCTAAGGAGGTTCAGCATAGCCTTGCCAGCAAAGATTATTTAAGAGTTAAGAGTGGTGGTTTGGGGATAGCACCAGGAGATGTCAGCTGTGATGGCTTGGAGAAACAGTGTAAACCACCAGTGTAAACAAGAGCAGGACATATATGAGTAGTTGAGAATGGTGAATAGGAGTATGGCTAGACAGAAGATAGTAGGGATGACAAGTTTTTTGGGGCACAGTCCAAGTTGGTCTTGTGTCTGGAATGAGACTGGAGCCTAACAAAAAGGAGTGTCTATACAGGAGATCCAAGGGGTATCGGGGGACCTGCCCCGATAATCACGTAGGTTCTTCTCTATTTTCCTAAGCATTGACTGGCTTGAGAAATAAAAGGACAGAGTACAAAAGAGAGAAATTTTAAAGCTGGGCGTCCGGGGGAGACATCACACATTGGTAGGATCCATGATGCCCCACAAGCCACAAAAACCAGCAAGTTTTTATTAGGGAGTTTCAAAAGGGGAGGGAGTATACGAATAGGTGTGGGTGACAGACATCAAGTACTTAACAGGGTAATAGAATATCACAAGGCAAGTGGAGACAGGGCGAGATCACAGGACCACAGGACCGAAGTGAAATTTAAATTGCTAATGAAGTTTTGGCACCATTGTCATTGATAACATCTTATCAGGAGACAGGGTTTTGAGATCAACCGGTCTGACCAAAGTTTATTAGGCGGGAATTTCCTCTTCCTAATAAGCCTGGGAGCGCTATGGGAGACTGCAGTTTATTTCACCTCTGCAATCTCGACCTTAAGAGACAGGTAAGCCCCGGGGGGCCAGTTCAGAGACCTACCCCTAGGTGCGCATTCTCTTTCTCAGGGACGTTCCATGCTGAGAAAGGAATTCAGTGATATTTCTCCCATTTGCTTTTGAAAGAAGAGAAATATGGCTCTGTTCTGCCGGGCTCACCAGCGGTCAGAGTTTAAGGTTATCTCTCTTATTCCCTGAACGACTGCGGTTATCCTGTTCTTTTTTCAGGATGTCCACATTTCATATTGCTCAAACACACATGCTGTACAATTTGTGTACTTAACGCAATTATTACAGGGTCCTGAGACGATATACATCCTTCTCGGCTGACAGGATTAAGAGATTAAAGCAAAGACAGGCATAGGAAATCATAAGGATATTGATTGGGGAAGTGATAAGTGTCCATGAAATCTTTACAATTTATGTTTAGAGATTGCAGTAAAGGCAGGCATAAGAAATTACAAAAGTATTAATTTGGGGAACTAATAAATGTCCATAAAATCTTCACAATCCACGTTCTTCTGCCATGGCTTCAGCCTGTCCCTCCGTTTGGGGTCCCTGACTTCCTGCAACAAATGGGCTGTACCTTGTAGCATTCCAAGGACAGGCCGGAATTCTGAGAAGGGAAAGTGGTAAAAGTATTGTCCAGTCGTTTTTAAGTTGGTGGCTGAGCTTGGTAAGGTGTGTTTTTAAAAGAGCATCAGTCTGTTCTACCTTTCCTGAAGATTGAGGACTGTAAGGGATATAAAGGTTTCACTGAATACTAAGAGCCTGAAAAAATGCTTGGCTGACTTGATTACTAAAGTTAGTTCTGCTATCGGACTGTATAGAGGTGGGAAGGCCAAACTGAGGAATTATGTCTGACAGAAGAGAAGAAATGACCGTGGTGGCCTTCTTAGACCCTGTGGGAAAGGCCTCTACTTATCCAGTGAAAGTGTCTACCTAGACCAAGAGGTATTTTAGTTTCCTGACTCGGGGCACGTTGAGTAAAGCTAATTTGCCAGTCCTGGGTGGGGGCAAATCCCTGAGCTTGATGTGTAGGGAAGGGAGGGGGCCTGAAGAATCCCTGAGGAGTAGTAGAATAGCTGATGGAACACTGAGAAGTTATTTCCTTGAGGATAGATTTCCACGATGGAAAGGAAATGAGAGGTTCTAAGAGGCGTGCTAGTGGCTTGTACTATAGCATACCCTGCTTTTGCTGGTGTGTGGCAATTAGGCCTGGTGTAACTGCCATCAATAAACTAAGTGTGGTAAGGGTGAGAAACAGGGAAGAAGGAAATGTGGGGAAATGGGGTGAACGTCAGGTGGATCAGAGAGATGCAGTCATGAGGGTCAGGTGTGGTATCAGGAATAATGGGGGAGGCCGGATTGAAGTCTGGGCCAGGAACAATGGTAATTGTGGGAGACTCAACAAAGAGTGAGTACAGCAGAAGGAGCCGGGGAGCAGAATGTATATGTGGCAGGTGTGAGGAAGACAATAGATTTTGGAAATTATGAGAGCTGTAGAGAGTGAGTTGAGCATAGTTTCTGATTTTAAGGGCCTTTAAAAGTATTAGGGTGGCAGCAGCTGCTGCACGGAGACACAACGGCCAACCTAAAACAGTAAGGTCAAGTTGTTTGGACAAAAAGGCTACAGGACGCCATCCTGGTCCTTGTGTAAGAATTTCAACTGCACAGCGCTGCACTTCGGCTGTGTGTAATGAAAAGGGTTGGGATGAGTCATGGAGAGCTAGTGTAGCAGGACGAGTTCCAGACAAAACTCCTCAGACACCAGATTAAAGAAGGAAGAGGTTTTTTTATTGGGCCAGGAGCGTCGGCAGACTCGTGTCTTAAGAGCTGAGCTCCCTGAAAAAGAAATTCCTAGCCCTTTTAAGGGCTGACAACTCTAAGGGTTCTACGTGAAAAAGTCATAATAGATCAAGTAAGCTTGAGGAACGTGACTGGGGGCTACATACATCAGCTAACAGAACAAAAAGTTTTTACAGTGCTTTCTCATACAATGTCTGGGATTTACCGATAACAACAGTAGTTTTGGTCAGGGGTTAATATTATTGTTACTTTAACCACCAGGGCCAGGTGGTGGCGCCAAAGTCGTCTAGGTATTTATTTTACTTCTGTTTTTTCCAGCTTTTTGCTTTCTCCCTTTTTCGCTGTCTTATAAACTAGGGAAAAGGGGAGGTTGGGGAGAAACTGGGAAGGACAACAGGAGAAGTGGTGGTCTCATACCATATTTCCCCCCTTTGAGCATTTTCACTTTTTAGTGGGAGTTCTCACTCTCATCTTTACTTTTTGAGTCTCTTTGTGAGATAGAGCGATAGTGATTTATATAACACACGTGTGCTGAAGTTTTCTGATGAACCAAAGTAGCAACAAAATCTTTTATCATTTGAAAAAGCAAGAGTAATACACAGGGGAGCAGCAAGTAAGTTCCTATCACTAGCAATACACCTACAATGAGGGTTTTAAATCCTCCTATAGCTGGAAACCATTTTTCAAATAAAGACTCAGGATTAAACTCGTGCCAAACCTCTACAGGCACATGTGCAACCTTTGTCATGTCCCTGACTATGTTTTTAACCACCTGTCCTTGATCATTTATTTGTAGGCAGCAGTTGGTTAAGTTAAATTTTCCACAAACTCCTTCAGCTACTAGCAAGTAGTCTAAGGCCAGTCTTTTCTGATAGATAGCATTCCTCATTTGGGTTTCTTGCAAAGCTAAAACAGTCAAAGCTCTGCCAGTTTCATTAGTAATTATTTCTTAGACGGACTGCAACCGTATGATCCAGTTGAGCATGTAGATGGGGGTTTGGTATCCCCATGAGCCATCTTGTGCCCATGTGGCAGGCCCATAATACTGAATGATCCTTTCAGGGGGCCACTCATTATCTTTCCAGTTTCCTATAACTATGCCTTTATTTTCTCAGGAGGCATAGACAGGGAAACCTAGGAGCTCACCCATTTTTATGGGTAATAAGAGAAAGGACGGCTTAATAGTGCCAATAACACAACTGTCTGCCCATTTATTAGGTAACCGAATGTAGGCTCTGTGCCTACATATCAGGTATAGTCCAGTGGGAACCGTCCAGTCCTAATGAGATTCTGCATGAGCCTAAGCAGTTTTTAATTTAGAAAATTTACTAAATGGATTATTTTCAGTGTGGGTTAGGCCCTACTAAGTAATTGTCTTTGTTGTGCTGTTATACAACTTCTGTCCTATACAATTAAGCTTTCCTACAGGGATGATAAAGTCTTTCCCTTCTCTAGCTATACAGTATTGTCTAATAATTGAGGTTTTATGACCTAGAAGTTGCTAGCTTGGGCCTTCTGAACTGGAATTATATCAGGAGCTGGATCAGTAGACACCAACTCTCGGGCTTCCGAAGGCCATCTGTCTCCGATAGTGGTTCCTCCGCATACATAACAAGAAGTAACATTAAGGGAATTAGCTACATTTTCTGCTAATTGGAGAAACAAATTTTTTGTCTTTTTCAGAAGTTCTGGTGTTGGCAGATTCAGCTCCTCATAAAACGTTTGAAATACTGTTTTGGGAGAGCACTTGTGGACCTCCCCTCTAATTAAAATGGCAACTTGAGGGTTTAACCCTGTCCTATTGATCCCCAGGGTTACACGTTCTCCCTTTTTCCAAAGGGGATCTAGGGGATTGGTAATTATTAGTTCTAGTGGGTTACAGTGACCGGCGGCCCAGGAGGGGTTGGCTTCTCCCTTCTGAAGATAAACCGAGTCATTTTTGTTCTTTTTTTAAGTAGCCTAAATAACACATGGCCAATAGGCACAATTTTTACAAACCCCTGACTCATGACAAACATATTTATTTTCTACTCTTTAGCTCCTTTCTCAGTTAAGAGAACCACATCCTATTTCTAGCTTTTTACTATTAATGGCTGCACAAGCATCAAATCTTAAAGTTATTTGCTTGGGGATTTCTTTTTCTTCTGTTCTAGTTATTATTTTACTTGTATCACCTAGCAAAAGGCCAGTTCTTATTTCAAAAACGGTGGTTGCAGGGGGCTCAGATGGGTTATAACACTCATCAGGTCGGTCATTTCTCGGGCTACATACCTTGTACTGAGTGGCATTATACAAACAAGTTTCTTTTAATGTTTCCATACATTCATAATAACTATAGAACAGAAAGATTGTTTTAATTTGCTGTCCTACTTCGGTGACCTGATAAATACACTGGGAACAGTCCCCATTTTGAGTAAGGTTAGTTGAAGCCCTTACTGTATAAGTCCAAAATTTAAGAAAAATGAATCTAACGATGAGCTTCCTCATGCTTCGGCCATGCGTGGACCAGTCAGCTTCCAGATGTGACTGGAGCAGGGCTTGTCGTCTTCTTCAGGGTCACTCTGCAAGGGTTGTCTGGGCTTGGTCTTGCCTCCCAGGTTTCCGGCGCTGCAGGTTTTACACAGCTGTGGTGGTTCCAGACTGGGATTCCTTCTACCTTCACAGCGGTGGGAGTGCTCAGGACGACAGTCTGGGGTCCGTTCCACAGTGGACACAAAGAGGCTACTTTCCAGTCCTTGATCCACACTCGATCACCTGGGGAGAAAGGGTGAACTGGGGAGAATAAACTAACAGGGCATCTCTCATTTACCCAGGCTGAGATTGTCTGTGTAATTTTTCCTAAAGCCTGTAGCTGTCGCTGTAACTTAATCTCACCTAACTCTCAGGGAGTGCCTGGAAGTCCCCGCAATATAGGAGGGGGCCTATGATATAATATTTCATAAGGGGAATATCCTGTTCTTTTAGAAGTGGTACATCTAATTTTAAATAATACCATAGGGAGAGCCTGTATCCATTTTAATCCTGTTTCCTGACATACTTTCCCTAAACTATTTTTGATAGTTCAATTCATTCGCTCCACCTTTCCAGAACTCTGAGGCCAGGAGGCAGCATGCAGTTTCCGTGTGATCCCCAATACCTTTGCCGCCTTCTGTACTAAGTCAGCCACAAACGCCGGCCCATTATCTGAACTGATCCATAAGGGCAGTCCAAATCTAGGAATAAGATCTCGAAGAAGCACATGAGTTACTTCATGAGCTTTCTCAGTTCGTGTTGGATAAGCTTCCACCTACCCAGGGTAGGTACGCCCAAGAACTAGTAAATACTTGTTACCTCTACACTTTGGCATCTCTGTGAAGTCCATCTGGAGCTCTTCAAAGGGGGCTGTTCCATAAGTTTGTATGCCGGGTGGAACGGCTGGACCCTGCCTCGCATTATGCTGTCGGCAGGTAACACACCACTGCGTCACCGTTTCGGCAAGGGCTGACAAATGCGAGATGTAGAAATACCAGCCTAACAACTTTTCAAGTGATTCCTAACCTAGATGGGTGGTTTCACGCACAGCCAGTACAACTGCAGCTCCTAGCAGCTGTGGCACAGCTACTCTCCCATCCGGTAACCGAATTCATCCTTCCTCCATCACTTGTCCTCTCTCTGCCTGGAGAAAGTCCTTTTCTTCTTTAGAATAAGTAGGTACCAGATCAGGTGCTTGAGGGAGCAGGGGGGTTGTGATTGATGCCCAGAAGGGGGCAGATGCTGCTTTTCGAGTCTCTAAGTCAGCGCAGGAATTCCCTAAACCCACCAAGGTGGAAGCTCGCTTGTGTCCTCTGCAATGCATAACTGCCACCTTGTGGGGTCTCCATACGGCTTTTAATAATTGCAAGATTTATTGTTGATATTTTATGTCTTTTCCCCCAGAGTTCAATAAGCCCTTTTCTTTATATAATGTTCCCTGCATTTGAAGGGTTGAAAAGGCATATTGAGAGTGAGTGTAAATGTTGACATTCTTAGCTTCACTGAGTTCTAAGGCCCGAATGAAAGCAATGAGTTCAGCTTTCTGAGCTGAAGTGCCCTGGGGAAACGATCTGGCTTCAGCAACAGTGTCCAGAGTTACCACCGCATAGCTTGCACATCTCTCTCCCTGTGGGTTGATGAAGCTGCTCCCAGCCACGTGTAGTTCCTAGTCTACTGATGCCTAAGGCTGTTCCTGGAGGTTAGGTCTGCTAGAGTAAACTGAGTCCAACACTTCTACACAGTCATGCTCGACAGGGCTCTCTGATACTGGGAGCAAGGTAGCGGGGTGTAGGGTGTTACAAACCTCAATGGTTATGCGGGGATTTTCACAGAGCAAACTTTGGTACTTAGTGAGTCTAGCATTCATTAGCCAATGATGTCCTTTAGTATTCATGAAAGTCACCACAGCATGGGGGGCCTTTACGTTCAGGTTTTGTCCAAGAGTCAGCTTATCTGCTTCTTGTACTAGCAGGGCAGTTGCTGCCAAGGCCCTCAAACAAGGGGCATCCTTTAGAAACCCCGTCTAGTTGTTTAGAGAGGTAGGCCACCGGCCTTGGCCAGGGCCCCACAGTTTGGGTTAAAACACCAACTGCCATCTTTTCTCTTTCTGACACATACAATGGAAAAGGCTTTATTAGATCGGGTAGCCCCAGGGCTGGGGCTGACATAAGTCTTTCCTTTAACTCATGAAAGGCTTGCTGTTGCTGGCATCCCCATTCAGAAAGTTCCCGGTCCCCCCACTTTGTGACCTCATACAAAGGCTTGGCTAATACTGCAAAGTTTGGGATTTACAGTCCGCAAAACCCCACAGCCCTTAAAAATGCTCTCACCTGCCTTCTGGTCTTAGGCTCCGGTAGATTGCAAATGACCTACTTTCTTTCTGATCCTAGGCTGCTCTCCCCCTGTCGGATAGTAAATCCTAAGTAACGTACCTGCCGTCGGCAGATCTGAGCTTTTTTCTTGGACACCTTATACCCACAGTCCTCCAGGTGCCGCAGTAGAGCATCTGTTCCCTTGGCGCACCCGACTGCCGTGGGGTGTCCCAGCAAAAGATCATCAACCTACTGGAGCAACACGCAGTCTAGGTCTCTGGTGGGAAACTTCTGGAGGTCTCGAGGCAATGTCTCCCCGAAGATAGTGGGGGAGTTCTTGAACCCTTGGGGAAGCCGGGTCCAAGTGTACTGAGTAGTGACACCTGACTCCGGATCTTCCCACTGAAAGGCAAACAGCTTCTGGCTCTCAGGGGCTAATCTGATGCTAAAGAAAGCATCTTTCAGGTCCAAGCAGGTGAAGCAGCTGTCCTCAGCTGGCAGCAACCCCAGCAATGTGTACGGGTTAGGTACTGCTGGATGTAAAGTCACTGTAGCCTGATGAAGCAAGCGCAAATCCTGTACCGGCCTGTAGTCCTTGGTCCTAGGCTTGGGAACAGGCAGGAGGGGAGTGTTCCATGGAGACTGACAAGGAACTCTAATTCCAAAAGTTCTTAGGTGCTTGAGATGGACCTGGATACCTTCAAGAGCTTCTCTGGGGACCGGCTCCTGTTTTTGCCTAAATGGCTGGGCCCTAGGCTTAACTTCTATAAGTACGGGGGCTTGGTTGACTGCCAACCCTGGAGGGTTGTCTTCCACCCGTACTCTTGGCCACCGCTTAGCCAGAGCTGGTCTTATCTCTTGGCCCGACTCAGTTAAGAAAAGTCTCCATTCCTCCTCTCGGGGGACGGTAAGGGTCATAATGACTCCTGTTCCGGGTAACTTTAGCAGCGAAGAGCCATGCTCTGTAAAAGAGATAGTGGCTCTCTGTTTGCTAAGCAAGTCCCTTCCCAATAAGGGCAAGGGACAGTCAGGCGTGGACAAAAACTGATGAATCACTTTATGTCCTCCTACAGTACAAGTCCAGGGCAAGCAGAAACTTGCTTTGCGGAAACCCCTGTGGCTCCGATGATGTCAATAATCTTTTTGTATAAGGGGGCGACCGGGACGGTTACTACTGAATGTTTAGCACCAGTATCTACAAGAAAATCAATGTCTTTACCCCTAACTGTCATCCTGAACATAGGCTCTTTCGGGGTCCTTGAGCCCGGTCCCCCTCAGTCCAATAACCCTTCTGCCAGGTTGAGCAGGGCCCCTTTCTCCTTGTCTGGAGCCTCTTGCTCCGAGTCACCTTGTTTTCTTTTTAGCTGAGGGCATTTGCTCTTCCAATGTCCTATTTCTTTACAATAAACACACTGATTACGCTGCAACCTTTGACAGCCAGGCTGAGTTTCTTTCCCGGGGCCCCCCTTCCCTTGCCTCTTTTGGGGGACCCCTCTGTTTGCTGCCGCTAACAGGTCGGCGTTTCGCTGGGCCTGACGTTCCTTCTCTCTGCAGTTTTCCTTATGGCTTACTGCATCCCTGTTTACAAACACCTGGTTAGTTACTTCTAATAACTGTGATGTGTTCATCCCTGCAAACCCAGCCTGTTTCTGCAGTTTTCTTCTAATGTCTTCTGCGCTTTGACTAACTAAAGCCATGTTAATCATGCATTGATTTTCAGGGCTATCGGGATCAAAGGGTGTATACATACCATAGGCATCACACAGTCTCTCCTAGAATTGTGCTGGACTTTCTTCTTTTCTCTGAATGACCTCAGAGACCTTGTTAACATTTGTGGCCTCCTGGGCTCCCCTCTTTAATCCTTCCAAGAGAGCTTCCCTGTATCGGTTTAGCCTTTGCATATCCTCTCTTTCATTTGGGTCCTTCTGGGGGTCGGTTCCAGTAACTGGGTCCTTACATACTCTTGGGGGTTTTGGTAATCAGCCGGTGCATGTTCCTCTAGCCACTTAGTTGCTGCTTCTAGCACTCTCCATTTTTCATCTGTGTTAAAGAGGAACATGTGCAGCTGGTGACAATCAGTCCAAGTGGGGTTGTGGGTCTGGATATTAGTTTGGAGCAAATCAATTAGAGCTTGTGGCTTTTTGGTATAGGATGGGGTACTATTTTTCCAGTTGAGAAGGTGGGCAGAGGTGAAGGGCTGGTACACAGAAACACGCCTCCCCACCACATGACCATCCTCATCTATCCCTGTATACCGCTGCTCTCTCAGGAGCATTTGGATCCCCGTTTTGGGTCTTAAACGAGCTGCCAAGGGAGGGGTTCCTCCCGAGTCCTCACCTCTTCTTTTGTATACTCTGGATTGCCTAGGGATATGTTTGTCTTGTGGAGGCCCAAGCACTGTGGACTCAAAAGTGGGGAGCCTTTCTCCCTGGTAAGGGGAGGGCACCACTGGGATCACTGGTGCCATCTCCTGCAATGCATGTTCTGCTGTTGGGTTGAACAGATCTTCAGGTGTTGATTTCCCTCGGCGGGTGGAGCACGATCCTTCCTTGGCTATCTGTCCCTACGCTACTAGCACTGCTGCTGCCTGCCCTCTTAGCCACTGTGGGGGGTTTAGCATCAGCTGTAACCAAGTGTCTATGTATGGAAACTGGTCTGAGTGTCCTGACTTACCAATTACCTTGTGCCATACCTTAGAAACAAGGGACCTGCCCAGGCTTCCTTCTGATGGCCAACCCACTTCTAAAGCTGGGCAATCTATTTCACACAAAGTTCTAAATTTCCCTGGTGTCATAGTAACCCTATAGTCTCCATTAAATCCTTTCTTAAAATTTTTCATCATAGTTCCTAGCAGAGTAGGCTTACTTTGTGTCTGACCCACGTTTCCTCGAGACAAAACACCAAGCTCACACCACACGCACACCACAGAACAAAGAATGAGTAAAAAGGGCACACACACACTTTTTCAGTTTTCACCAAACCAGAATCAAAACCAAAATCGGAGTATCCAGAAATCCAAGCCAGGTCAAACCAAAACCAAAGTATCAAGCAATTCAATTCAAGTCAAAAACAAAAACCAAAGTGCCAGTACAGGCACGCCGTGGGTGATCAGGCCACACTTCCACTCAAATAGAGTGGGCAAGTTCCAAAGACCAGTCTTACCAAGTTTCAAATGTCCAGACTCCAAGTGCCTGTTCCTTCCCGGTGTTCACCCACTATGTTGATCCTCCACCGGGGCCTACCACACACTGCTCTGACGAGGCATTCCACCGGGTCAATTGCCTACCCAGGAGAGCTCTCAGGATCCGCGTCGCTCAAACTGGCAGGAGTCCCCCGCAGGGATGCTCCACAGGGCAGGCCTAAGCCGCCTAAAGGGCTGCCTCAACTGCCGTCAATTACCTCGCTTCCCGGTCAGGGAACCAAGACTAGGGTGGGGGCAGTCTTTAAAGCTGTCTTCAAGGAACAGAAAGAGGAGTGGGGAAAGGATTTAGGATCTATGGGGTCAGCTAGGTTTCCTTTTGTGAGTTTATATAATGGTTTTGTTAGGATGGCAAAACCAGATATCTAAAGGTGAAAGTATCCAACCATGCACAGGAAGGAAAGGAGTTGTTGTTTTGTAGAAGGGGTTGGGGTTTGAGAGATGAGTCACACACGATCGGCAGAGAGAGCACGTGTGTTTTTATGAGAATTATGCTGAGATAGGTAACAGATAAGGGAGAAATTTGGGCTTGACTGAAGTAATGGGGGCTGTCTGTGAAGCTTTGCGACAGTACAGCCCAGGTAATTTGCTGAGCTTGATGGGTGTCAGGGTCAGTCCAAGTGAAAGCGAAGAGTGACTGGGATGAAGGGTGCAAAGGAATAGTAAAGAAAGCATGTTTGAGATTCAGAACAGAATAATGGGTTGTGGAGGGAGGAACTGAGGATAGGAGAGTATATGTGTTTGGCACCTTGGGGTGGATAGGCAAAACAATTTGGTTGATAAGGCACAGATCTTGAACTAACTTGTAAGGCTTGTCTGGTTTTAGGACAGGTAAAATGGGGGAATTGTAAGGAGAGTTTATAGGCTTTAAAAGGCCATGCTGTAGCAGGTGAGTGATAACAGGCTTTAATCCTTTCAAAGCATGCTGTGGGATGGGATATTGGCATTGAGAGGGGTAAGAGTGATTAGGTTTTAATGAGATGGTAAGGGGTGCATGATAGGTTGCCAAGGAGGGAATAGAGGTATCTTCTACTTGTGGGTTAAGGTGGGTGGCAATGAGATGTGGCTGTAGTCCAGGAATAGTCAGGGAAGCAGATAATTTAGTTAAAGTGTCTCAGCCTAATAAGGGAACTGGGCAGGTGGGGACAACTAAAAAGGAGTGCTTAAAAGAGTATTGTCTAAGTTGGCACCAGAGTTGGGGAGTTTTAAGAGGTTTAGAAGCCTGGCTGTCAATACTCACAACAGTTATGGAGGGAAGGGAAACAGGCCCTTGAAAAGAAGGTAATGTGGAGTGGTTAGCCTCCGTATTGATTAAGAAGGGGATGGACTTATCCTCCACTGTGAGAGTTACCTAGAGCGTCTGTGATGGTCCTGTAGGCTTCCGAGGTGATCTATCAGGCAGTGTCAGTCTTCAGCTGCTAAGCCAAGAAGATCTGGGAAGGAATCAGTCAGAGAGCCTTGGGCTGGAGTTCCAGGGGCTCTAGGAGTGGCTGCCAGGTGAGTTGAACAGTCCGATTTCTAGTTGGGTCTCGCACAGATGGGACATGGCTCAGGAGGAATCCCGGGCTGCAGGCATTCCTTGGTCTGGTGGCCAGATTTCTGGCACTTGTAGCAAGCTCCTGGGGTAGGTGGTTCTGGAGGAATGCCTGGCCACTGCGCTTTAGGCGTTTGGAAGTTCTTGTGTGCTGGAGATTTGGCTGGGCTTTGTCTCACAGTGGAGGCAAGGAATTGCAACTGAGAAATATGTTGCTGCTAGGCTGCCTCTACTCCATTATTGTACACCTTGAAGTTGAGGTTAATTAAGTCCTGTTGTGGGGTTTGAGGGCCGGAATTTAATTTTGGAGTTTTATTTAATGTCGGGAGCAGATTGGGTAATAAAATGTATATTGAGAATAAGACGGCCTTTTGACGTTTTAGGGTCTAGGGCTGTAAAGCATCTCAGGGTTGCTGCCAAACGAGCCATGAACTGGGGTGGATTTTTATATTTGATGAAAAAGAGGCTAAATGCTATCTGATTTGGGATAAAGAAAAAGGAGCATTAACCTTGACTATGTCTTTAGCTCCAGGCACCTGTTTAAGAGTAAATTGCTGGGCAGGTGGGGGAGGGCTAGTCACGGAATTAAACTGTAAGCCAGACCCAGTGTGAGGAGGGGAGGTGATAAAAGGATTATAGGGTGGAGAAGTGGAGGCTGAGGAAGAATTGGGACCTAGCTCAGGCTGGCCAGGATGGGAGAGGTCAGATGGGTCTGTAGAAAAGGAAGATTAGAAAGACTCAGCGACACTTGGGGTTGGGACTGAGGGGACAGGTGGGAGGGAAAGGAGGAAGATTTCGGATGAGTTGCACTGGGAACAGAGACTAGGGAGGGACCAATGTGTAAAAGAATGCCTGGACATCAGGCATCTCAGATCATTTGCCCATCTTATGACAAGAAGTATCTAGATCTTGTAGGATGGAAAAATTGAAAGTGCCATTCTCTGGCTATTTGGAACCACTGTTGAGTTTGTATTGGGGTCAAGTAGCATTGTAGAAGAAAATAAGGCATTTAGGTTTTAGGTCAGGTGTGAGTTGAAGAGGTTTTAGGTTTTGAAGAACACAGGGTAAGGGAGAAGAAAGGGGAATGGAAGGCGGAAGCTTGCCCATAGTGAAGGAGGCAAGCCTAGAGAAAAGAGAGAGTAGAGAGATGGAGAGAAGGGGTGGGGGGTTCTTGCCTTCCAGAATAGAGGGAAAGGGTTGGGGGCACAGAAATAAAGGGTTGGGGTGCAGAGATAAGAGGTCAGGTTATGGAAATAAGGGATCGGGACACAGAGATGAGGTCAGGGCATGGAAATAAGGGATCGGGGTGCAGAGATAAGAGGTCGGGGTTCCTGTCCCTCCCCCAGAAAAGTGGGACATGCTGCTAAGGGTGAAGGAGAAGGGGTTGAGGGGTTCTTGTCCCTCCCCCAGAAAAGCAGGTTTTGCTGCTAAGGGTGAAGGAACAAGGCAGGCATCCCTGCATGGTCTGACACCTCTGAAACCTCGGTGAATAATCAGAGAGGTGTCCCTGCAATAATTAAACACCAAGGAAAGGCTGCCTTCCCTAGTCCGTGACTGGTGCCAGAGTTTTGGGTCCACAGATAAAACGTGTCCCCTTTGTCTCTACCAGAAAATGAAAGGAATTGAAATTAAGAGAAGGGAGAGATTGAAGTGTGGTGCCAAGATTGGGAGGAGAAAGAGGTGGAGGGATAGTGAGGGAGGTTGGAGAAGAGAGTAAAAAGAAGCCGCTTACCAGACTTGAAATTGGTGAGATGTTTCTTGGGCTGGTCGGTCTGAGAACCTGAAGTCATAGGTGGATCTTTCTCACAGAGCAAAGAGCAGGAGGACAGGGGATTGATCTCCCAAGGGAAGTCCCTCGATCCCAGTCACGGCACCAAATTTCACATGCATCCATGTGAAGAGACCACCAAACAGGCTTTGTGTGAGCAGTAAAGCTGTTTATTTCACCTGGGTACAGGTGGGCTGAGTCCAAAAAGAGAGTCAGTGAAGGGAGATGGGGTGGGGCAATTTTATAAGATTTGGGTAGGTAAAGGAAAAAGGGGGGTTGTTCTCTGGCAGGCAGGAGTGGGGGCCACAAGGTGCTCAGTAGGGGAGCTTTGGAGCCAGGATGAGCAAGGAGAAGGAATTTCACAAGATAATGTCATCAGTTAAGGCAGGAACCGGCCATCTGGATATGTACATGCAGGTCACAGGAGATAATGATGGCTTAGCTTGGGCTCAGAGGACTGACACTCTTCCTCCAGAGGAGGAGACCCAGACAGAAGAGGAGGAGGCAAGGTGATCACAGAGGCAGAGATTGGATCATGCAGCCACAAGTTGAGGAATTCTAGTAGCCTCTACAAGCTGGAAGACGCAAGGAATGGATTCTCCCCTAGAACCTCTGAAGGAGCATTCTCCTGCTGACATTTGATTGATTTTGGACTTCTGGCCTCCAGACAATTAATTTTTTTTTTTTTTTTTTTTTTTTTTTTTTTTAGACAGAGGCTTGCTCTGTTGCCCAGTCTGGAGTGCAGTGGCGTGATCTCAGTTCACTGCAACCTCCACCTCCCAGGCTCAAGCCATTCTCTTGCCTCAGCCTCCCAAGAAGTGGGGACTACAGGTGCCTGCCACCATGCATGGCTAATTTTTGTATTTTTAGTAGAGACGAGGTTTTGGCATATTGGCCAGGCTGGTCTCGAATTCCTGGCCTCAAGTGATTCACCCAACTCAGCCTCCCAAAGTCCTGAGATTACTTAGGTGTGAGCCACGGCACCCGGCACAGACATTGTTTGAAGCCACCCATTTCATGGTTCTTTGCTGCAGTGGTTGTGGAATATGAATGCACTCGTGCTGTTGGTTAGACTTTGCTGACCTTGTGTCTGTTATTCCCTGGCAGTTCTACAAGGCCTGGAGCTGATAGGAAAAACCTCCCTTCTTTCCCAAATGGTCCCCAGCTGCCCCGTTCACTGAAGGCCCTGCAGTCAGGAACGGTCAGGACTTCGCACCCAGTTGTTGTGGGTGTTTGGACGACCCGACACTTCCTCTTGTGTGATTCATGGACCCGCAGCATTGCGTCACCTGGGAGCTTTTGGTATTGAAGACTCTCAGGGCTCACCCGGAAGGACCTGCTGGGCCAGAATCTACATTTTAACAAGATGCCCAGGTGATTTGCATACACGTTCAGATCTGAGAAGCGCTAGTAGGTGAGGCTTTAAGGTGGTAATTAGATCTTTTCTCCACCTGCAAGAATCTTAGTTTCTTCATGTTAAATCTATTAACTGTGGCAATGGCATGGGGGGTTATAAAACAAAACAAAATCCTTATATCAAGAATGCACCCTGGTGTGTTATGGATGTGGGTGAAATGAAATGTCTGGAATTTGCTTTAAAATATCCTAAAATAGCAAGAAGGAAAAGAAAAGTGGGAACTGGAATGAGATTGGCGAAATGTTGACAAGTTCTTGCAGTGGGATGATGGGTGCATGGGGGTTCATGGTGTAATTCTCTCCCTGATTTTTGTGCATATGGGAAATTTCCATAATGAAAAGTTAGAGGTCAGGCACGGTGGCTCATGCCTGTAATCTCAGCATTTTGGGAGGCTGAGGTGGGTAGATTGCTTTAACCTAGGAGTTCAAGACCATCCTGGACAACATGGTGAAATCCCATCTCTACTAAAAATGCAAAAATTAGGCATGGTGAAAACATGCCTGTAGTCATGTTGAGGTACGAGGTTGAGAACTGAGAATCACTTGAACCAAGGAGGCGGAGGTTGCAGTGAGCGGAGATCCATTGAGCTGGAGATCACTCCAGCCTGGGTGACAGAGTGAGACTTGGTCTCAAAAAAATTTTTAATTTTCTTTTCTTTTTTTTTTGAGATAGAGTCTTGCTCTTTTGCCTAGGCTGGAGTGTAGTGGCGTGATCTTGGCTCACTTCAAGCTCCACCTCCCGAGTTCACTCCATTCTTCTGCCTCAGCCTCCAGAGTAGCTGGGACTATAGGCACCCAGCACCATGTCCGGCTAATTGTTTGTATTTTTAATAGAGATGGGGTTTCACCGTGTTAGCCAGGATGGTCTCAATCTCCTGAACTCGTGATCTGCCCACCTCGGCCTCCCAAAGTGCTGGGATTACAGCCATGAGCCATCGTGCCTGGCCTTAATTTGGTTTATTTTTTTTCTTTTTTGGGACAGGATCTGTAGCCCAGGCTGGAGTGCAGTGGTGCGATCCCGGCTCACTGCAGCCTCTACCTCCTGGGTTCAAGTGATCCTCCCACCTCAGCCTCCCGAGTAGCTGAGACCACAGGCATGTATTACCACACCTGGCTAATTTTTTCCCTTTTTCTAGAGGCAAGGTCTTGCTACGTTGCCCAGGCTGGTCTTGAACTCCTGAGTTCAAGCAATTTTCCCGTCTCAGACTGGGAGTAATCCCAAAGTGCTGGGATTACAGGTGTGAGTCACTCTATCCAGCCTCAACTGTTTTTCATGACTCCACTTTTTCTCTCCTCTTGGAAATGTGTAGTCTTTGAGGGAATGTCATTTTGTCTCAATCTCTGGTTTCTTTGTTCAGTGCACCTGTGTTTGGGGCTTTGTTGATCTCCAGGCCTTTTTCAGCAGCGTTGTCCCTGGAGAGCAGGATGGGAGCTGATGGCTTCTCAGCATCTTTTAGCTCAGTTTAAAGATGACTATCAACAACATCTAGTCAGCATCTGTTGCTCTAGGCAACTGGGGCTTCATTTCCTTTCTCTTTCTCCACCTCTCTAACCTCTTTAAGACTCTGTCTTTGTCATGGGTACAGCATCACCTGTGTGGCCCTTAGGCTCCCTTACTTACATGTGATCTGCATATTATGTCTTTACTTCAGGGCTTTTCAGCCAGGGGGTGATTTTGCCCCCCAGAGAACACGTGGCCATGTCTGGAGACAATTTTGGTGGTTGCGGCTGGAGGAGGTGGTGCTACTGGCAGCTAATGGGTAGAGGCCAGCGATGCTGCTAAGCATCCTACAATGCCCCGGACAACTCCCACTAAGACAAAAGAATGATCCAGCCCCAAATGTCAATAGTGCTGAAAGTGAGAGACCCTGATTCCATCTTAGAGATCATCCAAGCACACTTGGCCAAATTGTTTTTGCTACTGTCCCATGAAGAAAAGGCAGACTCATTACCGATGGCAACATCGATGGGAGTTTTGCTTAGCTCTTCTTTGTGGACTTTGGGATACGGTGTCTTACCATTTGTGCAAGTTGTGCATTGCTTACCTCCAGGGGGCGCCACCCACATATTTATGAAAATGCCACCCCGGGAGTTGCACAGTATATAGTCTATATGGAAATAAGCAGTTGCTCTGGTTTTGGGGTTATCCTGGGGTGCTCTGGAACTGGGAGGAACTTTATTTCTGGCCATTAGAGGCCCTGAGCATGATATTGAGTATCCTTTCAAGAAAGGAGAAATGTTGAACAGAGAGGACCTCATTTTTATAACTCTTGACCATCATCTAGTTACGGAGCATCCACTTTTCACCCCTGGGCCATAACCATTTGACGCATGAAAAATCATCAAATTATAATATCATGGCTTATACTTTTGATAGCTTCTGCCCGGAACATGGCGGTAAGAGCTTCTCATTTTCAATTGATTCATTGGGGGAGAAAATATACACGGCTGTCCTAAGACTTTCTATGACACACAATTTGCTTGACGGGATTTCTTTAGTTTCTGCAGCATAACTTATTCTAACTGGTCCTCAATCACTTTGCAATAAAACCTGAGATTGTGAAGATGTTCATTGTCATTACCAGTGACGGAGCAGTAAGTACAGAGTTCTGGAGAGGGAAGGAATCGAGAGAGTTAAACTAGCAGAATGAGCCGCTCACCCTCAGAATTGCTTTTAGTCTTGGTGAGAACTGAGGGGAATTTTGACAGGGTTCAGGGGGACTGCGGGGAGTGGGGCTGGGAGGTGGCTGTTTGCACATGTGGTCAGCAAATCCAGTGAGGCGGTCCATGTACTGTGGGCAGCCCCATAGATGGAGTTGGGATTGCCCTGGACTGAGTACTGTGTCATCAGTACTCAAGACATCAAGGCCCAGGCTGGTGCAGGAGACACATTGCACTGTGTCAGCCTTTCTTCTATCGCTCCTCTCCAAAGATAGTTCCTGATTTTCCGCTGAGGAGTCACTAGTCCCCAACGGCATGTGTGCCACTGGCCATTCCCCACCCTGATCTGGATCTGGGGCATGTGGTCCCAGCCTGGATGCCAGTGTCCTTCCACCACCCTGGCCACAGTGATTGGGTCTGAGAAGCAGATTAGCCAAAGGAGAGACAATCTTGGAAATTTCATGTTCATGCTTAAGAAAGTAAAATGGAAAGCGCGGGGAGGGTGAGGGGGTCATTCTGATGATATAGTTTTAGGACCTGGATGTAGCCACACCTGTAGCTGTCACCTCTGTGCTATAGTACTGCTTTTTTTTTTCCTTCAAATTTAAATACTTTCTAAAGGCAAGGTCTTGCTATGTTGCTTAGGCTGGTTTTGAAAACTCCCTTTTGGGGGGATGCTTTCACTGCTTCACTTCCTTTCTATGAGAGCTCACGGAATCAGAAGACAAAGGAGATGACTTTTTTTTTTTTTTTTTTTTGAGACAGGGCTTGCTCTATTGCCCAGGCTGGAGTGCAGTGGTGCAATCACAGCTCGCCACAGCCTTGATCTTCTGGACTCAAGCGACCCTCCTGCTTCAGCCTCCTGAGTAGCTGGGACTGTAGGCCGCTACCCCCATGCCCAGCTAATTATTATTATTATTTTTTCTTTAGAAATGAGATCTCACTATGTCACCCAGGCTGGCCTCAAACTCCTGGGCTCAAGTGATCGTCCTGCCTTAGCTTCCCAAACTTACAGGTGTGAGCCCCCACACCAGTCAACGCTGTGGTCTTATGCACCTGGTGTCCCCTATGCCCTGAGCAATGATCCTCCTGCTTCAAACTCCGAAAGTGCTGGGATAACAGATGTGAAGCAGCATGTGTGGCCCACATAGTATTCTTATGGGTTAAATTGAGTCCTCCTCAAAACATGTTGAAATCCTAAATTCTAGTAGCTCAGAATGTGACCTTATTTAGAAATAGAGTTATTGCGGGCCGGGCGTGGTGGCTCATGCCTATAATCCCAGCACTTTGGGAGGTCGAGGCAGGCGGATCACCTGAGGTCAGGAGTTTGAGACCAGCCTGACCAACATGGAGAAACTCCGTCTCTACTAAAAATTCAAAATTAGCTGGGTGTGGTGGCACATACCTGTAATCCCAGCTACTAGGGAGGCTGAGGCAGGACAATCGCCTGAACCCACGAGGCGGAGGTTGCATTGAGCTGAAATCGTGCTATTGCACTCCAGCCTGGGCAAAAAGAGTGAAACTCCGTCTCAAAAGAAAGAAAGAAAGAGAGAGAGAGAGAGAGAGAGAGAGAGAGAGAGAGAGAGAGAGAGAGAAAGAAGAAAAAAAAGAAAGAAAGAAAGAAAGAAAAGAAAGAAAGAAAAAAGAAAGGAAGAAAGAAAGAAAGAAAGAAAAGAAAGAAATAGGGTTATTGCAGACGCTATTGATTAGGATGAAGTCATCTTGGAGTAGGGAGGGCCCTAAGTCAACGACTGGTGTCCTTATAAAAGACGAGAGGACACGCCGAGTCACAGAGACACAGGGAAGGCGTCCATGGATTGGCCGGAAGATTGGACTGATGCGTATGCAAACCAAGAAACACTGAAGACTGCCAGGAGACCACAGGAAGGTAGGAAGAGGCAAGGCAGGACTCCCCGACAAGCGCAGGAGGGAGCGTGGCCCTGCTGGCACTTCCATTTCAGACTGCTGGCCACCAGAGCCACAAGACAATCAGTTTCTCTGGTTTCAAGTCACGCAGCTTTTAGTACTTGGTTGTGGCAGCCCTAGGGAATGAACATAAGTACTTTCTTTTTTTTTTTCTTTTTTTGAGACGGAGTCTCGCTCTGTTGCCCAGGCTGGAGTGCAGTGGCGCGATCTCGGCTCACTGCAATCTCCGCCTCCTGGGTTCACGCCATTCTCCTGCCTCAGCCTCCTGAGTAGCTGGGACTACAGGCACCCGCCACCACGCCCAGCTAATTTTTTGTATTTTTAATAGAGACAAGGTTTCGCCGTGTTAGCCAGGATGGTCTCCATCTCCTGACCTCGTGATCCGCCTGCCTCAGCCTCCCAAAGTGCTGGGATTACAGGCGTGAACCACCACGTCCGGCCGAATACAAGTACTTTTAAATTAACTCTCCTCTTCTCTCCATCTTCTTCTAAATCATCATTTTTGCCTAAGCAACAGCTAGGGTCTAATACAGATGTGACGACTCACTTCAAAGTGGGGGAAGCCCCCATGTGCACCCAAACCTCCTGCTGCCTTGGCCCAGGGTTCAGAGACTGGACCATCATTCTGGAGGCTTGCTGGAGATCTGAGCCAGGGCATCATTCTCTGTTGCCTTTAAACAAAGGCTGGTGCTCGCCCAGGCTCGTGAGCTCCACCGAGGATCTATTTGGAAGGCAGAATTCTGAGATGACCCCTTAGGTTCTTGCCCTGGATAAATGCCAGGTGTAATCTCCTCTCCCCTGGAGTGTAGGCAGGACCCGTGGCTTGCTTCTAATCTATACCTATGGAAAAGTTGAAGGGATTTTGCAGATGTAACTAAGCCCCTAATCCATTCACTTTGAGTTAATCAAAAGAGAGATTATTCAGGGTGGGCCTGACATCTTCAGGTGAGATCTTCAATGAGGGTCTGGAGGAGAGAGACTCCTTCCTCCTGGTTTTTGGTTTTTGTTTGTTTGTTTGTTTTTGACATGGAGTCTCACTCTGTTGCCCAGGCTGGAGTGCAGTGGCACGATCTCGGCTTACTGCAACCCCTGTCTCCTGGGTTCAAGTGATTCTCCTGCCTCAGCCTCACAAGTAGCTGGGATTACAGGCGTGCACAATCATGACCGGCTAAGTTTTGTATTTTTAGTAGAGATGGGGTTTCACCATATTGGCCAGGCTGGTCTCGAACTCCTGACATCAGGTGATCCACCTGCCTCGGCCTCCGAAAGTGCTGGGATTACAGGCGTGAGCCACCATGCCTGGCTGGTTTTGAAGAAGCAAGCCACATGAGTTCCACAGTTGCATGGAAATAAATTCTGCCAACAACCATGTGAGGTTGGGAGAAGACCCCAAGCCTCATATGAGACACTAATTCCAGCCAACACCTTGATCACAACCTTGTAAGTACCTAAGCAGAGGGCCCAGCTAAACTGCACCCCCAGACTCCTGACCCACAGGAAAGGAGAGGTAATAGATGGATGTTTTAAGCTGCTAAATTTGTGTTGATTTGTTATGCAGCTTAGAAAATGAATACATCATTCCATTTTTAAAAAATCATAAGCTAATCACACCATTCGATTTCTTTTTTTTCTTTTTTCTTTTTTTTTTTTTTTTTTTGAGACAGAGTCTCACTCTATCGCCCAGGCTTGAGTGCAATGGCGCAATCTTGGCTCACTGTAAGCTCTGCCTCCCAGGTTCAAGTGATTCCCTTTCCTCAGCCCCCCAAGTAGCTAGGACTACAGGCAAGCACAACCAAACCCAGCTAATTTTTATATTTTTAGTAGAGATGGAGTTTCTCCATTTTGGCCAGGCTGGTCTCGAACTCCTGACCTCAAGTGACCTGCCTGCCTCAGCCTCCCAAAGTGCTGGGGTTGCTGACATGAGCCACCGCACCTGGCCTGACACACCATTCAGTTTTAATGAACTTCCAGGTGCTGTGGTCACGCCCCTCTTGTGTGGCATGCAGGTTGGGAGAGATGGGTTGGAAGATGACTGGATGGGGGCATGGAGCTAGGTGGAAAGAGGAAAAGTGTCTTGAAGGAAGTAAGTCCCTTCAGATAAGGGAGGGAGAAGCTTGATCAATATGCAGACTTTCACAGTCCTTCAGTCCTGGGGATACTGGTGGAGAGACAGGTCTTGCCTTATATTTGAGAGTTACCATCCCAGGCAGAGGCCCTACTTCCACCTTCTTGCAGGTGGGGCTGGGGAGCAAATACTTAGAGGAGAAACGAACACCCTTTGTAAGCATGTGAAAAGTTTCTGGAGTAGAGAGATGATGAAGCAGGATATTTGGAGTCAACAGCCGAAGTTTTTATCTTATTTTTTATTTTGTATTATACCTTAAGTTTTAGGGTACATGTGCACAACGTGCAGGTTTGTTACATATGTATACATGTGCCATGTTGGTGTGCTGTACCCATTAACTCGTCATTTAACATTAGGTATATCTCTTAATGCTATCCCTCCCGCCTCCCCCGCCCCCACAACAGGTCCCAGTGTGTGATGTTCCCCTTCCTGTGTCCATGTGTTCTCATTGTTTAATTCCTACCTATGAGTGAGAACATGCGGTGTTTGGTTTTTTGTCCTTGCAATAGTTTGCAGAGAATGATGGTTTCCAGCTTCATCCATGTCCCTACAAAGGACATGAAATCATTGTTTATGGCTGCATAGTATTCCATGGTGTATATGTGCCATATTTTCTTAATCCTGTCTATCATTGTTGGACATTTGGCTTGGTTCCAAGTCTTTGCTATCGTGAATAGTGCCACTATAAACATACGTGTGCATGTGTCTTTATAGCAGCATGATTTATAATCCTTTGGGTATATACCCAGTAATGGGATGGCTGGGTCAAATGGTATTTCTAGTTCTAGATCCCTGAGGAATTGCCACACTGAATTTCACAATGGGTGAACTAGTTTACAGTCCCACCAACAGTGTAAAAGTGTTCCTATTTCTCCACATCCTCTCCAGCAGCTGTTGTTTCCTGACTTGTTAATGATCGCCATTCTAACTGGGGTGAGATGGTATCACATTGTTGTTTTGACTTGCATTTCTCTGGCCAGGGATGATGAGCATTTTTTTCACGTGTCTTTTGGCTACATAAATGTCTTCTTTTGAGAAGTGTCTGTTCATATCCTTTGCCCACTTTTTGATGGGTTGTTTGTTTTTTTCTTGTAAATTTATTGGAGCTCATTGTAGATTCTTGATATTAGCCCTTTGTCAGATGAGTAGATTGCAAAAATTTTCTCCCATTCTGTAGGTTGCCTGTTCACTCTGATGGTAGTTTCTTTTGCTGTGCAGAAGCTCTTTAGTTTAATTAGATCCCATTTGTTAATTTTGGCTTTTCTTGCCATTGCTTTTGGTGTTTTAGACATGAATTCCTTGCCCATGCCTATGTCCTGAATGATATTGCTGAGGTTTTCTTCTAGGGTTTTTATGGTTTTAGGTCTAACATTTAAGTCTAATCCATCTTGAATTAATTTTTGTCTAAGGTGTAAGGAAGGGATCCAGTTTCAGCTTTCTTCATATGGCTAGCCAGTTTTCCCAGCACCATTTATTAAATAGGGAATCCTTTCCCCGTTTCATGTTTTTGTCAGGTTTGTCAAAGATCAGATGGTTGTAGATATGTGGCATTATTCCTGAGGGCTCTGTTCTGTTCCATTGGTCTATATCTCTGTTTTTGTACCAGTACCAGGCTGTTTTGATTACTGTAGCCTTGTAGTATAGTTTGAAGTCAGGTAGTGTGATGCCTCTAGCTTTGTTCTTTTGGCTTAGGATTGACTTGGCAATGCGGGCTCTTTTTTGGTTCCATATGAACTTTAAAGTAGTTTTTTCCAATTCTGTGAAGAAAGTCATTGGTAACTTGATGGGGATGGCATTGAATCTATAAATTACCTTGGCCAATATGGCCATTTTTACGATATTGATTCTTCCTACTCATGAGCATGGAATGTTCTTCCATTTGTTTGTGTCCTCTTTTATTTCGTTGAGCAGTGGTTTATAGTTCTCCTTGAAGAGGTCCTTCATATCCCTTGTAAGTTGGATTCCTAGGTATTTTATTCTCTTTGAAGCAATTGTGAATGGGAGTTCACTCATGATTTGGCTCTCTGTTTGTCTGTATTGGTTTATAAGAATGCTTGTGATTTTTGCAAATTGATTTTGTATCCTGAGACTTTGCTGAAGTTGCCTATCAGCTTAAGGAGATTTTGGGCTGAGACAGTGGGGTTTTCTTGATATACAATCATGTCATCTGCAAACAGGGACAATTTGACTTCCTCTTTTCTTAATTGAATACCCTTTATTTCCTTCTCCTCCCTGATTGCCCTGGCCAGAACTTCCAACACTATGTTGAATAGGAGTGGTGAGAGAGGGCATCCCTGTCTTGTGCCAGTTTTCAAAGGGAATGCTTCCAGTTTTTGCCCATTCAGTATGATATTGGCTGTGGGTTTGTCATAGATAGCTCTTATTATTTTGAGATACGTCCCATCAATACTTAATTTATTGAGAGTTTTCAGCATGAAGGTTGTTGAATTTTGTCACAGGCCTTTTCTGCATGTAATGAGATAATCATATGGTTTTTGTCATTGGTTCTGTTTATATGCTGGATTATGTTTACTGATTTGCAAATGTTGAACCAATCTTGCATCCCAGGGAGGAAGCCCACTTGATCATGGTGGATAAGTTTTTGATGTGCTGCTGGATTCGGTTTGCCAGTATTTTATAGAGGATTTTTGCATCGATGTTCATCAGGGATATTGGTCTAAAATTCTCTTTTTTGGTTGTGTCTCTGCCCGGCTTTGGTATCAAGATGATGCTGGCCTCATAAAATGAGTTAGGTAGGATTCCCTCTTTTTCTATTGTTTGGAATAGTTTCAGAAGGAATGGTACCAGCTCCTCCTTTTACCTCTGGTGGAATTCGTCTGTGATTCCGTCTGGTCATGGACTTTTTTTGGTTGGTAAGCTATTAATTATTGCCTCAATTTCAGAACCTGTTATCGGTCTATTCAGAGATTCAACTTCTTCCTGGTTTAGCCTTGGGAGGGTGTACGTGTCGAGGAATTTATCCATTTCTTCTAGGTTTTCTAGTTTATTTGCATAGAGGTGTTTATACTATCCTCTGATGGTAGTTTGTATTTTTGTGGGATTGGTGGTGATATCCCCTTTATCAATTTTTATTGTGTCTATTGGATTCTTCTCTCTTTTCTTTATTAGTCTTGCTAGTGGTCTATCAATTTTGTTGATCTTTTCAAAAAACCAGCTCCTGGATTCATGGATTTTTTGAAGGGTTTTTTGTGTCTCTATTTCCTTCAGTTCTGCTCTGATCTTAGTTATTTCTTGCCTTCTGCTAGCTTTTGAATGTGTTTGCTCTTTGCTTCTCTAGTTCTTTTAATTGTGATGTTAGGGTGTCAATTTTAGATATTTCCTGTTTTCTCTTGTGGGCATTTAGTGCTATAAATTTCCCTCTACACACTGCTTTGAATGTGTCCGAGAGATTCTGGTATGTTGTGTCTTTGTTCTCGTTGGTTTCAAAGAACACCTTTATTTCTGCCTTCATTTCATTATGTACCCAGTAGTCATTCAGGAGCAGGTTGTTCAGTTTTCATGTAGTTGAGTAGTTTTGAGAGAGTTTCTTAATCCTGAGTTCTAGTTTGATTGCACTGTGGTCTGAGAGACAGTTTGTTATAATTTCTGTTGTTTTACATTTGCTGAAGAGTGCTTCACTTCCAACTATGTGGTCAATTTTGGAAGAAGTGCGATGTGGTGCTGAGAAGACTGTATATTCTGTTGATTTGGGGTGGAGAGTTCTGTAGATGTCTATTAGTTCCGCTTGGTGCAGAGCTGAGTTCAATTCCTGAATATACTTGTTAACTTTCTGTCTTGTTGATCTGTCTAATGTTGACAGTGGGGTGTTAAAGCCTCCCATTATTATTGTGTGGGAGTCTAAGTCTCTTTGTAGGTCTCTAAGGACTTGCTTTTTGAATCTGGGTGCTCATGTATTGGGTGCATATATATTTAGGATAGTTAGCTCTTCTTGTTGAATTGATCCCTTTACCATTATGTAATGGCCTTCTTTGTCTCTTTTGATCTTTGTTGGTTTAAAGTCTGTTTTATCAGAGACTAGGATTGCAACACCTGCCTTTTTTTTGTTTTCCATTTGCTTGGTAGATCTTCCTCCATCCCTTTATTTGAGCCTGTGTGTGTCTGTTTTTTCCCCATCTTTGTGGCTTTATCTACGTTTGGTCTTTGATGATGGTGACGTACAGATGGGGTTTTAAGTGTGGATGTCTTTTCTGTTTGTTAGTTTTCCTTCTAAGAGTCAGGACCCTCAGCTGCAGGTCTGTTGGAGTTTGCCTGGGTGTCAGCAGTTGAGGCTGCAGAACAGCAGATATTGTTGAGCAGCAAATGTTGCTGCCTGATTGTTCCTCTGGAAGTTTTGTCTCAGAGGAGTACCCGGCCATGTGAGGTGTCAGTCTGCCCCTACGGGGGTGTGCCTCCAGTTAGGCAACTCGGGGGTCAGGGACCCACTTGAGGAGGCAATCTGTCCATTCTCAGATCTCCAGCTGTGTGCTGGGAGAACCACTTCTCTCTTCAAAGCTGTCAGACAGGGATATTTAAGTCTGCAGAGGATTCTGCTGCCTTTTGTTTGCCAATGCCCTGCCCCCAGAGGTGGAGTCTACAGAGGTAGGCAGGCCTCCTTGAGCTGAGGTGGGCTCCACCCAGTTGGAGCTTCCCAGCTGCTTTGTTTACCTACTGAAGCCTAGGCAATGGCGGGCGCCCCTCCCCCAGCCTTGCTGCCACCTTGCAGTTTGATCTCATACTGCTGTGCTAGCAATGAGTGAGGCTCCATGGGTTTAGGACCCTCTGAGCCAGGCATGGGATATAATCTCCTGGTGTGCCGTTTGCTAAGACCATTGGAAAAGTGCAGTATTAGGGTGTGAGTGACCCGATTTTCCAGGTGCCATCTGTCACCCGTTTCTTTGACTAGGGAAGGGAATTCTCTGACCCCTTGCACTTCCCAGGTGAGGCAATGCCTTGTCCTGCTTGGCTCATGCTCGGTGCACTGCACCAAGTGTCCTGCACCCACTTTCTGACACTCTCCAGTGAGATGAACCAAGTACCTCAGTTGGAAATGCAGAAATCACCTGTCTTCTGGGTCGCTCACGCCAGGAATTGTAGACTGGAGCTGTTCCTATTCGGCCATCTTGGCTCCACTCCTGCTATTATGATTCTTACACAGAGTCCTTTGCTTTCCAGCAGCCTCCTCTTCCTCCTTTTTAGGTTGGAATCCCTCTATTTTAGTGGCCATTGGGATTCTGAAATGACCAGGTCTTTGTCTCAGAGACCTCACACATGCTCTTCCCTCGCCTGGAACACTTTTCCTTCCTCTGGTCCCCTGAGATCTCTTTCAGCTCAACTGCCCCATGCTCAGAGACCCCCTTTCTCCCTCTCTAGTTTGAAACCAGTTTACGCCTGTAGTCTGTGCCTGGAAAACTCGTTTTCCTCCTTGATGCCTCCTGAGTTGTTACAGGATGTATGTGCCTGTTTGGGTGTCTGGTGTCTGTCTCCCCGACTGGACTGTATGCTCCTGGTGAGCTGGAGGGACTGGACTAGCACAGGCCAAGGCCCTGGGGCTTGAGGGAGCAGGGCAGAAGGCACAGGCAAAGGCCTTTGTGATCCGGAAGGAAGTGAAGGAGAGGGAGAGAGATGAGAGAGGCTGGCAGAAGATAGGCCAGGGGCCAGGCTGTGTGGGATCTTTTGGGCCACAGAAAGACATTTGAATTCTTATGTAAGAGAACCAAGACACCATTGGAAGGTATGAGTCACCTCATCTAACTGAGCTCTGTAAATGTCAGTGTTTTATTATTTTTATACAATTATTTAAAAGTGATTTTAGTTATTTACCTTTTTATTTTTATTACTTTTGTTTTTTTTTTGAGAGAAAATCTTGCTCTTTTGCCCAAACTGGAATGCAATGGCATGATCTCGGCTCACTTCAACTACCACCTCCTGGGTTCAAGTGATTCTCCTGTATCAGACTCCAGAGTAGCTGTGGTTATAGGCATCTGCCACCACGCCCAGCTTATTTTTGTATTTTTAGGATAGGTGACGTTTCACCATGTTGGGCAAGCTGGTCTTGAACTCCTGACCTCAGGTGATCCACCCACCTCAGCCACCAAAAGTGCTGGGATTACAGGGGTGAGTCACCATGCTCGGCCTTATTTACTTTAAAAAAAAAGAACAGGCCAGTCACGGTAGCTCATGTCTCCAATCTCAGCACTTTGGGAGGCTGAGGTGGGATGATCACTTGAGGCCAGGAGTTCAAAACCAGCCCAGGCAACATAGTGAGACACCCCCTGCCCCAGTTTCTAAGAAAATGAGAAAATCAGGCATGGTGGCTTGTCTGTATCCCCAGCTACTGAGGAGACTGAGCTAGGGAGGACTGCTTGAGACCAGGAGCTTGAGGCTCCACTGAGCTGTGATTATGCCACTGAGCTACAGCCTGGGCAACAGAGTGAGACCCCGGAGCAACCTCAACCTCCCTAGAGCTGACCGAGCTTTTGCTTCTTATCACAGGGAATGACGGACGCTGGGGATTTGATGGGCATCGGGTGAAATGGGCAGAGTGGCGCTTACCTGTGATGGCAGTGAAGTGGGACGGGGAGGTCATTGTCACAAGGGGCGGCATGAGGTACTTGGCCTTGACGCCCTCCCTGGCCAGATGGTCCAGGTTGGGGGTGTTCACATCCTGATCCTAGTCCCAGCGGAAGCCCTGGAAGGAGATCAGCAGCAGTTGTGAGTGTTCTTCTTCCCTGCGAGGGGGTGGCCGCCCAGCAGGACAGGCGGTGGCAGCAGCAGCTGGAGGGCGCCGAGTCATGTCATCCCACAAGCACCTGTCATGCACTCCTCACAGTGTTCATGGGCTTCTCCCTCTTTAGTCCGTTGTTAAACAAAGTCCGCATTAGTAATTCAGCCCAGCTCTGTTGTGGGACAAACAACCTGGAGTGTAGCAAGGTGCTGCATATTTGCAGGACAGTATGAAAGCGTTCTGGAGATGGATGGGGGACATGGCTGTACAATGTGGGGGATGCACTTAATACCACTGAATTTTTCCTTTGAAAATGGCTAAAATAATAGATTTTGTATGTATTTTACCACAGTAAAAAATCAAGCTGGCCGGGCATGGTGGCTTACACCTGTAATCCCAGCACTTTGGGAGGCCAAGGCGGGTAGATCATTTGAGGTCAGGAGTTCAAGACCAGCCTGGCCAACATGGAGAAACCCCATCTCTACTAAAAATGCAAAAATTAGCCAGGCGTGGCGGTACATGTCTGTAATCCCAGCTACTCGGGAGGCTGAGGCAGGAGAATTGCTTGAACCCGGGAGGCGGAGGTTGCAGTGAGCTGAGATTGCTCCACTGCCTTCCAACCTGGACGATGGAACGAGACTGCATCTCCAAAAAAAAAAAAAAAATCAAACCACATGAAATATTTTGGACTCTTATACTAATTCCAACACTTTGAAGATCTGGGGAGAACAAACTAGATTGGTGCTTTCCTTGGCTTAGTATGTTCTGTTTTTATAGGGAGAGCAAATTATTGTTCACCAGCACTATTAAAATAGCTACAACAGGATGGGCATGGTGGCTCACACCTGTAATCCCAGCACTTTGGGAAGCTGAGGTGGGAGGATCGCTTGAGCCCAGGAGTTCGAGATGCCAGCCTGGGCAACATGGTGAGACCCTGCCACTACCAAAAAATATAACAACAACAACACAAATAGCTAGGTGTGATTGTGTGCATCTGTAGTCCCAGCTACTTGAGAGGCTGAGGTGGGAGGATCACTTGTGCCCAGGAGGTTGAGGCTGTAGTAAGCCATGATTATGCCACTGTACTCAGCCTGGGTGACAGAGTGAGACCCTGTATGGAAAAAGAAATAAAAAGCTGCAGTGGAGTCATTGATCATGAGGCCAGGCACTGTATACATGTACATCATCTCATTTAATTTTTTCTCTTGTTTAAAATTATTTTTTCCTCTAATCCCCATGTTGATCGACATTTTTTTCAATCCTAGGAATTAGTTGAAAATTTTGCATAAGAATTGAAAATTGCCTGGCCTGATGTCTTACACCTGTTATCCCAGCACTTTGGGAGGCTGAGATGAGAGAATCACTTGAAGCCAGGAGTTTGGGCCAATCTGGGCAATATACTGAGAATGCAACTCTATAAAAAAATTTAAAAAGCTGGGTGTGGTAGCGTTCACCTGTAGTCCCAGCTACTTGGAAGACTAGGTGGGAGGATTGCTTGAGTCCAGGCGGTAAAGGCAGCAGTGAGCTATGACTGTGACATTGCACTGCAGCCTGGGTGACGGAGTGAGACTGTATCTCTAAAATAAATGAATAAAATTGTGGTATAATATATGCAACATTTATCATTTTGTGCATCTGAAAGTGTACAATTCAGGGACATTTTGTACATCTATCATGTTGTGCAATTATCACCACTACCTAGTTTCAGGGCTTTTTCAACACCTCAGTTGGAAGCCTCATATCCATTCAGCAGTCACTCTGCATACTCCCTCCTGCAGCCGTTGGAAACCTCTCATCTACTTTCTATCTCTGTCGATTGGCTTAGTCTGAACATTGCATATAAATGGAATTCTACAATATATGACCTTTCATGTCTGCTTCTTTCACTAACCCTAACGTTCATCCATATCACAACATGGATAAGTTTTATTTTCTTTTTAGACCCTATCTAAAAAGAAAAAAAAAATTTGTAAAACAAAAATAAAAACAAAAAAATATATAGGATGGAGATCAGATGAGTCCTGAAAAGTTTATAATATTTACTATCTAGCACTTTACATAGAAGCTTGCCTACCTCTGAAAGATAGGCAGGTACAGAGATGACATTTATCTTGACACTTATAGAAAGACCTATAAATTGTATAAAGACATCATCATTGGATCTCCAGTAACAAGAACTGGCAAGACATGACAGTGTGTCCAGGTGTTCAGGTGAAGTGTAGGGAAGGTCTTGTCTTGACGAGGTCGGATGTGAGACCCAGATGAGATAACCCCATTTCCCCTGCTGAAATTGCCTGAGAATTTCATTCCAGTTATTTGCGTAGTTTGATTCTTTCGGTGGGGGTGGGGGTGGGTGAGGAGGTGGGTGAGGAGGCCGAAGGTCATATCTCAGCTCTGCAACTCATTATCTATGATGCCTTGGGGCAGGTCCCATAACTCTCCAAGCCTCTGTTATATATTCCATAGGGTTGTGAGGTTCAGATGAAATAATGCATGCTGGCAGGAATGGTTACTGCTCATGGGATTTCCATCTGCTCCCTGTATTCCCCAGACCCCCGTAGTTAGATGGATCCATGCCAGGGTCCAATGCTCTATAAGTGGAAGTCACTGACATCACCTCTAGTCTACAGCTTTTGAGGGCTTGGAAATAACTATCTCATTCTCTCATCTCCTGGTGCAGTAACTAGGGGAGAATCCTTACATTAAGATGGTAGAATTTCCATCATTCTAGGTCTTTGAGTGGCCATATGGAGCACACCATACCCAGCCAACCCATTGTGGACATGGAATGTAAGAAATCAACCTTGGTTGCTAAGCTGCTGAGACTCTGGGGTTAATTTGTTACTGCAGCATAACCTAGTCCATCCTGATGCATGTAGCATGCAAACCACTTATGTTGACCCTTAGTCATGGTCAGTGCTCCACAGATGTTGGTTACTTTTGGTAGGAAGATAGATTGCCTCTGAAAGTTTTGTTAGCTGATCTCATGATGCCAATGTTGCTATTTTGTAATTGGATAAATTGGACTTGGCTCTCTTTCCAGCATGTGGGAGAGAAAGATGACTGAGAGACAATAAGGCACTATTATCTTCAGTTTCTGTCCTTGGATACCCTTGGTGGCAATGAACAATGCATGCCCCTCTGAGAAAGCTGGACCTAAAGGAGAATGGGAGGTGATACCAGAATTGGGAAAGTCCAAGGCCCCAGGCATTCCCTGGTCTGGAGACAACTTTGAGTCCTTGGTGGGAAGATTCTCCAAGGGAACATAAATGCTTCTACTATCTAGTTTGTCTCTTTGAGAATTAAAACTTTTTTTTTTTCATTCCAGTAGCTTTTGGGGTACAGTTTGGCTCTTTGAGAATTGCATACTAATTAATTTTAGGGGCCATCTGTACACATCTCTATATTCCTGAAACATGGTAGAAACAGCCAGCAGTCAGGCGACAATCTACGATGACCACTAAAATATCCCCAAAGTGAAACACTAGATGTGATCCACTAGGTTTAGTGGAGGTGGCTGGCTCGAGAGTTGATTATATTTATTATTGTCACTGTGGTGATTATGGCCACAACATTGTCATGCGTGTTGGTCTTCTTTTGGTGAGTTTCAGTTTGGAAGGAATAAATCCATTTTTTTTTTTTTTTTGAGTCTTGCTCTGTCACCCAGGCTGGAGTGCAGTGGTGCCATCTCAGCGTGCTGTAAACTCCGCCTTCCAGGTTCAAGTGCTTCTCCTGCCTCTATGGCCAGGCTGGTCTTGAACTCCTGACCTCAGGTGATCCACCTGCCTCAGCCTCCCAAAGTGCTGGGATTACAGGCGTGAGCCACCATGCCCGGCCCCATTATTCATTTAACCAATATCTGTTGAGCACATTGGGTGTGCTGGAGGATGAACTGCAGGGGAGAGAGGAAGCCTCCTCCTGCCACTATGTTTTCAAGTTGTCCTAATACTCCACCATGACACGCAGGCTTGTGGGTCCCAGAGATCCAGAAGCATCTCCCGACCACAACATCCTGACCCAGATTCTACTGAAAAATACGCGAGTCCAGGAGAGCCATCTCTGACACTTCCCTTCTTTTGAACGGCTGATCTGTCAGTCCTGGGGAGCCCTTATGAAAGTGCAGTGTGTTTTGTGAAACTTGAGGTTGATCAAAGAATACCATTAAACTTTGTTAAGAAATCTACATATTGATGACATATGCAGTGGGGTGGAGGTGGGGAAATTCCCAAATACATTTTAGGAATTATCTCAGAAGGAGGTAATAGTGAGAACTCTTGGTTGTCAGTGACAGAAACTCATCTTACTAGTGTGGAGTGGAAAAGGGATCATGTTTTTCTCTGCACTCCCCAACCCCAACCCCAAGCAGATCCTGAAAGAGGGACAGGATTGCAAGTGGATTATTTAGGAGATGATTCCAGGGGACACCAATAGGGGAGTGAGGAATTGATTCATGGAAAGGTAGGAGGCCACACAGGGGGCTTCAATGAGCAGCTTACCACTCTAGGCAACTAGGATTTGACCCCACTGGGGACCTCTGAGAGGTGATGTGGAATACATTTCAAAGTTGTTCCATCCAGGGGGCAAAGATATTGAAGCATTTATAGCCTGGCTCCCATCCGTCACTGGCTGAGGACTGGTCCCAGGGCATCAACTCTCTGGCTTTGCTTTCTTCTTCTTCTTTTTTTTTTTTTTTTGAGACATAGTCTTGCTCTGTCACCCAGGCTGGACTGCAAAGGCATGATCTCGGCTCACTGCAACATCTGCCTCCCAGGTTCAAACGATTCTCTTGCCTCGGCTTCCTCAGTAGCTGGGATTACAGGCGCCTGCCACCATGCCCGGCTAATTTTTTTATTTTTTGTAGAGACGGGGTTTTGCCACGTTGGTCAGGCTGGTCTCTAACTCCTGACCTCGTGATCCACCTGCCTCGGCCTCCCAGTGTTGGGATTACAGGAGTGAGCCACTGCGCCCAGCTTCTGTGGCTTTTCTGCCATACTCCATGCCTGACTTTCAGAAAGCCCTCAGGTGAAAGTCTTGGTTGTATGCAGTATCGAGCATGTACTAAAATGACAAAAACCAAGGGGCTTACCACAAGATCTCTCTCTCTATCTCTGTCTCTAGCTTTGTCTGCATACTGGCTTAATTTCTTCTTACTCAAGCCTTTTCTCCATAAGGTGAGAAACGTGTCCACAAAAGCTCCTGTATTTCTCACTACACACAATTCCTGTCATCACAGAGAATGATTAACTTGGTCTAGTTCCAGTTTGGAAAAATATTCAAGGGAAGAATTCTGATTGGCCAATTTAGGCCAGATGCTCATCCCTGGACCAATCAACTGAGGCCAGGGAGGTGGAGTCATTTGAGAACATGGCAGCCCCCATGAGATCCACATGACTGGAGTAGGAAGTGTGACTCTCTATAGAGGGGAGGGCTGCTAGGCTGAAAAGGCAATAGATGTCTGCAGTGAAAGGAATAGATCAGGAGATACATTCTGTTAAACCTGTTAATTATTTGAAAAAAAGAGAAACTTTCAATATACTGTCACAGTATACGTGAGCCGGTGGCTCACGCCTATAATCCCAGCACTTTGAGAGGCTGAGGTGGGCAGATCAGAGGTCAGGAGTTCGAGACCAACCTGACCAACATGGTGAAACCCCGTCTTGTGCACCTGTAATCCCAGCTACTCAGGAGGCTGAGGCAGGAGAATTGCTTGAACCAGGGAAGGGGAGGTTGCATGAGCTGAGATCATGCCACTGCCCTCCAGCCTGGGCAACAGAGTGAGACTCCTCAAAAAAAAAAAAAAAAAAGTTACATTGTCGTTCCCCCAGCGTGATTTATCAGAAAGGAAAAACTTACAATATGCATATTTCCTATGCATAGGCTACTGCTATGAATTGAAATTCTTAAATTCCAAAGATTAATTAAAATGTTTCTCAAGACACATAAACTGTTAGAATCTGCTTATAATGAGGCTGAAGTTGAGTAAGAAGAGAACTGGCATTTAGGACGCTACTTTTCTTCTGTCGAGTACTGTCAAGTTTTGGTTCTGCCTGGAAGTAGATGCACCTCAAGGGAGGGTTGCATGTAAAGGGGTGTGTGTGTGTGTGTGTGTGTGTGTGTGTGTGTGTGTGTGGTGGTTTCCAAAGATGGGTACAACTTTCTGCAAATGTTCGTGCAGTATAATTGAACCAATCTTTCCTTAAAGAGGGAAAATTTATACTCCTCTACATGAATCTGGGCTGCCTATGACTTGCTTTGGTCAGTGGAATGCTGTCAAATTGATGGTGACCAACTTCTAGCCGTAAAAGGAAAATAAACCTTGGGGCCCCAAGATCACTAAGCTAGGCTGGGCTCCGTGGCTCACGCCTGTAATCCCAGCACTTTGGGAAGCTGAGGCGGGCAGATCACCTGAGGTCAGGAGTTCAAGACCAGCCTGGCCAACATGACAAAACCCCATCTCTACTAAAATATATGAAAATTAGCCAGGCGTGGTGGCAGGCGCCTGTAATCCCAGCTACTTGGGATGCTGAGGCAGGGAAACTTCTTGAACCCTGGAGTTGGAGGTTGCAATAAGCCGAGATCGTACCACTGCACTCCAGCCTGCACAACAGAGCGAGACTCTGTCCGCACACCCCAAAAAAAGTTACTAAGCTAAAGAGAAAAGTCAAGCTGGGAACTGCTTAAAGGAAACCTGCCTCCCATTCTATTCAGTTAACCCTTTGCTTACTGAGATGAATGTATATCTGATTGCCTCATTTGGAGAGGCTAATCAGGAACTCAAAACAATGCAACCATTTGTCTCTTAACTACCAATGACCTGGAAGCCCCTTCCCCTTGTCTCACCTTCACTTTCACCTGGAGTTGTCCCGCCTTTCCAGACTGAAACAATGTACATCTTACACATATTGATTGATGTCTCATGTCTCTCTAAAATGTATCAAACCAAGCTGTGTCCCCACCACCTTAGGCCCATGTTGTCAGGACCTCCCGAGGCTGTGTCACAGGCGTGAGTCCTTAACCTTGGCAAAATAAACTTTCTGAATTAACTGAGACCTCATATTTTTGGGGTGCAAATAGTCTTAGGCCTTGAGAGCCCTCTCGTAGTTTCCATATTTTTGCCCTCTTGGATGCTGGCACCAAGCAAACCTTGGCTATCCTGCTTAAAGGGACATTTGGAGAGGGGTTCTGGAGGGCTAGGGGCCACATGGAGGAAAACAAGGTTCCCCGGCTGACAACCAGCACCAACTGCCAGGCACATGCATGAGGCCGTCCTGGATGCTCCGCCCAGCTGGCCCTCCAGCTGCAGGTAGCCACACAAATGAGCCCAGGTTAAACCAGCCAGGAAGTCCCCATGCAACTCACAGGGTCATGAGCAATAATGGCTTCTGGTGGTTTAAAGTTTCTAATTTTAGGTGCAATAGGTAACTGAAACAGCCCACAAGGGTGTGAGCCTGTGGAGGGTGCATTTCCCACCTGCTGAAGCTTCTCAATTCCCAGGATCCAATCCAGATAAGACTCTTGTTCTCAGTGTCCTTGATGGAAATGGCAATGAACTTTTTGCAGATTGGACCATCTCGGGAATCCCAAAGATCGGAAACTATTTTCTTTCTCAGAATCTTCCACAAAGCATTGAGCCTTAGGAATTTCTAAGAAGGATCTGGAATGAAAAAAAATCTTTTGAAAAGGTATTTGTATAGCTTCAGTTCAGCAAGATTCATGGTGGGTGTTAGAGTAAGTGCTGGTGTTAAGCCAAACCATGTTTTTCAAAGACTCATCTGGCCTCAACGTTGGCAGGATCAGAGTGGCCTCCCAGGATCTATCACATCCTCAGAAGAGTTGGTTCAACTGGCATGTACCCAGATCTCTTTGAGCTAGTATGATACTCCCTTAAGTCAAAGGCTGCCACATCACATCTCCTTTAAGTCCCCCTAAGTATGACCCCAGAAGTATTGACAAAATAGTGCAATTCCTGAAGATTTCAGGAGGACATAAATGAAGAGACTAAACTGCAAGGTACCAAAACTTCCATCTTTGCTAAAGACCCTCATCCAGACTGGGCACGGTGACTCACGCCTGTAATCCCAGCAATTTGGGAGGCCAAGGCGGGTGGATCACCTGAGGTCGGGAGTTCAAGACCAGCCTGACCAACATGGAGAAACCCCATCTCTACAAAAAATACACAATTAGCCGGGAGTGGTGGTACATGCCTGTAATTCCAGCTACTAGGGAGGCTGAGGCAGGAGAATCGCTTGAACCTGGGAGGCGTATGTTGCGGTGAGCTGAGATCGTGCTATTGCACTCCAGCCTGGGCAACAAGAGTAAAACTCCATCTCAAAAACCAACAAACAAAAAGCCCTTATCCAATGGTCATGCCACTCTATCTGGCCATGTAATTTCTCCTCCTGTCTTTCTGTAGCAACAGCCTTCTGAAGAACCTCACTCTGCCTTTCAAAACCCCTTCAACTTGTACCCTTCATCAGCAAAGTACTTAGCTCAACATGTATGCCTCTGGGGGTACTCATCCATATGCCATTTAAGGATATTTCCAGCATCATCATCTTCACTACCCCAGGATGGCATTTTAGAGTGGATTACGTGCCTGCTGGATGTGTTGTACTTGAACGAGCTAGAGAAAATGCCACACTTTAAGACGAATTAAGAGTCTGTTCATTTAGCCGGCGGCTAAGAAATGGCTAACGTTTAAAGTTCTCTCGGCCTCGAAGAAGGGGCTAGATTTTCTTTTATACTTTCGTTTAGAAAGGGGAGGGGGGTCTAGTTAAAACAATTTTACAGAAGTAGGCAAAAAAGTTAAAAGGATAAATTGTTGCAGGAAAGTAAACAGCTCTAGGTCTAGGGGCTTTAAGACTATTATGAGGTGATAGACGCGGGGCTTTGGGCGTTATCAATTGGACGAATTCCTGGGAACTGCGGATATTGCTCACCACAGTATCTTATCAGTTAATTGCATTCTTCGATGTGCTCGGCGTCAGCTTGCACAAGTTAAGTCCTTGAGGAAGGGGCTGTCAGTGAAAGAGCCAAGATGGAGTCTGTCTGCCTCTCTTAGCTAAGGGAGAGTCAATTCAGGTGGAAACAAGGCTAGGTGATTAAAAGAAAGGGAGAGTCTAAGAACAGGGTTAGTAAAAACAAGGTTGGGCATTACATTCCTCACTTGTATTTTTGGGGAATCAAATCGTTGATTCTTCAGTTATAACGAGGGGGTTATTTTGAGTCTTAAGATACATAAGTTTGACAGAAGGTATACGTTGTTTTACAAAATTAATAAACTAATTTAATATACAAGGTCCAAAAATTAAACTTAATAGTAGGATGGGGAGGGGGTCTGGCTAACTTAGTAATTAGAATAGTTAGCTCTGGGTTCTAGTTGAACATGCTTTGATACTAGGGGATGTTATTTTCTTGTTCTTGTTGGTGCTTATCTAGATTTTCTTGCACTTTCTGGAGTGTATCTTTTATGCCTAAGAATGGTGGAGGAACAGTTGAATCAACTTTCTCAGGGTGTTTCTGGAACATAGGGTTACTTAGATCAGTTAAAGGCCTGATTGGCTTGGGTGGGCTTTATGAGACTAGTTTTTTTTTGGATGGTGAACATAGACTTAACATTAAATCCTGGGATATAAAATCTTAATCTTCATGACATGCCATGATACTGTTGTGTTGAATTAAGGTCATGGACAGTTATAGTAAGAGGATTACAATTTCTTCTAGTATATAATTTAGGATGAGAAGCAGGACTTATGGAAAGAGTTGAAGATCTGGTTGATCTTTTAGAGCAGGTGGCTAAAGTTACACATGTCTAATCAAGACAGGAAAACTGATAAGTATCTTGACAGCTAGCATCAGGGTGATTTCTAGGACAGAGGTAAAAGTAAATATTTTGGAGTCTTTTTTCTGCACTTTTGGAGCTTCTACACTTAGTTTGGCTCTTGGAGTGTCTGAGTCTTGCTGCAAAGTCGACACTTCCTGCTCCTGGAACTGGCAGATTGTGTTGCTTTTCGTGGGTATGGGCTGGCTTTGGGAAGAGTACAAATAAGTCAACTGCAAAGGACACTTCCTTGGAGGTACTGGCCTTCTAAGTGGTGTTTGCAAGTACAAGTCCTGTTGTGAAAGAGGTGAGGAGAAAGGAGTAGGAAGGCACAGAGGATGTAATGGGCAAAAACAAGTGAGTGAGGTAGATAAAAAGAATGAATCTAATGGCTTCACCTGACTTAGGTGCAGTTTTAAGGGTCCTGACTTAGGCTTGGGGACTTATGTTTTTAGTTGGACTCTGTTGGCCTTTTTGATGCGGGAGTGATGAATGTAAGCAGGAATGCCATCTACTTTCAGAGCCATTGGAGTCGTGAAGATGACGTTGTGAGGTCTTTTCTAAGCAGGAGTGAGTCTTTCTTTTTGGAACTTTTTAACAACACTAGGTCTCCTGGCTGGAACGAATGGCAGGACTTTGGTCAGGAATTGGATTGGGATGGGCTCCTGGAACAAGTGGCAGGATAATATCTTGTACGTGTTGGAGAGACTATAGGTACTGTAATAAATTAGTTTGTGATATTTCTGCTAATTTGGCATCTCTTAGCTTAGGCAAGATAGGCGGTGCCCTATTATACATAATTTCAAAAGGTGAGAAATTAGCCTGGTAAGAGGTGCACCTTAATTTAAGTAGGGCTAAAGGAAGGAGACTTACTTAATTTACACTGTTTTTTTAAGATTAATTTTATAAGAGTGTTTTTTAGGGTGTGGTTCATGCGTTCTACTTGCCTGGAGCTCTGGGGTTGATAGGCACAATGGAGCTTCTGTTGAATGTTTAACGCCTTACTGACTGACTGAGCTATAGGCGAGGTGAAGGCTGCTCTATTATCAGACTTTATGGCAGCAGGCAGCCTATATTGAGGGATGATTTCATTGAGTAAAAACTTAACTACTATGTTGGTGGTTTCGTTTTCGGTAGCAAATGCCTTAGTCTATCTGGAGAAGGTGTCTACTAGTACTAGAAGGTATTTGTACTTAGCCTGGTGTGGTTTGACTTCTGTAAAGTCAATTTCTTACTTTTTTCTTGGCGACTTTTTCCAGAGACAGTGGCCTGGGCTGGGTTTAGGACTTTGTTTGGCATTTACTTGGGCTCAGGTTGTGCACTGGAGAGCTGCTTAATCTTTAGGCTTTGAAGACTGGGGATCTTAAAATGGCTCTGGAGGAGCTGAGGTAGCTTTGCTCTTCTTAAATGGGTGATAGACTGTACGTAACTGGTTAAAGTTTGTTTAAGAGTTCAGGGTATGAAGATTCTAGAGTCAGGAAGAATCTACTAACTTTCCTGATTTTTATTGGCTCTGAGATCCGAAGCCAGTTGTTGTTGTTGTTGAGTATACGGGATTGTCAGGCAGATCTGGCTGTGGAAAGGAGACTGTGGGCAGCAAGTTTAGAGGCGTGACTGAAAGTCTTGCTGCGACCTGAGCTGCTGAATCAGCTTTCTGGTTACTATGGGCCACGGCCGTGTTTTCTTTTTGATGTCCTTTGCGGTGGATCACAGCTACCTGCTGAGGTGAGTAGCCTGCTTTCCTGGTAGATGGCTTTATGTACATGCACAGCAGCAAAGGCGTACTTGCTGTCAGTGTAAATGTTAATAAGTTTATTCTTACTTTATTGGAGAGCCTGAGTGAGGGCGATCAATTCAGCCTTTTGTGCTGAGGTGTTCGCTGGTAAAGCTTGAGCTTACAACAAATGTGTCTCCGTGGTAACAGCTGCACTGGCTCTTCATATTTCCTGCTTGAGGAAGCTGCTACCGTCTGTGAACACGGCGGCATCTGCCTTTTCTAGGGGCACAGCTTGAAGATCAGATAGGCCAGTTTCGATAGTTTCTAACAGTTCTTGACAGTCATGAGCAGGAATAGTGGAGTCTGAGTCAGGAAGTAGTGTAGCTGGATTGAAACACTTTGTGGGAGAGAAAGTCAAACGAGGCTGATCTAACAGTAAACTTTGATACCGCAAGATGCGAGCATTTGACATCTATTTGCCAGAAGCATTTTGTAGTAAGGTCTTTACGGCGTGAGGAGCTGTAAGGGTTAAATTTTGGCTTAGAGTTAACTTATCAACTTCTTGGGCCAGGCTTGCTGTAGCCGCTAAGGCTCGAAGACAACTTGGCCATCTAGAGGCCACAGGATCTAGCCTCTTAGACAAATAGGCCACTGGGCGGCTTTAGGGTCTTAAAGTCTGAGTAAGCACGTCTTTAGCAACTCCTTGGCTTTTATGGAGATATTAGGGAGGGCTAAAGCAGGGGCTTCAGTTAATGCTAAATTAACGGGCTACTTCATTCTGTACTTCTTGGATAGCTGCCACTAAGATTTTTGTTTGTCTTCTGAATGCTTTATCAGCGGCCTTCCCAGTTGCCTGTGTTGCTTTTGTTTTTTAAGCTTTTGATTATCAAAAACTTTTTGGGCTATTTCTAAAAGCTGACTGATATTTATTCTAGAAAATCTTTTTAGTTTTTGGAGTTTCTTTTTAATATCCTGGGCTGCCTGAGCCACAAATTGTAAATTAAGAGCAAGGCTATTTTCGGGAGCTGCCGGGTCAAAAGGGGTGTAAATCCGATAAGCCTCCTGGAGGCGCTCTAAAACGTTCTTGGTGACTTATCGGGCTTTTGGACAACGTCGGTCGTCTTAGACAAGTTGATGGGTTTCTGAGAGGCTCTTTTAATACTTGCGAGGAGATACCAGTGAAAATCGTCTAAAGCTCCCTTTCTACTTGAGGAATGTGGGTCCTGGTTAGGCTGGGTAGAGGGAAAGACATCCTCAAGGAGGTCTCTAGCTTCTTCTTCCGGTCCGTTGGCTGATGTGAGGAAGTACTTTTTGGCTTCTTTTTGGATACGTTCCTTCTTTTCAGAGGTGAAAAGGGTTAAAAGGAGCTGTTGGCAATCATCTTAGGTGGGCGGGCGGGTCCGGAGTACAGACTCTGTCAGAGAGGTCAAAGCCTGGGGCTTTTCAGAGAAGGGAGGATTATGGGTTTTCTAATTATATAAGTCAGAAGTAGAAAAAGGGACACAAACTAAGAAGGGTGCTGAGCGCTCGTCACCTGGAGGGACTTGTGCCTCTCTCAGTGGTAGTAGAGGGACTACTTCTTCCTGCCACGGTCATGACTGAGAGGCAATGGGTGGCGAGCCTACAGAGGACGTCGTCGAGGAGACATGGGATAACTTTAAGGGAGAAGGTTGGTTGTAAGGCGGTGGGATTGGGTGAGGGGGACTCTCCTCTTCTTCAGAGAGAGGCAGTACAGGGGAAGCTGAACCGACTGAGGGTTGAGGCGAAAACGCGGTCTGGCTTAGGAGGACCTCGGAGGTAGAATTATGAACGGCGCATGAACGGAGCCATGGAGAGTGGATCCTGACTAAACGTAGCTAATGTAGGGAAACTGATCAGGGTGACTAGGAGTTTCAGTAACAACCTGCCACACAGCTTGAACAATTGTGAGGTTCAATGACCCTTCAGGGGGCCACTTGACTTTAAACTTTGGCCATTTTATTTTGCAGAGTGTCTGGAGCTTGCCTTTTTTAGGCGGACTTTATAATCCTCTGAACTGAGAGAAAAATTCTGCAGCATACATTGGAGAGGGCTTTAACTTTACAAGGCTGGGAGGAAGTGTTTCTTATTTTTATTTTTTTTGAAGGCAATTTAATAAGATTTGAGCATAGATATTAAACTTAGCATGGACAGAGAAACTTATTTCTTGGGGGACTGGCATAGTGAAAGAACAGAATCAGTATGACCAGAGAGAGCAGAAAAACTTACAACAGCTAATACTACTTGCTACATTGCTGTAGCTTTAAGATTGAGGAAGGAGGACTAGAGCCAGCCTGAGATCTTCTGGGTCAGTTTGATCTAGGCGTTCTTCTTCTTCTTCTAGATCTGCACTTTAAATATTTTTGGTGTCTTTATGACTTAAATGCAAATAGCTTAAACTTAGCTTTTTCTTTTAAGGGTTTAAGGAGTGAGAGCAGAGCCAAGTCCTGGAGATGGTAAACTTGCTGTCGCACCGTAAAACGAGATGTGCGGGATAGGGGGCAGGGACAAGGCAGAAAAGGACTACTCGGATCATTTTTAAGATGGGACAGTAGCCACAGAGGAACAGAGTAAGAATCTAAATGAAGTAAAGCAGTACGGGCGTACATTTCTTTACACAGTGTTCTACTTAAGGGCACAGGAAAAGTTACAGAATGACGAGAGAGGTGAGCAAGGAAATTTGCAGGGTGGCTGTTTTGAACTCACTACTGGTTTAGTTTAGAGGAGGTCTAATCACCTGGACGTGGAGTATGACGATCTAAATACTTACAACTTTCATGGTGCTAGAAATATTAATCAGGCAAATGTTTTTCACACTTGTTCTTGTAACAACACTTGACTTGCTTCTGGCAGAAAAGACAGGACTGTGGTCGCCAGCCTAAAAGATTGATGAGAAATTTAACCTCCTGTGACAAAAAATCAGCACTAAGGGCTTTGAAGAAGTTTTTACTTAGACGTCTTTGCAATATCAACGTCTTGACATGCAAAACTCTGACAACTACTAACAAGACAATAGACACTGAGCAGAACAATCAATATAAAACAAACAATTGACTTTAGTGCATGTAAACAGTTACGACAGTTTCTTCCTTTTTTTTTTTTTTTTTTTTTTTTTTAGACAGACAAGGGGAGGGTTTCCTGTGATGGGATCAGTCAGATAACTGCCTGGCCCCTCCCCCTGAGGGGACTTGGGCTCCTCTTAGCATTGGCAGGCCGGTATAAACTTCCGGCTCAGATCAAGCTATGCCTGATGCTGCCTTAAGCCTTATGGGGTCGCCACAGAACCGCAGGTGAGGTGAGGACCTACTTGAACTCCGTAGCTTTCGCCGTGGAGCTACAAACTGGAGGACAAGCGCGAGCCCTTGTCCTCCCTCACTCATTCATTATTCACACAGAGTATATAACAGTTTTTTTTTTTCTTTCTTGGAGATTCTTCAAGAAACTTGAACAAGAGAAAGATGAGAGATAGAAAGAGAGAGAGAGAGAGTGACCGGTCTGCCGGAAACCAGGACTCAGTCCTCCAGCATCCTGGGATGTGGACTGAGTCAAGGGAGGGCCCCTGTCAGGGCCACTTCCCTCCTAGAAAGAGACACAGAGGTGCCTAACAGAAAACCAGGGCTCTACCTTCTAGCGTCCTAGAGAAACATGCAGAGTCGAAAGAGGGACACCCTCATCAGGGCCGCTTCCCTCTTCCTAGAACTGAAGTCAAATCTGACCTACGTGACCTCAGGGTCAGAAGTCGAGGACTCAGAGGTGGAATTTTTATGGGCACCCACCGGGTAGTCGATCCGCTCTCCTCTGGAAGACGGTCACTTTTCGAGGACCTGAAGGTTTTTTTTTAGGTGGCACCCCCCACAAGCCGGCCGTCCTTCCGGGGGAGCCCGGCTCTCTCCTCATGGCGTTTCTCGCTGGGGCCTCCAAATGTTGTACTTGAATGAGTTGGAGAAAATGCCACACTTTCACATGAATTAAGAGTCTCCTTATTTAGCTGGTGCCTAAGAAATGGCTAACTCTTAACGTTTTCTTGGCCCCGAAGAAGGGGCTAGATTTTCTTTTATACTTCAGTTTAGAAAGGGGAAACAGGTCTAGTTAAAAGAATTTTACAGAAGTAAAGTAGGCAAAAAAGTTAAAAGGATAAATTGATACAGGAAAGTAAAGAGTTCTAGGTCTAAGGGCTTTAAGACTATTACAAAGTGATAGACGTGGGGCTTTAGGCATTATCAATCGGACAAATTCCTGGGAACTGTGGATATTGCTCGCCCCACAGTATCTTATCAGTTAATTGCATTCTTAGATCTGCTAAGAGTCAGCTTACACAAGTTAAGTCCTTGAGGAAGGGGCTGCCAGTGAAAACGCCAAGATAAAAGCTGTCCCCAGTGTTAGAGGTGGGGCCTGGTGGGAAGAGATTGAATCATGGGGGTGGATTTCTCATGAATGATTTTGCATCGTCCTTTTGGTCCTGTCCTTGCAATAGCGAGTGAGTTCTTGCAAGATCGGGTTGTTTACGAGTGTGTCGCACCTCCCTCCTTACTCTCTTGCTCCCGCTTCACTTTCTGCCATCATTGTAAGTTTCCTGAGGCCTCCACAGAAGCTCAGCAGATGTCAGTGTCATGCTCCCTGTATAGCCTACAAAACTGCGAGCCAATTAAACCTCTTTTCTTTATATATTACCCAGTCTCAGGTATTTCTTTATACCATGAGAACAGCCAAATCCAGCAGCCGTAGACAATATGTAGCAAATGTGCATGGCTGTGTTTCAATAAAACTTTATTGACAAACACATGTGCAAGCAGGTCAGATTTGGCCCATGGGCCATAGTGTCCCAATCTCTGCTCTGGAATATTCTGTCCAGCCTGGATGGACATCTCTAGGTTGTTTTTTTTTTTTTTTTTTTTTTTTTGAGACAAAGTCTCACTGTTGCCCAGGCTGGAGTGCAGTGGTGCAATCTTTGCTCACCAGAACCTCTGCCTCCTGGGTTCAAGCAATTCTCCTGCCTCAGCCTCCCAAGTAGCTGGGATTATAGGCACCTGCCACCACACCTGGCTAATTTTTGTATTTTTTAATAGAAATAGGGTTTCACCATGTTGGCCAGGCTGGTCTCAAACTCCTGACATCAGGTGATCCACCCACCTCAGCCTCCCAAAATGCTGGGATTACAGGTGCCCGCCACCACACCTGGCTAATTATTGTATTTTTAGTAGAGATGTGGTTTCACTATGTTGCCCTGGCTGGTCTCGAACTCCTGATCTCAAGTGATCCACCTGCCTCGGCCTCCCAAAGTGCTGAGATTACACGTGTGAGCCACTGCAGCTGCCCTCTAGATTTTTTTTTTTGTTGACCATTGCTTATTTGGTTTGACTTTCATTTTCTTCCCCATTGTGGTAGTCATTTTCTGAATGCCTGTTAGTTTGTCCATCTCTCTCCTCTGTAGTCCCTAGAGTCAGATGAACTCCTCTGCAGGTGCAATGGTGTAACACTCTCTAGTGCTGAATTCTGAGCAGGAGAAAGAGAGCAAGAGTGACCAGTACCTTTGGAAACTCTGGCCTCCTGAGAATTTGGTGTCTCCTCTGCAAAGGTTGCATACCTGTTAACCCACAGGCAGGAGAGAGAGACAAGCCAGAATCATGATCTGTTGAGCTTGAGTTTAATATCTGATGCGCAGAGATCACTGAGTTTTTTGATAAGAATTAGAGGGGGAAGAAATGGCCACAGAGAACAATTTCTATCTCCAGGTGAGGATTCAGGAGATAATTCTGTGAACAGAACTTCCTGAGAACTGAGATGGGGGAAATCGCTGGTATTAGAAGAGTGAAAATGTCAGTAATTATGGCTACGACTGTGCTCTTAGAGGCAAAAGAAGAAAATGAGACTGCCAGGCATGAATAATGAGAAATCTTTGATGGAATTAGCCATGCAGAACAGATACTAAATGCATCCTCATTCTTCTCATAGTCAAAAGTTTGTGCTTAAGCTGGATGGGAAAAAGAGAATCCCATTTCACTAAGTATAAAAGAGGGGATTTTAGAGAAGGTCTCAGAAGAAAGAGATGTGGGGGTTTGGTGAAACTCACCAGAGGCTGAACCCTCTCCAGCATAACACAGGGATTGGGAGGAGCAGGGCGGCATTAGGCCAGATGTATAGCCCAGTGCTGCTCTCTCTGGACTTGTTTGCTAGCTGAGCTCATCCATTTACATAATTTTCAGTGCCATTTCTCAGCTAATGAGTCCTGAACTTTTGTCTTGAGGCTAGAATTCTCCTTCAAACAGCAGTTTTAACACTCAACTTCTTTCTTGTTTTTTCCACTTGTCAACTCATGAACACCTCAACCTTGTTACATCCAAAGCCAAACTCATGGCTTGGAGTGGTAGGTGATGGCTGTAATCCCAGTGCTATGGGAGGCAGAGGTGGGAGGATTACTTGAGGCCAGGAGTTGGAAGCCAGCCTGGAAAACAGAGTGAGACTCCCTATCTACAAAAAAAAAAAAAAAAAAAAAAAAAAAAAAAAAAAAGCTAGGCATGGTGATGTGCATCTGTAGGATCTGTAGTCCTGCTACATGGCACGCTGAGGCAGGAGGATCACTTGAGCCCAGGAGTTTGAGGCTGCAAAGAGTTATGATTGCACCAATGCACTCCAGCCTGGGTGACACAGCCAGAGACCCTGTCTTAAAAAAAAAAAAAACCAAAGCCAAACTCTCTTTTTCCTCCTCCTTCTCCATGGGCTCTGTCCATGCCATCTCTGTTCTGTAAATGGCACCACCCCCTGCTGAGCTGCTCAAGGTGGTCATAACTCATGTGTTGTGCTAACTCTTCTTTTGCCCTCTTCTCCAGTCAGCAAGTCCTGTGATTCTAAACTTTATCCAACTTGTCCACTCTCTGTAGCTTCACTGTCATTATCTTTGCCTAGGACACCACTATCTCAGCTGGGCTACAGCAGCCTCCTAACTGGTCTTAACTGGTACTCTGCACCTGCTCTCCATGCTCAGCAATCCATTTCCTACCTGGCAGCTTCAGTGATCTTAAGGCTTCCATTGAGTCTCATCCCTGCCTTTCCTGCCCATGGTACATAGAATAAAATCGAGACCCCGAGTCTTCTGCCTGTTCCTGCCACCTCTCCAGCCCTCTCCTATCTCCTGCCCTTGGCCTACTCTATTTCAGCCACTATGGCCTCCTTTTGTTTTCTTGGACTTTCAAACCTTTTTCCACAACACGGCCTTTGCACTTGCTGCTTCAGCCTGGAATGATTTTCCCTGCACCTCCCCAAATTAGACCATCCTTCAGGTGTCAGCTAAAATGGTGCTTCCACAGACAGCTCTTCCCTGACCCCTTTATAAAGTGGACTTACCTGCTCTTCTCCACCTTAACCTCTTATTGTTTCTTGTTGTGGGAAGTCAGGGACCCCAAATGGAGAGGGACTGGCTGGAGCCATGGCAGAGGAACATAAATGGTGAAGATTTCATGGACATTTATCAGTTCCCAAATAATACTTTTATAATTTCTTATGCCTGTCTTTAATCTCTTAATTCTGTTATATTCATAAGCTAAGGATGTACATCACCTCAGGACCACTGTGATAATTGTGTTAACTGTACAAATTGATTGTAAAACATGTGTGTTTCAACAATATGAAATCAGTGCACCTTGAAAAAGAAGAGAATAACGGCAATTTTTAGGGAACAAAGGAAGACAACCATAAGGTCTGCCTGCCTGCAGGGTTGGGCAAAAAGAGCCATATGTTTCTTCTTGCAGAGAGTCTATAAACGGATGTGCAAGTAGGAGAGAGATCGCTAAATTCTTTTCCTAGCAAGGAATATTAATAGTAATACCCTGGGAAAGGAATGCATTTTTTGAAGCCCTTAATAAAAACTTGCTCATCTGAGACTCAGGGGGCATCACGGTCCTACTGATGTGTAATGTCACCCGCAGCAGCCCAGCTGTAAAATTCCTCTTTGTAGTGTCTCTCTTTATTTCTCAGCTGGCTGACACTTATGGAAAACAGAAAGAACCTACATTGAAATATTGGGGGCAGGTTCCACCTATATTTCTTTCATAGATTTACTTATTTTTTGTTTGTCCCCCTCTGTATCCTAGAAACTCCTGGAGGGCAGAGGCATGCCTGCCATCTTCATCATTGCATTACCACCACCCAACACTATCGGGGGACCTGCCCTGATAATCAGGTAGGTTCTTTTCTATTTTCCTAAGCGTCGACTGGCTTGAGAAATAAAAGGGCAGAGTACAAAAGAGAGAAATTTTAAAGTTGGGTATCCGGGGGAGACAACACACATTGGTAGGATCCGTGATGCCCCACAAGCCACAAAAACCAGCAAGTTTTCATTAGGGAGTTTCAAAAGGGGAGAGAGTATATGAATAGGAGTGGGTGACAGACATCAAGTACTTAACAGGGTAATAGAATATCACAAGGCAAGTGGAGACAGGGTGAGATCACAGGACCACAGGATGGAAGTGAAATTAAAATTGCTAATAAAGTTTTGGCACCATTGTCATTGATAACATCTTATGAGGAGACAGGGTTTTGAGATCAACCCGTCTGACCAAAGTTTATTAGGCGAGAATTTTCTCTTCCTAATAAGCCTGGGAGTGCTGTGGGAGACTGGAGTTTATTTCACCTCTGCAATCTCGACCATAAGTGACAGGTACGCCCCGGGGGGCCAGTTCAGAGACCTACCCCTAGGTGCGCATTCTCTTTCTCAGGGACGTTCCATGCTGAGAAAAGGAATTCAGCGATATTTCTCCCATTTGCTTTTGAAAGAAGAGAAATATGGTTCTGTTCTGCCTGGCTCACCAGCGGTCAGAGTTTAAGGTTATCTCTCTAATTCCCTGAACAATTGCTGTTATCCTGTTCTTTTTTCAGGGTGCCCACATTTCATATTGCTCAAACACACATGATGTACAATTTATGTACTTAACGCAATTATTACAGGTCCTGAGACGATATACATCCTTCTCGACTGACAGGATTAAGAGATTAAAGTAATGACAGGCATAGGAAATCACAAGGGTATTGATTGGGGAAGTGATAAGTGTCCATGAAATCTTCACAATTTATGTTTAGAGATTGCAGTAAAGACAGGCATAAGAAATTACAAAAGTATTAATTTGGGGAACTAATAAATGTCCATAAAATCTTCATAATCCACGTTCTTCTGTCATGGCTTCAGCCGGTCCCTCTGTTTGGGGTCCCGACTTCCCGCAACATCTCTCCCTTTCTTTTTATATAAATGTGCCATGGCGATGAAGGCTTGTTCATTCTCTCGATTTTGACACAGGATTATTTGACTGGTACGGCACACTAAAAGCAAGCCGATGAAGCAGAGAAACATAATTCCAGAATTTACTACAGTGGAGCCCCCAATAGACTTAATCCAAGTTCTGGGGTTTAATCCATAAAGATTTTCTGCCACCTGATCTAACGCCTGAGCTCCAGGCACGATGGATAAGTGAGCTTGGGAGGCTTCAAAAATTTGTTTTTTTTTTTAATTTAGTTGTTTTCAATGATAAATTATATTTTCTACCTAGAAGATGTCCTTTGACCATTTCCCATGAATGATCAGTCTCGTTGTAGGAATAGGGGTGATGCAGAAATCCAAAGTATTCCAATCGCACTGCATTTGCATGCGATGTTCTAGACTCACTACCCGATCTCCAAGCCAAATAACAGACTGTCTTAAATCATTAATTTGATTTGCCAATTTTTGATCGATGCCTTGTTGAGAATTCCACATTTGGGTGGAATTGGCTTGCCAATCATTAACAAAATGAGCCGTTTGAATAGACTGGTGTAATGCCATTCCAGCAGTGGTGGCCATTGCAGTGACTGTAATTAGGCCCATGATAACAGCGATTAAAGTGAAAACAAATATCTTAGGTTCTTTTAGAATTCGTTGTACCACTTCATTAATTAAATGTATTGAGGGGGAGGATTCCCAAGGTCTAGGTAAAGTTATCGGAATCCAGATTCCTTCTCGAGCTCGAACCAACATTACACTTTTCCTGGAGTCAAAGTGGGAGTTAATACAAGTGTATAGATGACAACTGACGCATTGGACAATTTGATTATTCATCCAAATTTTGATATTTCCTACCAATATCATGTAAGGAGGCTTAACACAACTCTGTATGGGAACAGTCAGGTTGGAGGTAAGTAAAGCAGAATATCTGGGTCTACGTTGATACTGAGAGAGTGGGACGGTAGTGGGAACAACAGTCAAAATAGTTTTTCCTTCCCATACTCGCAGTCCAGCCATGGCAATAGCCAATTTCCAAAGTTCTGGGTGTTCTGGGCTCAGAATAGGGAGTATCATAGGATGCCTGGAGGGGGCGGGGGTAATGCCTTTATCTTCCCATTTTAAGGGAAAGAATGAGCTGATCCTTGAATGATGATTCTCTTTCTCCTGATAAGAAATAAAATAAGTAGCCTCCAGGCATTCCCTTCCACAGAGGAGCAATTGTTTTTTAAATAGCCCTATGGTGCCCAGTCTATTACTAAACCATATGAGTCATTTTTTAATATTACTGCATGTGAGTTAACACAATCTTCCCAAATTAAAGTTTTAGATGGTCCCTCAAAATGTTTAGGGCATGGTTTTCCTGCAGGTTTATATTGAAAGTATGGGGTACCTCCCATTACTCCTCCTTTCATTTGTTGTAAAGGAGAAAGGGAGAGGCCAGAGGCCAAATGTCCCATTTTATCTGTAGCTGATGTTTCTGAAAGATAAGCAGCCCAGAACTGAGTTTCTAGATGGATGCAACCAGGTGCATGTCCGAGGCACAGAGGTGGGTATTTATAACCCATGGTAACATTAAATGCAGTGCCTTCTTCTCCTGGTTGTGCGGGGCAAGGGTCGTCTATGGCTCCAGGCATCCACACACTATCGTTAGTGTAGATTTCTGCGGGAGCATCTATCCGGGTGAGAGAGCGAATAAGTGGAGGAAAAGACACCTAAGCCCAAGAAGAATAATTATGTGTAGCAGGTAAATCAGTGTGAGAGGAAACTGGTGAGACAGAAAGTATAAGGAGGAGAATCATTAAATAAAACCTAGTGTAAGCGAGATGGAGTGCTGAAGGAGAAAGAGAAGAACAGTGGGATGTTATTTTCAGGCTAATAGAAATGGTGAGATATTTAGGTTTGTAAGGAGAAAAAGAAAGGTAATCAGGATAAGTGTGATTAGTTAGATGGGTCTCCACTGTCATCAGGGAGGATTGATTTACACCCATTGTGATTTGGTGTGCCTGTTTCTGAGGAGTCGGCACAGATCTCACCACATCTGAAGGCAGTCTCTGACACAGACGTCTCTTCACTGTGGTTTTGATTGTCAGTATTCACAAGAAGCTTGAGTCTTCTGGTGGGCACCCAGACAGGGGATTGATGATCTCCTGGTGAAACACAAGCATATCCTCTTCCCCACGTTAAGTAGAATAAGAGACAATATTTAAAGGTTTGGGGAAATCCTGTAAGGCAGTAATCACAGCAATTAACTCCGCATTTTGAAGAGAAGTATAAGAGGTAGAAAGAAGTTTGTCTGCAGGACCTGTATAGCCAGCATTGCCATTACCAGAGCCATCAGTGAATACTGTAACGGCCTCAGGAATGGGTTGATTTTTGGTTAATCGAGGAACCACCCAAGACGTTATTTTTATAAAATCAAACAATTTGTTTTTTTGGATAATGATCGTCAATAACACCAATAAAATCAGCCAAGTGAATTTGCCACAGTACAGAATGTTGAAAGGCAGCTTGAACTTCGAGCTGATTTAAAGGAACTACAATTACACTTGGATCAAATCCAGAAAATTGAAGTATTCTGCACCGAACCTGTCCAATTAGTATGGCTATTTGGTCTAGATAAAGTTTTTGACACAGAATGAGGAAGAAAACACCATTCCACTAAATCATTATGTTGAACTATTAGTCCAGTAGGAGAGTGTAATGAAGCAAAAACCAGAAGCTGAAAAGGCTGAAATGTCTGTACTCTAGATAACTGGGCAGTCTGGATTTTTTCCTCTACAAATTCCAGATCCAGTAAAGCCTCAGGGGTCAAAGTCCTAGGGCTGCGGAGATCAGAATCTCCCCGCAGCATAGAGAACAAGTTAGACAGGGTATAGGTCGGAATGCCTAAAGTAGGTCTTAAATAATTAATGTTACCCAAAAGTTTTTGGAAGTCATTTAAAGTTTTTAAAGAATCTCTCCTAATTTGAACTTTTTGAGGTTGAATACATTGTTTATCGACCACCATTCCTAAATATTGAACAGGAGTGGTCTGTTGAATTTTATCCTGAGCAATGCGTAATCCAGCCTCTGTAACACAGCGGTTCAAAATTTGGTAACAGTCATTTAATTTTTTATCAGTGGGGGCAGAAATTAATATATCATCAATATAATGAAGAATATAGGCCTCGGGAAATCGGGCTCAAACTGGTGAAAGCACTTGTCCAACATAAAGCTGGCAGATTGTAGGGCTATTTAGCATTCCCTGAGGAAGTACTTTCCATTGATAACGAGCTACAGGCTCCTGATTATTGATAGATGGTACAGTAAAAGCAAATTTTTCACAATCCGATTTATGTAAAGCGATATGAAAAAAAAAAAACTCTTTAAGATCAATAACTATGAGAGGCCAATCTTTAGGTATTAAAGCAGGGGCAGGCATGCCGGGTTGGACGGCCCCCATAGGTTTAATTACAGCATTAATGGCCCTTAAGTCGGTTACTATCCGCCATTTGCCTGATTTCTTTTTTACTAGAAACAGGAGAATTCCAAGGGGAAAGAGAAGGTTCCACATTTCCAAGTTGTAACTGCTCAGAAACCAATTGATTTAAAGCCTCCAGTTTTTCTTTAGAAAGCGGCCCCTGCTGAATCCCAGGGCCACTTGTCTTATCTCCTTTGTTTAAAAGGATATTAGGTAGTAAAAGCAATTGAGCTTGTTGAACAGTAGTAAAAGAAACAGGAGCTTGGGCTGGGGAGTGTAGTTTATCCCAAGCTCTCATACACACTTTTGTTACTTGTTCTGTGGTAAGAGTATCAAAGTTTAATTGGGCATAAGCATCAGAGAAACTATCGGAGCCTGTGAGCTGAGCCTGAGTAATTAGAATGCCATTACTCCGATTTAGCTGAGCCTGTAAACAGGCCTCCTCCTACCACCAGGCTGAGATGGACTTAGAACAGCTTTTTGCCAAAAGATCACAGTCTAAAGGAAGCAAAACGACCTCAGTATAAAAAGTTTGCAATACCATTTGAACATAAGGAAAAGTAGGACCATACTGAGTACAAGCATCCTTAAATTGTTTTTAAAAAGGTAAGATTGAGCGGCGCCTATCGATGCAGACTGGCTGAGGAACTGAAACGACAGGAGGGTGAGGGGCTGTAGTGGATGGGGGAGGGCCTGGAGAATGACAGGTAAATTGTAGTTTGGTCCCAGAGCCATTATTTGATGCTGGAGGTTTGAAGAGAGAAGAATTAGCATATTTATGGTACCGGGCTTTTTGAGTCACAGCCGCAGGAGTTTGAAGTACCGGCTTTTCGTGGGAAGAAGTAAGAAAAGTAGGGGGTAACTTTAAGCCAAAGTTACCAGAGTTAGAAATCGAATTTTCAGAATCGTTAGGGAGGGGAGGAGTAGCTGAAGGGAGAGTCTGAACGAAGGCCATGTGGGAGAGGAAGGTTGAGAAAAAGGCAGAGAAACTGAGGAAAAGGCAGAAAACTGCGGCAACTGCAGGGGGTCACGAGATTGGCAAGCCACGAAGATGTCACGCACCAAGCACCCCAAACAGTGATGGGCACATAATACCCGGCCGAGATCAGTTTTCGGAATGCCTTACGGACACAATCACACAATTTTATATACACCGTTCCTTTTTCAGGAAACCAAGAACAGTATTTTTCTACTGCCCTGAATAGAGTGATCATATTTTTCATGGTTACCGGTTTTAACAGGAGTTTGTTAGATTACACATGACCCACAGTTAACCCAGACCTTACACAGATTACTCACCACTCATCGGGGAGTTGAACACGCTTATCTGTGGACCAAGCCGATTGACGTTTCACCGCACCTACCAAAGGGAATCCGGTTCCCTCATGCACTTAGGAAAAAAGAAAGACCACGTGGGCGCCAGATATCGGGGGACCTGCCCCGATAATCACGTAGGTTCTTTTCTATTTTCCTAAGCGTCGACTGGCTTGAGAAATAAAAGGACAGAGTACAAAAGAGAGAAATTGTAAAGCTGGGCATCTGGGGGAGACATCACACATTGGTAGGATCCGTGATGCCCCACAAGCCACAAAAACCAGCAAGTTTTTATTAGGGAGTTTCAAAAGAGGAGGGAGTATATGAATAGGTGTGGGTGACAGACATCAAGTACTTCACAGGGTAATAGAATATCACAAGGCAAGTGGAGACAGGGCCAGATCACAGGACGGAAGTGAAATTAAAATTGCTAATGAAGTTTTGGCACCATTGTCATTGATAACATCTTATGAGGAGACAGGGTTTTGAGATCAACCCGTCTGACCAAAGTTTATTAGGCGGGAATTTTCTCTTCCTAATAAGCCTGGGAGTGCTATGGGAGACTGGAGTTTATTTCACCTCTGCAATCTCGACCATAAGAGACAGGTACGCCCCGGGGGGCCAGTTCAGAGACCTACCCCTAGGTGCGCATTCTCTTTCTCAGGGACGTTCCATGCTGAGAAAAGGAATTCAGCGATATTTCTCCCATTTGCTTTTGAAAGAAGAGAAATATGGTTCTGTTCTGCCTGGCTCACCAGCGGTCAGAGTTTAAGGTTATCTCTCTAATTCCCTGAACAATTGCTGTTATCCTGTTCTTTTTTCAGGGTGCCCACATTTCATATTGCTCAAACACACATGATGTACAATTTATGTACTTAACGCAATTATTACAGGTCCTGAGACGATATACATCCTTCTCGACTGACAGGATTAAGAGATTAAAGTAATGACAGGCATAGGAAATCACAAGGGTATTGATTGGGGAAGTGATAAGTGTCCATGAAATCTTCACAATTTATGTTTAGAGATTGCAGTAAAGACAGGCATAAGAAATTACAAAAGTATTAATTTGGGGAACTAATAAATGTCCATAAAATCTTCATAATCCACGTTCTTCTGTCATGGCTTCAGCTGGTCCCTCCATTTGGGGTCCCTGACTTCCCGCAACACAGCACAGTGCCTGGCACAAAAGAGTTGCTCAATAAATAAATCAGGATGAATAGATAAATACACGGATAGGCACTTTGAACTACAGATGAGCTTAAATACTTTGTGTTTTTCTTAGTCAAACATGTGCAATGAAGCATGTGATAAATGTTATGATGACCACACCTGTGTCTTGCCTGATGTTCTTTGCAATCACTAAATGAAGTCAATTGTGCCTGTTTTGACAGTTCTATTTTCAACCTAATGATCTGTTTATTTTAACTTCTGGCTGTTGGCTTTCTTTGGGTTTTTTAGCCTGACAAAGTGGTAGATATTGGTATTTGCTCTTTTGTTTAAATGTCACGAACTTTAAAAATGCCTTTGCTTTTGGTAAGAAACCCTAGTTAGGTCACCCTAGCGGTCAGGATGATTTGGGTTCTGGTGCAGTAACAACAAACCCCAAATCTCAGTGGCCTCATGCAGTGAGGTATTTGTTTGTTTGTTTTTGAGACAGGGTCTCACTCTGTCACCCAGACTAGAGTGCAGTGGTGCAATCTCAGCTCACTGCAACCTCTGCCTCCCAGACTCAAGTGATTCTCCTGCCTCCTGAGTAGCTGGGATTACAGGCCCATGCCACCACTGTCTGGCTAATTTTTGTACTTAGTAGAGACAGGATTTCACCCTGTTAGCCAGGTTGGTCTTGAACTCCTGACCTCAAATGATCCACCCACCTTGGCCTCCCAAAGTGCTGGGATGACAGGCATGAGCCACCATGCCTGGCCACAGTGAGGCTTATTCTTGGTCACGTTGCATGTCTGGGCTGTGTTAGGGCATTCTGGGGTGGTCTGTTCATTGTGTTCACTCAGGGATCCAGGCTGACAAAAGCCCCATCTCTGCATGTGTCCTTGATCACCACTTCAGGGCAAAGGGAATGTGGTGGATCATAGAGCAGCCTCTTAACACTTCCACCTGGAGGTGACTCAAGTTGCTGCTGCTCATGGTTCATTGGACAAAACGGATCACAGAGTCATGGGCAACTTCTCTGTGCCTGGAAGGGGAAACAAAATATGAATAGCCACATTGATTTTCCCTAGATATTACACAGAAGGCCTCATTTAAACACAGTTACTTATTTGTGTTTTGAAGCTAATTGTAGTCCATCAAACTTCATAGAAGATATGTGCACTTCCAAGCTATTATTAAGCACAATTCTTTTTTTTTTTTTTTTGAGACAGAGTCTCACTCTCTTGTCCAGGCTGGAGTGCAGTGGCATGATCATGGATCGCTGCAACTTCTGCCTCCTGAGTTCAAGTGATTTTCATGCATCAGCCTCCCAAAATGCTGGGATTACAGACACCCACCACCATGCCTGGCTAAGTTTTGTATTTTTAGTAGAGATGGGGTTTCACCATGTTGGCCTGGCTGGTCTGGAACTCCTGACCTCAGGTGATCCACCTGCCTCGGCCTCCCAAAGTGCTGAGATGACAGGCGTGAGCCGCCGCACCCGGCCTTGAGTACGATTTTTGATTTGGAAGGTCAGAGTTAGGGTTTTAGTCTGAGGACTGTATGATGTGAAGGTGAAAAGCAGAGCTTGGCTGTGAGTTTGCTGGGATTCCTGTGCTGCTTCTACAGCTCTTTGGCTGTGTGACCATCACTTTTGGCAAGTTCCTTTACCTTTCTATGTGTTGGTTTCCTCATCAATAAAATGGAAAAACTAATCATAATCATAATAGCTATTGGTGTTGGGATAGCCCAGTGGTTGACACATAAGGACTCAAACATACTTTTTTTTTTTTTTTTTTTGAGACGGAGTCTTGCTCTGTTGCCAGGCTGTAGTGCAGTGGTGCAATCTCGGCTCACTGCAACCTCTGCCTCCTGGGTTCAAGCGATTCTCCTGCCTCAGCCTCCCGAGTAGCTGGGATTACAGGCGCCTGCTACCACTCCCAGTTAATTTTTGTATTTTTAGTAGAGACGGGGTTTCACTATGTTGTCCAGGATGCTCTCGATCTCTTGACCTCATGATCCGCCCACCTCAGCCTCCCAAAGTGCTGGGATTACAGGTATGAACCACCGTGCCCAGCTCAAAAATACTATTATTAATTTTGGGGGGCAGTTATTATATTTTGTGAAAATCAGAGTTCAGTACCTTGTAACACTGAGTTGGGATCTATCCCTGAAGGAACAGGCTTCTAAAGAGGAAGGCATCGAGAGAGGGGCAAAATTTTAGTGGACGCTGTAATGACTTTAGGTATATGGACCTGGGGCAGAGTTCTAGCTGGGGCCACCAGGTAGCAAGGTGGACTTTGCTAAATTCTATCACTTTCCTGGGCCTCAGACTCACTTGTTACAAATGGGATTAAAGCATCCCTCTTTCAGGGCTAAGATAAAGATGATTAAGTAAGAGGGAATGAAAGCAACTTCCATCAATGGTCAAAAGTATTCATTTAACTTTTTTTTTTTTTTTTTTTTTGAGATGGAGTCTCTCTCTGTTGCCCAGGTTGGAGTGCAGTGACATGGTCCCGGGTCACTGCAACCTCCACCTCCTGGGTTCAAGTGATTCCCTTGCCTCAGCCTCCTGAGTAGCTGGGACTACAGGTGCATGCCACCACGCCTGGCTAATTTTTGTATTTTTAGTAGAGACGGGGTTTTACCATGTTGGCCAGGATGGTCTCGACCTCCTGACCTTGTGATCCACCCACCTTAGCCTCCCAAAGTGTTGGGATTGCAGGCATGAGCCACCATGCCTGGCCCATTTAACTTCTATATTATTTTCCTGTTGGTGGATTTACCAGTGCAAACTGAGCAGCTTAAAACACCATCCAGTTATTATCTGTTTCCATGAGCCAAGGCTCTGGGCAGGGTTTAACTGGGTCTTCTATTCCGGGTCACAATACTGCAACCAGAGTGTCAGCTGGGGTCTCATCAGATGCTCAGTGTCCTCTTCCAAGCTTATTCAGTTTGTGGACTGAATTCAATTTCTTGCAATTGTAGAACGAAGGCCCTCAGCTCCTAGAGCTGCCACCTCCAAAGACAGTTCACAGCATGGCCATTTTTGTCTCCTTGGAGGCTAAGGGTTGAATCTCTGAAACTTCACCTTTAAAAGACTCACCTGATTAGGTCTGGCCCACCTAAGATCATCCTGCTTTGGATGAACTCAAAGTCAGCTGAGCAAATGTGCTTAACAAAGCAAGTGTGACCATAATCACATTTGCAAAATTCCTTCCCCTTGGCCAAATCACAAGCTCTGCACACACTCAAGAAGAGATGATACAGGGAGCAGATATAAGGGAGTGGTTCTCTTGGGGGCTGTCCTAGAACTCTGCCCATTACAACTTCCTTCCTCGAGGAACAGCAGGCCTGGGGAGAGATGATCACGGATGAGAGCAGCCCACAGGTTGTGAGCGCCAGGTGCTGGAGTAGGATGCAGGAGGCTGACAAGCAAGTATGAAAAGCCTTCACTGGGCTGGGTGGAGTGGCTTACACCTGTAATCCCAACACTATGGGAGGTCGAGGTGGGCGGATCACGAGGTCAAGAGATCGAGACTATCCTGGCCAACCAACATGGGGAAACCCCGTCTCTACTAAAAACACAAAAAATAGCTGGGAGTGGTGGCACACGTCTCTAACAACCCAGCTCCCCAAGTAGCAATTCCTGTCCCTTTTAAGGGCTCACAACCCTAAGGGGGTCCGCGTGAGCGGGTCGTGATCATGAGAGTCGTGATCGATTGACCAAGAAGGGAGTACGTGACTGGGGGCTGCATTCAGCAAACCCCATCTCTACTAAAATAGCAAAATTCAGCAAAGTCTCAGGATAAAAATCAATGTGCAAACATCACAAGCATTCGTATACACCAATAACAAACAGAGAGCCAAATCATGAGTGAACTCCCATTCACAATTGCTTCAAAGAGAATAAAATACCTAGGAATCCAACTTACAAGGGATGTGAAGGACCTCTTCAAGGAGAACTACAAACCACTGTTCAAAGAAATAAAAGAGGATACAAACAAATGGAAGAACATTCCATGCTCATGGGTAGGAAGAATCAATATCATGAAAATGGCCATACTGTCCAAGGTAATTTATAGTTTCAGTGCCATCCCCATCAAGCTACCAATGACTTTCTTCACAGAATTGGAAAAAAACTACTTAAGTTCATATGGAACCAAAAAAGAGCTGGCATTACCAAGTCAATCCTAAGCCAAAAGAACAAAACCGGAGGCATCACGCTACCTGACTTCAAACTATACTACAAGGTACAGTAACCAAAACAGCATGGTACTGGTACCAAAACAGAGATATAGACCCATGGAACAGAACAGAGCCCTCAGAAATAATGCCGCTTTATCTACAACTATCTGATCTTTGACAAACCTGACAAAAACAAGAAATGGGGAAAGGATTCCCTATTTAATAAATGGTGCTGGAAAAACTGGCTAGCCATATGTAGAAAGCTGAAACTGGATCTCTTCCTTACACCTTATACAAAAATCAATTCAAGATGGATTAAAGACTTAAATGTTAGACCTAAAACCATAAAAATCCTAGAAGAAAACCTAGGCAATACCATTCAGGACATAGGCATGGGCAAGGACTTCATGTCTAAAACACCAAAAGCAATGGCAACAAAAGCCAAAATTGACAAATGGGACCTAATTAAACTCAAGAGCTTCTGCACGGCAAAAGAAACTACCATCAGAGTGAACAGGTAACCTACAGAATGGGAGAAAATTTTTGCAATCAACTCATCTGACAAAGGGACCAATGACTTTCTTATAACCAAGAGAATATGGCAGAGGTGATGGGATGTAGTGATTATGTTAGATAGGATGTTAAGTTGTCTTGCTAGGAGGTTATCTTGCTGGCTTTGAAGATGTGAGCTGCCATGTCATGAGTGGCCAGATGGAGAGGCCCATGTGGCAAGAAGCTGAGGACAGCAAGAACCTGGGGCCCTGAGTCCAGCAGCCTGCAAGGAACTGAATGCTGCCAACAACCAGATGAGCCTGGAAGCAGATCAATCACCAGTCAAGCCTCCAGATGAGAACTGAGCCCTGGCTGACATTATGGTTGTAGCCTTGCACTGAACCCAGCTGAGTCACGCCTGGATTCCTGACCCACAGAAACCACATAGTGATAACTGTGTGCTGTCTCAAGCCACAAAGTTTGCAGTAATATTGTTGCACAGCAATAGATAACTAATATGAAAACTGTCCTACATCATGTACATTACTGAGTGAAATGTAGAACCTGGATTTAAGCTCTGATTTCAGAGTTGTGGTTTCAGTCTCCCCAGGGAGACCTGTCCTGGGAGACAGTTATGCCAGGCTGTGATGCTGTGATGATTGTTCTCTTCCTACCCAGAAGCTTTCAATAGGCATGTCAAGCATGTGACCCCAGCTACATATACCAAATATATTTCTGACAAATGACAGGACATCATGAGCTTTCTTGTTTTACTGAGAGCTCCATAAAGGAAGGATCATCTCTGTCTCTTTGTTTTTTTTTTTTTTTTTTTTTTTTTTTTTTTTTTTTTTTTTTTTTTTTTTTAAGAGTCTCACTCTCACCCAGGCTGGGGTGTAGTGGTGCGATCTCGGCTCACTGCAGTCTCTGCCTCCTGGGCTCAAGGGATTCTCCAGCCTCAGCCTCCTGAGTAGCTGGGATCAAAGGTGTGCATCACCGCACCCAGCTAATTTCATATTTTTGGTAGAGACGGGGTTTACTCATGTTGGCCAGGCAGATCTTGAACTCCTGGCCTCAAGCGATTCGCCTACCTCGGCCTCCCAAAGTGCTGGGATTACAGGCATGAGCCAATGCACCTGGCCTGTCTTTTTTATGTTATGTCCATGTGAAACAGCCCAGTGGTCAGCACACAAAGGGGTCCAAATGTGAAAGGAAAGGGCAAACACGGGAAACCTAGGGGTGTTCAGAAATAGTTCCCAGGTCATTGCCTGTTTCAATATGTACAGTCCTGGGCCACACGCACAAGATTCTGTCTTAGCAGGTCAGAGTTAGAGATGGGGAGCTACCTGGTTACGAGGGATCCCAGTGCATTTTGAGGCAGCTGGTTGTTAAGACTGCATTGTAAAAATTACAACCCAAAGATGTGAACGGAAACAGAAAGACATTGGCAGGCTAGAAAACAACACAAGTAAAACATGAACAAGTTCATTCCAGAAGGAGATTCTCAACCACAGCTGCACATCAGAATCACCTGGGGAGATTTTAAAACCCCCAATGCCCGGGCTCTGCAGCCCAGATCAATTATTAAAGAATCTCTTGGGGATGAAACATGGGCATCAGTATTTTTGGTTTGTGTGTGTGTGTGTGTTTTTTTTTTTTTTTTTTTTTTTTGAGATGGAATCTTGTTCTGTCACCCAGGCTGAAGTGCAGTGGTGCGATCTCAGCTCACTGCTACCTCTGCCTCCCGGGTTCAACCCATTTTCCTACCTCAGCCTCCCAAGTAGCTGGGATCACAGGTGTGCACCGCCACGCCTGGCTAATTTTTGTATTTTTAATAGAGATAGGGTTTCACCATGCTGCCCAGGCAGGTCTCGAACTCCCAGCCTCAGGTGATCTGCCCACCTTGGCCTCACACAGTGCTGGGATTACAGGCATGAGCCATTGCTCCTAGCAGTATTTTTTTAATGAGGCAAAATTCACATAACATACAAGTCCCTGTATGAAACCATACACTTCAGTATCATTAAATACATTCACAATATTAAGCAATCATCATCTCTGTCTAGTTCCAAAACATTTTCATTAACACCCCCGCCCCCCCAAAAAATAACCCTGTATCCATCAAGCATTCTCCATCCCCTCCCCTTTCCCCCAGCTCCTGGCAACCACTTACCTGCTTTCTGCCTCTATAGATTTGCCTACTCTCGGCCTTTCACATAAATGGAATCATGCAATATATATAATAACCAAAAGGTAGCAACAACCAAGATGGCCATTTGGTTGACGAATGAACAAACAATATGTGCGGTATCCATACAATGGAAATATTGGTGCCTACTACATGTGGATGGACCCTGGAAACATCATGCTAAGTGAGAGAGAGCCTTGGTATTGTCTCTTCTCCCCAGGAGATTCCAAGATGCAGCCAAGGTTGAGACCCACTGACAAGCAATGGATACGATTGGGTGCAGATGAAATAAGGCAGCCAGGGGCAGGAGGGACGTCTCATTGAAGACGACTATTTGTGGATGCCTAGCAGGGGTGGGGAGGAGGGATGATAACAGCAACCCCAATCCCAACACTGCGTGACCGATTTTATCTTCAGCCAGCTGATACGCCTCATGGGGTTTGGACACAGGACAACTCTGCCTCCCAGGTTCAAGCAATAACACCTGCCTCAACCTCTTAAGTAGCTGGGATTACTGGCATGTACCACCACGCCTGGCTAATTTTTGTATTTTTAGTAGAAACGAAGTCTCGTCATGTTGCCCAGGTTGGTCTCGAACTTCTGGCCTTAAATGATCCACCCACTTCAGCCTCCCATAGTACTGGGATTACAGGCATGAGCCACAGTGGCAGCCTCCAAATTGTATTTGAAGTTTGACTTTCCACCTCCAGAAAATCCAACCTTTTCCCAAGTCACAGTGGGACACCCCGGAGATAATTTGAGAGAAATATGCTTTTAAAAACAACTCAAGGCCAGGCGCAGTGGCTCACGCCTGTAATCCTAGCACTTTGGGAAGCCGAGGCGGACAGATCACGAGGTCAGGAGATCAAGACCATCCTGGCCAACATGGTGAAACCCCGTGTCTACTAAAAATACAAAAAATTAGCCGGGCATGGTGGCACATGCCTGAAAGCCCAGCTACTAGGGAGGCTGAGGCAGGAGAATCGCTTGAACCAGGGAGTCAGAGGTTGCAGTGAGCCGAGATCGCACCACTGCACTCCAGCCTGGCGACAGAGAGAGATTCCGTCTCAAAATAGATAAATAAAACCCTCCGATATGAACACCAAACTAGAATCATTCCACTGATTTCCCTCCGCCAATCAGGGGGAGTTATGGTGATGGTGCATGAGTGTCTATTTGCATTGAGTCTTAATGGAAAAAAAGGTTGTGTCACTCAAAGGAAAAACAAATCACAGCCCAGACTGGAGCTGTGGATTAATAACATGGCTGAGTGTTGGTACAGGCTTTCCACAGCAATATTAAAACTGAAAAAATCAGCAATGAAGCTCCCAGCCACATTTCTGCCAAATGATTTGGGGGAAAACAACAGAGGCACTCCTCAACTTTTCCTTCGCTGCACAAAGTGGGTTTGGCTGGAAATGCCAAGTGTACTTGTTGCTAGGATCTTTCAAATGAAAGCAAGCTGGGAGTCAACCTCCTGCAGCCGCAGGTCAGAAATGGGTTTAGACCAAACTAGTATAGTAACACTGGTGCACATCGAAACAGATTTAACTCCCTCCCAGCAATCCAGATTAATTTAATATGCTTTCTTATTGGCATTCTGCATTTTTCATTAAAGCAAATAAACATCCATCCCTCTGTGATAAGTTAGGGCAAAAAAAAAAAAAAAATTCATATGTTTAGGTCATAGGGAAGGAGGAATTGTTGGCTGTTAAAAAAATACTGCAAATGGCCTTTGAAAGTCTAGACATCTTCATCATAAACACAAACATTCCTCTTCACAAAGGGACTTCAAGTAACCTTAGGCTGGAGGGCCCACTTGAGTATGTTTTTCTTCTCATTCTTTCTTACCTTCCCTCCAGCCAACCCAACCCACATTCAGTGACCAAGTCACGTGGGTTTTACCTCCTAAATCTTTTCAGATCCGTTCACTGCTCAGCCACTCTCCTGACACCACCATAAACCAAGCCACCATCACCTCCAGCTGTTTGACTGCAAAGGCCTCCTCACTGGCCTCTGTCTTCCCCTGGCCCTGTGACAATCTGCACTCCTCACAGGGACCAAAGCGATCACTTCAGAAGGTGCATCCAAACCGATCACTCGCTTTCAATGGCTCCCTCTGCTGTGTGGGTTGACAACGATAAAAGCTCGGCCGGGCGCGGTGGCTCACGCCTGTAATCCCAGCACTTTGGGAGGCCAAGGCGGTCGGATCATGACATGAGGAGATCCAGACCATTCTCCCTAACACGGTGAAACCCCGTATCTACTAAAAATACAAAAATTTTAGCTGGGCGTGGTGGCGGGCGCCTGTAGTCTCAGCTACTTGGGAGACTGAGGCAGGAGAATGGCGTGAACGTGGAAGGTGGAGCTTGCAGTGAGCCGAGATCGCGCCACTGCACTCCGGCCTGGGCGACAGAGTGAGACTCCATCTCAAAAAAAAAAAAAAAAAAAAAAGATAAAAGGTCACCTTTACTGAGCACACCCTATCTCAGTCCATCCCTACATCAGCCCTTTATTTCACCAGTGGGGAAGCTGGGACACAGAGTAGTTAGGTGGGATGCCCAAGGTGGGACCACTCGTGTGAAGTTTCCACACCCTAATGTGAGACCCTCCATGACCTAGCCCCTCTCTTTCTCCAGCCTCATTTCCTGATTCTCTCGCTTGGCCTGCAGGCTTCAGCCACACAAACTTCTTTAAAGTCCCTTAAATCTGGCTGAGCGCAGTGGCTCACACCTGTAATCTCAGCACTTTGGGAAGCTGAGGCGGCTGGATCACCTGAGTTCAGGAGTTCGAGACCAGCCTGGTCAACATGGTGGAACCCCATCTCTACTAAATATCCCAAAATTAGACAGGTGTGGTGGATGGCACCTGTAATCCCAGCTACTCGGGAGACTGAGGCAGGAAAATCGCTTGGACTCGGGAGGCAGAGGTTGCCATGAGCCAAGATCGCACCACTCCACCCAAGCCTGGGCGTCAAGAGTGAAAGTCCGTCTCAAAAAAAAAGGTCCCTTAAATCTGCTCTATGCCTACCAACCTCAGGGACTTCACTATGCTGTTTCTCACCCTGAAATGCTGTTCCTCATTTCTCTACATAGTGAACTCATCCCACCCTCTAGGCCTCTCCTTAAGTGGCATCACTTCAAGGAAGATTTTACTTTTTTAATATAACTATTAAAATATAATTCAGGTACCGTATGATTTGCCCATTTAAAGTGAACAAATCAATGGTTTCAGTGCATTCACAGAGCTCGGCAACCACCATCATGATCAATTTTAAAACATTTTCATCACCCCAAAAAGAAACCCTGTATCCATGAGCAGGTTCCTGCCATTTCCTCCTCCCACTAAGCCCTGACAATCTACTTTTTTTTGAGATAGAGTATCTGTCACAGGCTGGAGTGCAGTAGCACAATCTCGGCTCACTGCAACCTCCGCCTCCCGGGTTCAAGCAATTCTCCTGCCTCCAGAGTAGCTGGGATTACAGGGATGTGCCACCACACCCATCTAATTTTGTATTTTTAGTAGAGGCAGGGTTTCTCTCTTCATAGATTTGCGTGTTCTGGACATTTCATATAAATGACATCTTAGAATATGTGACCTTTTGTGACTGGTTTCTTCCACTTAGCTTAATATTCTCATAGTTCATCCGTGTTGTAGCACGTGTTAGTACTTCATTCCTTTTGATGACTGAATAATATTCCATTGCATGGTCAAACCATGTTCTATTTCTCCACTCATCAGTAGACAAGCATTTGTGTTGTTTTCACTTTGGCGCTATTATGAATAATGCTGCTATGAGCATTTGTGTACAAGTTTCTGGACGGACATATATTTTCATTTCTTTCATAAACTGGAGTGGAAGTGCTGGGTCATAGAACTCTGTGTTTAAGCTTTTGAAGAAGTGCCAGACTGTGTAAGAAAGAAAGCCTTTCCTCACCCTGTGAGACTGAGCTCCCTCTCTCCATTTATACATTCTCTTTAAGCCCTTTGCTTCTCTTTCAGAGCAATTCACGTTGACCTGGGTCACCCTCAACTTAAGGCTCATAACTCCCCTAGATCCTCAGGGTCCACACTAAGTGTGATGAAATATGATGCAAGCCACATATTTACATTTGCATTTTGTAATAACCACACTTTAAAAAGTAAAACAAAAGAAGTGAAGGTAATTGGAATAATATCACAGATTTAAACAAATCTATCCAAAATACCAGGTCTACATGTATAAAATTTTTTAACAGTAACAAAATACTTTGCTTTCTTTTTATATTAAGTCTTCACAATCTAATGTGTATTTGACACTTCTCGCACATTTCAGAATGATGGCAGCAGCCCATATGGGGGGCCCGCCCATGATGCCAAAGATGGGCCCTCCTCCTCCTGGGATGATGCCAGTGGGACCTGCTCCTGGAATGAGGCCGCCCATGGGAGGCCACATGCCTGTGATGCCTGGGTGCCCAATGATAAGACCTCCTGCCCGTCTCATGATGGTGCCCAGTCAGCCCAGAATGACTCGACCAGACAGATAAGGATAGAGGGGAGGCCTCATTGCATCAGTGTTGTTTTGTTGTTGTTATTGTTGTGTTTTTTTTGTTTGTAATGTTTTGTTTTGTTTTTGAGACAGAGTCTTCCTCTGTCGCCTAGGCTGGAGGGCAGTGGCATGATCTCAGCTCACTGAAACCTCCACCTCCCGGGTTCAAGCGATTCCCCTGCCTCAGCCTCCTGAGTAGTATGGGACTACAGGCGTATTCACCATGCCCGGCTAATTTTTTTTATTTTAGTAGAAACGGGGTTTCACCATGTTGGCCAGGATGGTCTCAATCTCCTGACCTCGTGACTCGCTCGCCTCAGCCTCTGAAAGTGCTGGGATTACAGGTGTGAGCCACTGCGCCTGGCCTATATGAATTTTATATTTACCTGCTCCCTTCACCAGGAGATCATGCTGCTGTGATGTCGAGTTTTCTTAACAGCATAAGGAAGACTTGCCCTCTTGCCCTATCAAAGAGAATAGTTTTGGAGGGGAGAAGTGGGACCAAAAAAGATGCAGTTTTCATTTGTATTGGGAAATGTGAAAATAAAATTGACAACTCTTTTAGTTAAAAACAAAAAAAAGAAAAGGAAACAAGATGTGGGGCTGCCATATGTAATACCGTGGATTCCACGGATCTTCTACTCTGGAGGCAAATATTATCTTTGCTGAAGCCAGACCAACCTGACACAAAGACCTTTTGTTTTTTTAATGTGACTGTGTTTTATTTTAGAATGTGTAATTCACTTTAGAAGGGCAAAGTACCTGTCTGGGGAAGACTATTTAATTTCCTGCATTTATTTAGAATGTTGGCTGATGTTATTATGAAGGGAAACAGCTCTAACAACTGAGTGCCCCCCACATAGCCACAGCTCATGAGTTCACGGGGCAAAGGAAATGAACAGCAGCCTCCTAATAGCCAGCCTTCTTTGTGATGTGGAAATAATTATCAGCATGTAAAAGACTATATATATATTCAACAATTCTGATCCCCTGAAAAATTCAAATCTACAACTGATTTGCTTCCTGGGCTCCTGAAAACAACTTTGTCAAAATTGTTCAGAAATATAATCAGCCAATCGTTGCCCCTTGGGGACGCAGGATAAAGCAAGTCAGCCATGACCAATGAGGAGTCGGCCGTGCACAATTACATGCAGACCTGCAGGACATCGAGTCCCTGCTATGGTCCCTCCCCAGTCAGGCCCCCATTGCCTGGGCTGCAGCCAGAAGCATTCAGGCACAAGTGCATTCAACAAATACTTATTTAATTGTATTGGTGGTTAGAGGGTTGCGATTGATTAAGGTACATTAATGGATCCGTGTCCTCCCTGTATCCAAGATTCTGCCATTTGTCTCTGCAGTTCCTCCCACTGAAGAATCGGAGTATATTTCTCCAGTCCCTAATGTTGGGTTTAGTCATGTGTCTAGCTTTGGTCACTGGAATATTAATCTGTATGACCAAAAACTTGGAAAGTGTGAATTCATTTCTGCTCACTCACTCCTGCTATCACCATGAGAACAAGCCCAGGCCAGACTGCTGCTTCCAGCAGAAGAGACAGCAAGAGCAACGTCGAGCTTCCCAGACATGCTCATGCTAGATTGACCAATCCTCAGCTGACCCATAGATCCATGAAAATAAACGATTGTTGTATTAAGCCACTGAGATTTGGAGTGACTTGTTATGCAGCATTTTGTGACAACAACTAACTGACACAAGAGTCACCGTCCTTTATCTCTGTAGATTTTAACCAATTTTAATAGCTAGATGGAGATCTTCTAGTTGCCTTTATTTATAATGAATATGACTGTAGAGCTAGTTTGGCCTGACACTACCAGTAACCTACCCAGAAATTCAGAAATACTTTCTTCTCCAACCCGCCCAAACCAACTTTTTGTTTGTTTGTTTTTGGGTTCTCCCTCTTTGCCTAGGCTAGAGTACAAATGGTACAGTCAGAGCTCACTGTAGCCTCAAAATCCTGGGCTCAAGTGATCTTCCCCTTCAGCCTCCTATGTAGCTAAGACTACAGACATGTGCCACCATGCCTGGCTAATTTTTTTATTCTTTGCAGACAGAGGGTCTCACTATATTGCCCAAGTTGGTTTCAAACTCCTGGCTTCAAGCAGTCCTCCTGCCTCACCCTTCCAAAGTGCTAGGATTATAGGCATGAGCCACCACACCCAGCCTCTTCTTCTTTTTAAATAGAAACCTTGTTTTATTCTGACAGTGGGTTGCTTTTTTTTTTTTTTTTTAAAGAAAAAGTTGGCCCAGCCCCAGGGAATAAATTTTGACTGCTCTAAACAACCACAGACCAAGGGCCAAATCTGGCCCTCTGACTGTATAAATTAAGTTTTACTGGAATAAAACCAGGTCCATTGATTTATCCATTGTCTACATACGCTTTTAGGCTACGATGGCACCACTGTGTCACTACAAAAGAGGTTATCTAGACAAAAAGCCTAAAATATTACCGTTTGCCTCTTTATGGAAAAAGTTTGCCATTCCCTAGTCTAAGGTTTAGATTCTGAGCTTATCATGTTATCCTACCCCCCCTCACCAGTGACTGGCTCAAAACAAGTCTGTGATTCCATTCTGACTGTTCTACTGAGGGAATTCCGCCTTCTTCTCATGCAGAGCTGATGAGGGTAAGTTGTATTAATAGGACATATGCTCAGGTTTTCTGAAAAATACTTTTATCTAGAAATGCATAGGAATATGCTGGTGCCTGAATGTACCATCCGGGGACCTGGAGATTGACTCACCTGCCTCCAGAGCTGGTGCTCACACTTACTACTGAGAGGCCTGAGGAAACGCCTGCCTACCCACCACCAGAACCTGTATAGGTCACCTGGAGAACTAGAGATCAGCCTGCCACACACACCACCCAGGAGCCCAGTGGTGCACCTGCCCATCTGGCCCACTGCCAGCAACCAAAGAAGCCACCTGGAGTCCCAGGGATTGGCCCACACAGACAGGCTATCATCAGTGCCCACAAACGCTGCCCATGGTCCCTAGTATTGACACACCTGGTCCACCGCCACTACCACTGATGCTGAAGGACAAGACTTCCTGGCATCCCCATCCTCAGCAAAGCCTCACCACAGCCTCCAATAACAACTGCAGTCTGGCCAAGTGTGGTGGCTCACGCCTGTAATCCCAGCACTTTGAGATGCCGAGGCGGGTAGATCACGAGGTCAGGAGTTCGAGAGCAGCCTGGCCAACATGGTGAAACCCGTCTCTACTAAAAATACAAAATTTAGCTGGGCATGGTTGCACGTGCCTATAGTCCCAGCTACTCAGGAGGCTGAGGCAGGAGAATTGGTTGAACACGGGAGGCAGAGGATACAGTGAGCTGAGATTGTGCCACTGCACTCCAGCCTGGTGACAGAGCTAGACTCCATCTCAACAACCACCAAAAAAAACCACTGCAGTCTAAGCCACTGAATGACTCACAGGCACCACCCATGCCAATTACAGCTGAAGGAATCATATGCAAACTATACCACTGTACCCACCCAGAATCAAAGCCAAAGTGTGATATCCAATGAACACTGTAGATACAGCTGTAAGAAAAGGTCTTTCCCATATAAAAGCCAATCCATAAAATTGGAAGAAATGACTGTTATGTCAGAGGCACAGATAGTCACATAAGGATGCAAGAAATATGAAAAAGGAAACATAACATCTCAAAGAAGCACAATAATTCTCCAGCAACAGATCCAATGAAAAGAAAATCTATGAAATACCTGAAAAAAATTCAGAATAATGTTATTAAAGAAACTCAGGGAGATACAAGAGAACACAGATAATGAATACAAAAAAAAAAAAAAAACAGGAAAACTATTCATGATCTGAATGACAAATTCAACAGAGATAGACAACATAACAAAGAACCAAACACAAATCCTGGAAGAGAATAAATCATTGAAATAAATACAAAAGATAATTGACAGCTTTAACAATAGACTAGATCAAGCAAAACAAAGAATTTCTGAACCTGAAGACTAGTCTTTTAAAATAATCCAGTCAGACAAAAAGAAAGAAAAAAGAATGAAGCAAGGCTACATGACATATGGGACACATATGTGACCAAAAACTGAAATTCTGGGAGTTCTGGATGGAGATGAGATGGGTAAAGGCATAGAAAACCTATTTAATGAACTAATAACTGAAAACTTCCTGAATGCTTCCAAATGCAGGAAGCTCAAAGATTACCAAGTAAATACAACTCAAAATGGTCTTCTCCAAGGCACAATATGGTAAAATTGTCAAAAGACAAAGAGAAAATGCTAAAAACAGCAAGAGAAAGGCATCAAGTCACTTATAAGAGAATCTCCATCAGGCTAACAGGGAATTTCTCAGCAGAAACCTTACTGGCTAGGAGAAAAGGGGATGTATATTACAAGTACAAAAAAAAAATAATAATAAAAAAATGTAAGCCAAAAATACTCTACCCAGCAAAGCTATCCTTCACAAATGAAGGAGCCTGGCACAGTGGCTCACATCTGCAATTCCAGAGACTCAAGGCTGAGGCAGGAGGACCATTTGATCCCAGGAGTTCAAGGCTGCAGTGAGCTATGATCATGCCACTGTACTCCAGCCTGGGTGACAGAGTGAGACTCCATTGCTAAAAAAAAAAAATAGTAATAATAAAAGGGAAAAAAGTATTTCCCAGATAAGCAAAAGACTGTTTGTTTGTGTCTTGTTTGTTGTGGTCCTATAAGAAATGTTTAAGGGAGTCCTACATTGGGAAGTGAAAGAACAATATCTACCATCATGAAAATACATGAAAGTATAAAACTCACTGGTAGTTCAGACACACAAAGAAGAAAGGATTCAAACATCACCACTAAAGAAAACCACCAAACTGCAACCATAAATAATGAGAGAAAAAAGGAACAAAGGTGTATTAGTCTGTTTTCACACTGCTGATAAAGACATACCTGACTGAGACTGAGCAATTTACAAAAGAAAGAGGTTTAATGGACTTACACTTCCACATAGCTGAGGAAGCCTAAGAATCACGTTGGAAGGCAAGGAGAAGCAAGTCATGTCTCACATGGATGGCAGCAATCAAAGATAGAGCTTCTGCAGAGAAACTACCCTTTTCAAAACCATCAGACCTTGTGAGACGTATTCACTATCATGAGAACAGCATGGGAAAGACCTGCCCCCATGACTCAATTACTTCCCACCAGGTCCCTCCCACAACATGTGGGAATTCAAGATGAGACTTGGGTGGGGACAAAACCAAACCATATCATTCTGCCCCTGGCCCTTCCCAAATCTCATATCCTCACATTTTGAAACCAATCATGCCTTCCCAACAGTCCCCCAAAGTCTTAACTAAGTTCAGCATTAACTCAAAAGTCCACAGTCCAAAGTCTCATTTGAGACAAGGCAAATCCCTTCTGCCTATGAGCATGTAAAATCAAAAACTAGTTAGTTACTTCCTAGATACAATGTGGGTATAGGCATTGGGTAAATACAGTCATTCCAAATGGCAGAAAATTGCCAAACAAAGGGGCTACAGGACCCATGCAAGCCCAAAATCCAGTGGGGCAGTGAAATCTCAAAGCTCCAAAATGATCTCCTTTGACTCCATGTCTGACATGCAGGTCATACTGATGTATGACCATGGCCTTGGGAGAAAAAAGGCCACAGCTCCACTCCTGTGGCTTTGTATGGTTTAACCCCCCTCCTGGCTCCTTTCACGGGTTGGCATTGAGTGTCTGCAGCTTTTCCAGGCACACAGTGCAAGCTGTCAGTGAATCCACCATTCTGGGGTCTGGAGGATGGTGGCCCTCTTCTCAAAGCTCCACTAGGTGGCGCTGCAGTAGGGACTCTATGTGGGGGCTCCGACCCCACATTTCCCTTCTGCACTGCCCTAGTAGAGTTTCTCCATGAGTGCCCTGCCCCTGCAGCAAACTCCTGCCTGGGTATCTAGGAATTTCCATACACCTTCTGAAATCTAGGCAGCAGTTCCCAAACCTCAATTTTTGACTTCTGTGCACCCACAGGCTCAACACTATGTGGAAGCTGCTAAGGCTTGGGGCTTGCACCCTCTGAAGCCACAGCCCAAGTTGTACCTTGGCTCCTTTTAGCTGCAGCTGGAGTGGCTAGGACTCAGGCACCCTTGGCTGCTCACAACAGGGGTCCCTGGGTCCAGCCCACAAAACCATCTTTTCTTCCTAGGCCTCTGGACCTTTGATGGGAGGGGCTGCCATGAAGACCTGTGACATGCCCTGGAGACATTTTCCCCATTGTCTTGGGGATTCACATTTGACTCCTCGTTACTTAAACAAACTTCTGCAGCCAGATCGAATTTTTCTTGAGAAAATGGGATTTTCTTTTCTATTGCATTGTCAGGCTGCAGATTTTCCAAACTTTCATGCTCTGCTTCCCTCATAAAACTGAAGGCCTTTAACAGCACCCAAGTCATCTCTTGAATGCTTTGCTGCTTAGAAATTTCTTCTATCAGATACCCTAAATCTCAAGTTCAAATACCCTATCAGTTACCCTAAATCTCTCAAGTTCAAAATTCCACAAATCTCTACAGCAGGGGCAAAAAGCCACCAGTCTCTTTGCTAAAACATAACAGGAGTCACCATTGTGCCAGTTCCTAACAAGTTCCTCATTTCCATCTGAGACAACCTAAGCCTAGACTTTATTGTCCATATAACAATCAGCATTTTGGGCAAGTCTCTAGGAAATCTCTTCCAAATTTTCCCACATTTTCCTGTCTCCTTCTGAGCCCTCCAAACTGTTCCAACCTCTGCCTGTTTCCCAGTTCCAAAGTCACTTCCACATATTCAGGTATCTTTTAGCAACACCCCACTTCTGGTACTAATTTACTGTATTAGTCCATTTTCACACAGCTGATAAAGACACATTCAAGACTGGGAAATTTACAAAAGAAAGAGGCTTAATGGACTTACAGTTCTACATTGCTGGGGAGGCTTCAAAATCATTGCGGAAGTCAAGGAGAGGCAAGTCACATCTTACAGGGATGGCAGCAGGCAAAGAGAGAGCTTGAGCAGGGAAACTCCTCCTTTTAAAACCATCAGATCTCATGAGACTTATTCACTATTAAAAGAATAGCATGGGAAATACCTGCCTCCATGATTCAACTACTTCCCATTGGGTCCCTCCCACAACACATGGGAATTCAAGATGAGATCTGAGTGGGGACACAGCCAAACCATATCAAAAGGATATACAAAATAACCAGAAAACAATGAACAAAATGACAGGAATAAATCCTCGCCTATCAATAATAACTTCGAATATGGGTTAAATTACCTACCTAAAAGATACAGTCAGGCTTAATGGATAAAAAGTGACCCAACATCACTTCCCTTGTAAAGACACACACAGACTGAAAGTGAAGGGATGGAAAAAGATATACCACACAAACAGAAATCAAAAATAATCAGGAGTAGCTAAACTTACATCAGATAAAACAGACTTTAAGTCAAAAACTGTAAAAAGGACAAACAAGGTCATTATATGGTAATAAAGGGATCAATTCAGCAACAAAGTATAACAATTCCAAATATGCATGCAACCAACACAAGCGCATCCAGAGACATATAGCAAATATTATTAAATCTACATGGAGAGATAGAGTCCAATAAAATGATAGTTGAGAACTTCAATATCCTACTCTCAGCATTGGACAGTTCATCTAGACATAAAATCAACAAAGAAACATTAGATTTAAGCTGCACTTTGGACCAAATGGACCTAACAGATATTTTCAGAATATTTCATCCAGCAGCAGCAGAATATACAATCATCTCATCAACACATGGAACATTCTCCAGGATAGACCATATGTTAGGACACAGAACAAGGCTCAATAAAATTTTAAAAATTAAAATCATATCAAGTATCTTCTCAGACCACAATGGAATAAAACTTGAAATCAATAAGAAGAAGAAATTTGGAAACTGTACAAATATATGGACATTAAACATGCTATTGAATAATCATTGGGTCAATGAAGAAATTAAGATGGACATCAAAAAAATTTTTTAAACAGAAAATGGAAACACATCATGCAAAACCTATGGGATACAGCAAAAGCAGTACTAGGAGGAAAGTTTATAGCAATAAATGCCTACACCAAAAAAGTAGAAAGATTTCAAATAAACAACCTAATGATGCACCTCAAGGAACTCAAAAAGCAAGAACAAATCAAACACACAATTAGTAGAAAGAAAAAATATAAATAACATAGCAGAACCAAATGCAACAGAGACAAAAAAAATGCAAAGAATCAACAAGATAAAAGTTGGTTTTTTGAAAAGTTAAACAAAATTGATAAACCACTAGTGAGGCTAACCAAAAAAAAAAAAAAAAAAAAAAGAGACCAAAATAAATACAATCAGAAATGAAAAAGGAGACATTACAAGTGTTACCAAAGAAATAAAAAGGATAATTAGAGGCTATTATGAAGAATCATATGCTAACAAATTGGAAAACCTAGAGGAAAGGGATAAATTCCCAGACATACACAGCCTACCAAGGTTGAACTAGGAAGAAACAGAAAACGTGAACTGACCCAAAATGAATAGCAGGTTTGAATCAGTAACAAAATGTCTCCCAAAGGAGAAAAGCCCTAGACTAGGCTTTTATGCTGATTTCTACCCAATTTATAAAGAAAAACAAACACCAATTCTTCTCAAACTATTCCCAAAAATTGAAGAGGAAGGAATTCTTCCTAACTCATTGTATAAGGCCAGCATTACCCTGATATCCAATCAAGACAAGGACACAACAAAAGGAGAAAACTACAGGCCAATATTCCTAATGAACACAGATGGTAAAATTCTCAGCATAATACTACCAAGCCAAATCTAATGATGAATGAAAAAGATAATATACCATGATCAAGTGGGATTTATCCCAGGAATGCAAAGGTGGCTCAACATACACAAATCAATACATGTGATACATCACATTGACAAGATGAAAGGCAAAAACTATCTGATCATCTCAGCAGATGCAGAAAAATCACTCAGTAAAACTTACCATTCCTTCATGATGAAAACTCTCAACAAATTAAGCATAGAAGGAACACTTCAACCTAAGAAAAGGCATATATGACAAATCTACAGCTAACATCCTACTCACTGGGAAAAATTGAAAAGCCTTTCCTCTAAGAACTGGAACAAGAGAAGGATGCCCACTTTCACCACTCTTATTCAACACAGTATGGGACATCCAAGCCAGAGTGATCAGACAAGATAAAGAAAAAAAAGGCATCCAAATGGACAAAAGGAAGTCCAATTGTCTCACTTTGCAAATGACATAATCGTATACCTGTAAACAGAAAAACCTAAAGACTCTACCAAAAAACTCTTAAAATAAATTAGGCTGGGCATGGTAGCTCATGCCTGTAATCCCAGCACTTTGGGAGACCAAGGTGGATGGATCACCTGAGGTTGGGGGTTTGAGACCAGCCTGGCCAACATGGTGAAACCCTGTCTCTACCAAAAATACAATTAGCCAGGCATGGTGGTAGGTGCCTGTAATCCCAGCTACTTGGGAGGCTGAAGCAGGAGAATCGCTTGAAACCGAGAAGTGGAGGTTGCAGTGAGCCAAGATTGCACCACTGCACTCCAGCCTGGAAAACAGAGTGAGACTCTCTCACAAAATAAAAAATAAAAAATAAAAAACATTTTTAAAAAAGGATGTATAATTCAGTAAAGCTTCAGGACACAAAATCAACATACAAAAATCAGTAATGTTTCTATATACCAGTAACAAACTAGCTAAAATAGAAATCAAGGAAGAAATTCTATTTACAATAGCTACAAAAATAAAATACCTAGGAATAAACTTAACCAAGGATGAGGAAAAAAAAAACCCAAAAAACCTCTACAATGAAAACCACAAAACACTGATAAAATAAACTGAGAAGGACACAAACAAATGGAAAGGCATCTTATGCTCGTGGGTTGGAGTAACTAATACTGTTAAAATGACCATACTACCCGAAGCAATCTAGAGATTCAGTATAATCCCTATCAATTATATTCTTCACAGAAACAGGAAAAAAAAAAACCCTGAAATTCATATGGAACCACAGAAGACCCCAAATAGCCAGAGCAATACTGAGCAAAAAGAACAAAGCTAGAAGACTCACACTACCTGATTTAAAAATATACTGCAAAGAGGCCGGGCGAGGTGGCTCAAGCCTATATCCCAGCACTTTGAGAGGCCAAGGCGGGTGGATCACAAGGTCAGGAGATCGAGACCATCCTGGCTAACATGGTGAAACCCCGTCTCTAATAATAATAAAAAAAAAATTAGCCAGGCGTGGTGGCGGGCATCTGTAGTCCCAGCAGCTACTCGGGAGGCTGAGGCAGGAGAATGGCATGAACCCGGGAGGAAGAGCTTGCAGTGAGCAGAGATCACACCACTGCACTCCAGCCTGGGCGACAGAGCAAGACTCCATCTCAAAAAGAAAAAAAAAAAAAAAATATATATATATATATATATATATATATGTGTGTGTGTGTATAAATATATTTGTATATATATGTATATATATACGTATATGTGTGTGTATATACGTATATATGTATGTACGTATATATGTATGTATATATGTACGTATGTATGTATATATACGTATATACGCATATATATACGTATATATGTATATGTGTGTATATACGCATATATATACGTATATATGTATATGTGTGTATATACGTATATATGTATATATTTATATGTATATATACACGTATATGTGTATATATACACGTATATGTGTACATATATACACGTATGTGTACATATACACGTATGTGTACATATATACACGTATGTGTACATATACACGTATATGTGTACATATATACACGCATGTGTACATATACACGTATATGTGTACATATATACACGTATGTGTACATATACACGTATATGTGTACATATATACACGTATATGTGTACATATATACACATATATGTGTACATATATACACGTATATATATACACGTATATATGTATATATATACACGTATATATACACGTATATATGTATATATATACACGTATATATATACACGTATATATGTATATATATACACGTATATATATACACGTATATATGTATATATATACACGTATATATACACGTATATATGTATATATATACACGTATATATGTATATATATACACGTATATATACACATATATATGTATATATATACACGTATATATACACGTATATATGTATATATATACACGTATATATACGTATATATGTATATATATACGTATATATACACGTATATATGTATATATACGTGTATATATATAAGTATATATGTGTGTGTGTATATAGATATACATATATATATATATTACAAAGCTATAGTAACCAAAACAGCGTGTACTGGTATTAAAACAGACACAAAAACAAAGGAAACAGACTAAAGAATCCAGAAATGAATCCACATATTTACAGCTAACTGATTTTCAAGAAAGCTGTCAAGAACATGCATTGAATAAATGACACCCTCTTCATTAAATGGTGCCAGCAAAACTAGATATCCAAACACAGAAGAATAAAACTAGACCCTTATCTCTCATCACTTAGAAAAATAAACTCAAAATCAGTTAAAGACTTAAATGTAACAGCCACAACTATAAAACTACTAGAAATAAACACAGGAGAAACGCTTGAGAACAAAGATTGTATGGCTAACGCTTAAAAAGTACAAGCAACAAAAACAGACAAATGGGATTATATTAAATTAAATTCCTTCTGTATATCAATTAAAACAATCAACAGAGTGAAAAGACAACACCCCTCCCTTACACCACACACAAAAATTAACTCAAGATGACCTGCAGACTTAAATGTAAAACCCATAACTATAAAAACGCTGAAGACAACCTAGGCAATACCATCTGGTACATAGTGATGGGCAAAGAGTTCATGGTGAAGATGCCAAACGCAATTGCCACAAAAGCAAAAATTGGCAAATGGGATCTAATTAAATGAAAGAGCTTCTACACAGCAAAAGAAACTATCAAAAAATAAACAGACATTTCTCAAAAGAAAATATACAAATCACCAAGTTTATGAAAAAATATTCAACATCACTAATCATCACGGAAATGCAAATCAAAACCACAATGAGATATCATCTCACACTTGTTAGAATGGGTATTAAAAAGACAAAGCACAACAAATGCTGGCAAGCATGTGAAGAAAAGGAAATTATTGTATATTGTTGGTGGGAATGTAAATTGGTACAGCCATTATGAAAAAAAGTACAGAGATTTCTCAAAAAACTAAGAACAAATCTACCATATGATCCAGCAATCCCACTCCTGGGTATATATCCAAAAAAAGATATCAGTGTATCAACGGGATACCCATACCCCCATATTTACTGCAGCACTATTTGCAATAGCCAAGATATGGAATCAATCTAAATGTCAATCAATGGATGAATGGATAAAGAAAATGGGAATATACGCACAATGGAATAGTATTTAGCCATAAAAAAATGAAATCCTGTCATTTTCAGCTAATTGGGTGGAATTAAAGGTCATAACGTCAGGTGAACTAGGCCATGCACAGAAAGAAAACTATTGCATGTTCTCACTTATATGAGCAGCTTATGCTCCTGGAAATCAAAGCGGGGCCATATTTCAGGTCAGTAGGGTCACGGATAGAGACCACAGTTATGGACTTGTGTGCCCTGGAGCTATATAAAATTGATATCATGGAGATAAAGAGTAGAATGATAGTTACCAGAGGCTAGGAATAGGAGAGGTTTGAAAAGAGGTTGATTAATGGGTATAAAAATATATAATAGAAGGAATAAGATCTAGTGTTTATTATCACAGAAAGTGACTACAATAATTTATTGTATGTTTCTTTTTTTTAATTTCAATAGTTTTTAGGGAACAGGTGGTATTTTGTTACATGGATACGTCCCTTAGGGGTGATCTCTGAAATTTTGGCATACCCATCAGCAAAGCAGTTTACCCAATGTATAGTCTTTTATCTCTCACCCCCTCCCACCTTCCCCCTGAGCCCCCAAAGTCCACTGTTTCATTCTTGTGCCTTCGCATCATCATAGCTTAGCTCCCACTTACGAGTGAGAACATGCAATGTTTGGTTTTCCATTCCTGAGTTACTTCATTTGAAATAATGGTCTCCAACTCCATCCAGGTTGTTATGAATGCCATTATTTTATTCCTTTTTAAGGCTAAGTAGTGTTCTATGGTATACATATATATATATAACACATTTTCTTTATCCACAAATTGATTGATGGGCATTTGGGCTGGTTCTGTAGTTTTGCAACTGTGAATTCTGCTGCTGTAAACATGTGTGCAAAAGTATCTTTTTCATATAATGACTTCTTTTCCTCTGGGTAGATACCTAACAGTGGGATTACTGGATCAAATGGTAGATGTACTTCTAGTTCTTTAAGGAATCTTCATACTGTTTTCCATAGTGCTGGTACTAGCTTACATTCCCACCATCAGTGTAAAAGCGTTGTCTTTCACCACATCCATGCCAACATCAATTTTTGTTTTTTTTGTTTTGTTTTGTCTTTTGTTTTTTGTTTTTTTGAGATAGAGTCTCGCTCTGTCGCCCAGGCTGGAGTACAATGGTGCCATATCAGCTCACTGCAACCTCTGCCTCCCGGGTTCAAGCAATTCTCCTGCCTCAGCCTCCTGAGTAGCTGGGATTACAGGCAACTGCCACCATGCCCGGCTAATTTTTATATTTTCAGTAGAGACTGGGTTTCACCATGTTGGTCAGGCTGGTCTCAAACTCCTGACCTCGTGATCCGCCCACCTTGGCCTCCCAAAGTGCTAGGATTACAGGCGTGAGCCACCGCGCCCGGCCCTCTTTTTGTTTATTTTACACGTGGTATTGCATTGTGGTTTTGATTTGCATTTCCCTGGTAATTAGTGATGTTGAGCATTTTTTCATATGTTTGTTGGCCATTTGTATATCTTCTTTTGAGAATTGTCTATTCATGTCCTTGGCACATTTTTTGATGAGATTATTTTTTTCTTGCTGATTAGAGTTCCCTGTAGATTCTGACATTAGTTCTTTGTCAAATGCAGTTTGTGAAAATTTTCTCCCACTCTGTGGGTGATCTGTTTACTCTGCTGATTATTTCCTATGCTGTGCAGGAGGCTTTTAGTTTAATTAAGTCCCATCTATTTATCTTTGTTTCTGTTGTATTTGCTTTTGGGTTCTTGGTCATAAACTCTTTGCCTAAGCCAATGTGTAGAAGCATTTTCCAATGTTATCTTCTAGAATTTTTATGGTTTCAGACCTTAGATTTAAGTCTTTGATCCATCTTGTGTTGATTTTTGTATAAGGTGAGAGATAAGGATCCAGTTTTATTCTTCTACATGTGGCTTGCCAATTATCCCAGCACTATTTGTTGTATAGGGTGTACTTTTCTTACTTTGTTTTTGTTTACTTTGTCAAAGATCAGTTGGCTGTTAAGCATTTGGCTTTATTTCTAGGTTCTCTACTCTGTCCCATTGGTCATGTGCCTATTTTTATACCAGCACTATGCTGTTTTGGTGACTATAGCTTTGTAATATAGTTTGAAGTTGGGTAATGTGATGCCTCTAGATTGGTTCTTTTTGCTTAGTTTTGCTTTGGCTTTGCAGACTCTTTTTTAGTTCCAAATGAATTTTGGCATTTTTTTTTTTCTAGTTCTATAAAGAATGATGATGGTACATTGATAGGAACTCATTGAATTTGGAGACTGCTTTTGGCAGTATGGTCATTTTCACAATATTGAGTCTACCCATCCATGAGCATGGAATGTGTTTCCATTTGTTTGTGTCATCTATGATTTCTTTCAACATTGTTTTGTAGTTTTCCTTGTAGGGGTCTTTCACCTCCTTGGTTAGGTATATTCCTAAGTATTTTATTTTTACAGCTATTATAAAAGGGTTTGATTTGATTCTCAGCCTGGTAGATGTTGGTGTATAGCACTGCTACTGATATGTGTACATAGATTTTGTATCCTGATAAATAGATTTATTGTGTATTTCTAAATAGCAATAAGATTTGAAATATTCCCAACACAAAGAAATGATCAATGTTTGAGGTGATTAATATCCTAAAGACCCTGACTTGATCATTACACATTACATGCATGTACCAGAATCTCACATGGACCCCATAAATGTGTACAATTATTCTCTATCAAAAACATTTTTTTTTAAGAAACATGCAGGAATACACTCTACCTCTTCCTTGCTGTGTCTGGATATTGTCACATGAGGACTTGACATGCGGATTGTGGCAGCCTCTGTGACCAAGAGCGGAAGACAACAGCAACATAGAAACCTCAAATGAAAAATCTAACATCTCAAGCTACTAATTTAGCCAACCTTGGCATCAGCTATCTCTGGTCTTAGTATATGAGGCGATAAGCCCCCACTGTTCAAGTTGGGTGTCTATCAATTGCTGCAGAATAGAAGTTAATGAGGCTTCCTCCTCCTGGATCCCCTACTAGACCCTGACATGCCCATTCAGTCACAGGCAGAAAGGGAAGCACAGGGTAAGGAGACCTGGCTGACTGTGCCAGACGCAGATCTTTCCTGTCCTGCTTAGAACACTCAAAGCTCAATTGGTTAAACAAAAAAAGGAAAAATACAATAAGGAGTATAGCACTCCCCAGATGCAACTTAATCTAACACTCTATACTTTAGATTTTCTAGACATACATAGAAATCAGACCACTACTTCTGCAGAACATTTTACTAGTAAAAATAATAGGCCACGTGAGGGAAAACTGATTTGGTGGAAAGACAACAAAAACAAAATATGGGAAATAGGTAAGGTGATAATATGGGGGAGAGGTTGTGCTTGTGTTTCACCCGGAGAAAATCAGCTTCCTGTTTGGATACCCACTAGACATTTGAAGTTCTACAATGAACCTATCAAGATGCAAATGAAAGTGCCTCTGCAGAGACAGAAAACCCGCAGTCGAGCATCATCGACTCGCAGGGTGAACAAAATGGTGATATCAGAAGAACAGATGAAGTTACAATCCACCAAGGAAACGGCACATGTTGGGAGCCAGGGAGAGGAAGAGAAAGAAAAAGAGACAGAGATCAGAGAGAGACACAGAAAGTGAGACTGGGGAGAGAGACCGTAAAAGAAGGGAGACAAAGAGATAAAAGGTGCGAGTGAGCAGGTGAGGAGAAAGACTGAAAACTATGAGAAACAGCAACTAAGACACAAAGGAGGTGGGAGACTGCCTTGGTGCCGCAGCACCCACACCGTCCTCTTGCCCCGTCACTTGGGTTCAAACCACCGGAAATTCCACTATTGCAAATTTTTTATTAATCCTTGTATGTCTGTCCTTTCTATTTTTAGTCTACAGGTGTATCCAGCAGCTCCAGAGAGACAGCGACCAGCGAGAAGGGGCCATGATGATGGAGGTGGTTTTGTCAAAACGAAAATGGGGATATGTAGGGAAAAGAAAGAGAGATCAGACTGTTACTGTGTCTACATAGAAAGGGAAGACATAAGAGACTCCATTTTGAAAAAGACCTGTACTTTAAACAATTGCTTTGCTGAGATGTTGTTAATCTGTAGCTTTGCCCCAGCCACTTTGCCCCAACCACTTTGACCCAATCTGGAGCTCATAAAAACATGTGTTGTATGAAATCAAGGTTTAAGGCATGTAGGGCTGTGCAGGACGTGCCTTGTTAACCAAATGTTTGCAAGCAGTATACTTGGTAAAAGTCATCACCATTCTCTCATCTCAATAAACCAGGGGCACAATGCACTGTGGAAAGCCGCAGGGACCTCTGCCCTTGAAAGCTGGGTATTGTCCAAAGTTTCTCCCCATGTGATAGTCTGAAATATGGCCTCGTGGGATGAGAAAGACCTGACGGTCCCCCAGCGTGACACCCATAAAAGATCTGTGCTGAGGTGGATTAGTCAAAGAGGAAAGACTTGCAGTTGAGATGGAGGAAGGCCACTGTCTCCTGACTGCCCCTGGGAACTGAATGTCTCGGTATAAAACACGATTGTACATTTGTTCAGTTCTGAGATGGGAGAAAAACCGCCCTATGGTGGGAGGCGAGACATGTTTACAGCAATGCTGCCTTGTTATCCTTTACTCCACTGAGATGTCTGGGTGGAGAGAAACATAAATCTGGCTTACATGCACGTCCAGTCATAGTACCTTCCCTTGAACTTCATTATGTCATAGATTCTATTGCTCACGTTTGTTGCTGACCTTCTCCTTATTATCACCCTGCCCTCCTACTACATTCCTTTTTGCTGAAATAATGAAGATAATAATCAATAAAAACTGAGGGAATTCAGAGACCTGTGCCAGTGCAGGTCCTTAGCATGCTAAGCGCAGGTCCCCTGGGCCCGCTGTTGTTTCTCTATACTTTGTCTCTGTGTCTGATTTCTTTTCTGTCTCTCATCCCACCCGACAAGAAATACCCACAGGTGTGGAGGGGCAGGCCACCCCTTCAGTATGAGATTACAGGCATGAATAACCCCACCTGGCCACCTAACTCACTCTTGAGAGGCCAGAAGTGATGCTGGAACTTTCTTCCTCTGTGGGTGAAAAAGGGAAAATTAGGGAGAACAGAAGGCATGAGAGATGCAGCGATGGATATGTCTATATGGAGCTTCTGTCTGCATCCAGTAGAAAATGCATCTGTAGGCACCAGGTTTAAGAGCAAAATCCTGGAGTCTTGTCTGTTAGCATTCTCCTTCCCCACAAACCAGAGAAGGAATATATTTGCTCCAGCACACCCGGATGTAGGAAATGTCACATTCCTATTTCTGTAACTTCACTTAAATCTGCTCTGAGTCTCTGGATGCCTGGCAGGTGGAGAATTCAATCTTGTCGTTACCAGTATTCCTTTCCCTTCTCCATGGGCTTATGTAAGAATTCTGGGCTTACACACTGTTGGAAAGCCAGGTAGGAACTACATCCCCCGAACTCTCCATTCTTCCAGCTGCTCATGATCCATCAACCTTCTTTGGGCCACCTGCTATAGCAAGACCCTCCTCACAGCATCATTCCACTGACCCACAGGCTCAGCCCCAGGGACCCTCACTAGAACAGGTCTCCACTATGCATAGGAACTCACAAAAACCTTCTCTTCATCTTGGCTTCTGCTGATATCCAGCCACTCCCCCACTTCTCATCTTAAACACAGATGGCAGCTCCTTCCCATCGTTCCAAAACTGGGGGATTGTCCAGCCAAATTCTCTGCAGACACCAAAGCTTCACCCGTCCTCTTCAGGGAGGTGATGCAAGGGCATCTGATTTCTTTGGAAGCCCAATTCTGGCCTCTCTTTGGGGTGGGCTGAGAGTGGGAACCAGACTCTCTTTTCCAAATGTCATGTTTATCTTGTTCATCATTATATTATCTCCAATGCCTGGCACATAGTAGGCACTACAGACTGACACATAGTAGGTGCTATTAGTGTCTGTATAATGGGACTCTTGAGGTTGAAGCTATTAGCAGAAACCTGCCAAGCAAAAGGATGGAAAACCAACCACCAAAAAAAAAAAAAAAAAGAAAAGAAAAAGAAAACAATCGTGGCTTTGAGCTCTAAACACACAAGGCACCAGCCCAAGTTTGGGCAATTTTACTACAACAGCCATTTTGCCTCCAAACAAACTGGCACTGGAAACCTCCCTCTGCCTCTTAAAGAGAACCAGTTTCCCTTTCTCTAAGTGGACAGCATTTCTCCCCGGTGGCAGTACCCAGCCCACTGCCACCAGCAAACGACTGCAGCCAGGAGCCAAGAGCTTGATAGTTTAAAGAATAGATCTTATAGGGAAAAACAAAGTAACATCCACATAAATCTGGAACTACCACCACTTTCCAGAGGCCGAATCCCATTTGTAAATTCTCTTGCGTGTCAAGCACCTTGCAGTCAGCTCAACTACACACTTTTGGGATTCGTTGCAGAGAAGAGTGAAGGTTATCTGCAAAATAAAGGAACCAGGGCTCAGAATTCCCAGAGCAATCCATGACAGAGGAGGTGAGTTGAAAAGGGAAGGGTGAAGTCAAAGGAGAGAAGTCAATGAGTTGGCCAACACCAAGCAAGGATCATGGGACCCTCTCCACGGCCCCACATCTCAAATGAAGTCAACAAAACCCATCAATGCTTGGTGTAAGTGTTGTATGCTCCTGGAAATGAAAGCAGGGGCCAAATTTCAGGTCAGTAGGGTCAGGGGTAGAGGCAGCTGTCATGGACTTGTGGGCCCTGGAGGATGGGATGATTCTGAGACATTGAATCCCTACACTGATCTCAGTAGAAATCTCAGGTAGGGCTTCAACATTCGTCGACAAAGGACTCTGTGGGCATCAGAGCAACAGCCTTGGTGCATGTCCAAGCTCCATCAATCCCAACTGGGGCTTTGAACAAGTTACTTATTTTTTTTAACTAACGTTATTTTAATTGACAAATCATAATTGTACCCATGTATGGGATGTTTTGATATATGTATACAATGTGGGATGATTAGATCAAACTAATGAACACGTCCATCCCCTAATTTACTGACAATTTTCATGATGCGACATTTGAAATGTACCCACTTAGTTATTTTGAAAGATACATTATTATTGACTATAGTCACGCTGCTGTGCTATAGATTTCAAAACATATAATCCAGCAACCCAACTTCTGGATATAGACCAAAAAAAAATCAAAATCAATATGTCGAAGGGATCCCTAAATTCCTATGTTCACTGCAGCTCTATTCACAATACCCAAGATATAGAATCAACCTAAGTGTCCATCAGTGGATGAAAGGATAAAGCAAATGTACTATATACACACAAAGGAATACTATTAACCCTTAAAAAAGAAAGAAATCCTGTCATTTTCAACAACATAGATGAACTTGAAAGACATTGTGTTAAGTGAAATAAGCCAGGCACAGAAAGACAGATACTGCATGATTTTATTGTATGTGGAATCTAAAGAAGTTGAACTCACAGAAATAGAGAGTAGGACAGTGGTTATCAGGGGCTGGGGTGAAGGAAAGGGAGGGGATAGGAGACACTGGTCAAAGGGTACAAAGTTTCCAATAGGAAGAATAGTTTTAAACAAGCTAAACTCCTCTGAAAGCTCAGTTCCTCATCTGTAGAGCACGGATACATCATTAACCTTCTAAGGATGTTGCTGTGAGAGTAAGAGATGATGTTCAGCACAATACCTAACGCACAGTCAGGTCTCCTTAAGCTTGAACCTGCATCGCCATGACCTCTACATCTCAGGACAGAAAGGCTCACAGCCAGTGTCTCAGTTCCCAATGAAAAGTGGATCCCAGACCAGGCTGGACAGCAGGATCCCTAGGGGATACCCCACCCTACTGAGTCAGAATCACCAGAGGTAGAACCTGGGTATGTATGTATGTGTGTATGTGTATGTGTGTGTGTGTGTGTGTGTGTGTGTGTGTGTATGTACAAGAGACAGGGTCCTGCTCTGCAGTCCAGGCTGGAGTGCACTGTCACAATCATAGTTCACTGCAGCTTCAAATTACCCCTGGTCTCAATCCATCCTCCCGTCTCAGCCTTCAGAGTAGCTGAGACTACAGGCGCATGCCACCAAGCCCGGATACTTTTTTTTTTTTTCTTCCTTTTGGAGAGAGTCTCACTCTGTTGCCCAGGCTGGAGCGCAATGGTGCAATCTTGGCTCACTGCAACCTCTGTCTCCCGGGTTCAAGTGATTCTCATGCCTCAGCCTCCTGAGTAGCTAGGATTACAGGCATACACCACCACATCAGCGTAATTTTGCTCTTTCATTGTTGTTTCTTGTTTGTTTTTCACAAATAGGACTTTTTATTTGGTACTGTTTTAAGTCTGAACTTTAAACAGATTCTTGGACTGGTGGTTCCTATCCATCAGCTCATTCAACTTTAGCATGTGTCTCGTCCCTAGTGGGTTTTCCAGAACTACTACCTCCACCACGAAGCTCCATGCCTTTCAAACCCAGGGTTCTCCAGCATTTTTACTTTTCTAATGAAGACATCATGGAGAGGATAAATTGGCAAACCTTTTCTGTATCTTTTCCAATGTTGTCTGGAATCAATTTATTGACCACTTCTTTCAAGTCATTTGTCTGCACCTCTCAGGTCATGATTTCCATCATCTTCTTCTGGATTTGGCAGACTGTTGGTGCTAAGCATAAGAGGTCTTCAGTATCTGATTGTTGTGTTTTTTAGTAAAACCAACACAAAACAGATGAAAGAAGTAACCATCGGTAGTCCTGACATCAACATGAGCTTCAACCATCGTTGAACATTTTTCAACCATGGAACATATTTTGTCACAGGTAAGACCCATGCCATAGAAATTAGTCAGGCAGTTTTTGTCCTGAACATCTTCAGTAATCAGCTTGAATTTTCTAAATGCAACTTCATCATTCTGCAAATCAGCAAGACTCACTTCAAACAGAAGACCCTTGAGACCATCAGATGCAATTTGGGTTCCTTGGGTCCTGGCGACCAAGTCTTTCCAGTATTTCTTATATTGAACATAGCAGGTGCTTTCACATCATACTGATCTTTCTTAGAGAATGGACCAACTACTTTCTTCTTAACTCCCTTTTTGCCACCTTTCATAAGGCACTTGTTCTTAACAACCGCCATGGTGCTGCTTGGAGTACCAAAAGGCTAAATTTTATATTTTTGGTAGAGACGGGATTTCAGGATGTTGGCCAAGCTGCTCTTGAACTCCTGATGTCAGGTGATCTGCCCGCCTCTGCCTCCCAAAGTGCTGGGATTACAAGTGTGGACCACTGCACCCAGCTGTTATTTATTTTTTCTTTTTTTGTACAGACAGGGTCTTGCCATGTTGCCAAGGCTGGCCTGGAACTCCTGGCTTCAAGCAATCCTCCCACCACAGCCTCCCAAAGCACTGGGATTTCAGGTGTGAGCCACCATGCCCAGCCTGGAATCTATTTTTAAAGCCAATCAAGCGTTGAATAAAATTGCAACTTGGGCTGTTTTTTCTTTGCATTTTTTACATTTCAATGGTTTTCAATATATTCAGAGATATACACAAACATTACCAGTCAATTTTAGAACATTTCATGACCTCAAAAAGAAACCTCATACCCTTTAGCTAACACCCCCATCCTCCCATGCCCCTACCACCCCTAAGCAACCACTAATCGACTTCCTATTTCTGTAGATTTCCATCTGAATGAAATCATGTAGAATGTGATCTTTCATCTGTTTTGAAGATTCATCCACGCTGTAGCGTATGTACTATCCTCCTTTTTGTGATCAAATAATATTCCACCATGTGGGTAGACAACAATAGGTGTATCTCTTCATCTGGTGACGGGCATTTGGATTAATTCTCTCTTTGGGTTATTAGGAGTGATGCTACTGCAATTATTCATGTACAAAATTTTGTGTGGACCTGTGCTTTCATTTTTGAATATGAAAATACTGCGCATCTCCAAGGAAGACATACAAGTGGTCAATAAGCACATGAAAAGATGCTCAATGAAATTCATCATCAGGGAAACAGAAATCAAAACCACAATTAGATACCACTTCATACCCATAAGCATGGCTAGAATCGAAGATAGAGAAAATTGGCCTGGTGTGGTGGCTCATGCCTGTAATCCCAGCACTTTGGGAGACCGAGGCAGGTGGATCACCTGAGGCCAGGAGTGTGAGACCAGCCTGGACAACATGGTGAAACCCTGTCTGTACTAAAAAAATACAAAAATTAGCCAGGCATGGTGGCAGGTTCCTATAATCCCAGCTACTCGGGAGGCTGAGGCAGGAGAGTAACTTGAATCTGGAGGCAGAGGTTGCAGTGAGCTGAGATTGTGCCACTGCACTCCAGCCTGGGCGACAGAGCAAGACTTTGTCTCAAAAAAAAAAAAAAAAAAAAAAAAAAACAGAAAATAACAAGTTTTGGTGAGGATGCAGAGAAACTAGAACCTTCATACACAGCTGGTAGGAATTAAAATGGTGTAGCCACTGTGAGAAACAGTTTAACAACTTCCCAAACAATTCTACATAGAGTTACCAAATGACCTAGCAATTGTACTCCTAGATATAAGCCCAACTTGGGCTCTTTCAATCTATGGAAAATGAACTGTGGGTACTTGGCAAGAACAAAGACGGAGAGAGGCAGAAATGCTGCCATGAGGGCACATTGATTGGTCTCTAGTACACATGGTTTCTACTGCAAATGGTCTCTAAATGACTTCATCAGTTGCTCAGAAAAAAAATCACCCTCTGCTCCAATCGTGGAGGAAGAAGTATGGATTGGACCTGGTGAGCCACGGTAAGACTGACTGCTAAACTTTATGAATGATGAGGGGATTTGCACGTATAATCTTAACTGTACATCAAATGTTAATTTTTTATTTTATCCACTGTCTTTGAAAACCTAACTCTTGACTAAGAACTGACTTTCCTGTACTTGTTGTTGACTCTAAGTAAATTTCCAATTCCACATAGTCCAAAGATGATGTGCTGAGAAATCTCTCAAAGGAAAAATGCTAAGAATACAGGCAGAGTTATGCGGCAAATTTTGCAGAATTAACACAAATTGCACTTGTGGGTATGAAGCACAAAACATTTTCATGGGTAAAGAAAAAAGTGTTCTTCATTCTAGTAGACGCTGCAGGATGAGGCCGATCAAGGTGTCTGCCCAGCCAGACCTTGGGCTCTTACCTAGCTTGTGTTAGAGTCAACTCTGAGGGAGTCTGTATTTCAGTCATCTTTTTTTTTGCCATGGAATCTTGCTCTGTCTCCCAGGCTGGAATGCAGCGGTGTGATCTCAGCTCACTGAAACATCTGCCTCCTGGGTTCAAGCGATTCTCCTGTCTCAGCTTCCCAAGTATATGGGACTACATGTGCATGCCACCATGCCTGGCTAATTTTTGTATTTTTAGTAAAGACGTTTCATCATGTTGGCCAGGCTGTGCTCAAACTCCTGCCCTCAAGTGATGCGCCTGCTTTGGCCTCCCAAAGTGCTGGGATTACAGGCATGAGCCACCATGTCCGGTCTCAGTCATCTTTTTATCCTCCACACCTGGCAAGTTCTAGACACACTGTGGTTCCATACAAGTTTGTTGAATAAACAGGAGACAGAAAGTGGGAATTCTGGAAGTAGAGAAGATTCCAGAAATTGTGCATATTTCCCAGAGACTGTGGCCCAATTCCTCAGTCCTGCCAGAGTTTCTCTATCTCAACTCAAACCTTATGTATGGGCCCAGGTGCAGTGGCTCACACCTGTAATCCCAACACTTTAGGAGGCTGAGGTGCGCAGATCACTTGAGGCCAGGAGTTTGAGACCAGCCTGGCCAACATGGTGAAACCCCGTCTCTACTAAAAATACAAAAATTACCCAGGCATGGTGTTCTGCACCTGTAGTCCCAGCTACTCAGGTGGCTGAGGCACAAGCATTGCTTGAACCCAGGAGGCGGAGGTTGCAGTGAGTCACGATTATGCCACTGTACTCTAGCCTAGGCAATAAAGCAAGACTGTCACAAAAGAAAAAAAAAAAACCCTTAAGTGTGGGCCTTGTTACAGAATTAATGTTTATATGGACAATATGTACATGGGTGTATGTTAAGAGCATGAGCCATCCACAAGATTTTAGCAAAGTCCATTTGGAAAGCTCAATGCTTTGGGCTTCCACTTGCTTTGCTGCCTCTGTCCTCAGAAGGAGGCTTCATCCTTCCATGTAACCAGCAAATCCTTTATGCAGAGATGTACACAACACACTCCTCTCCTTGGCTATGACACCTTGAAATGGTCCTCTTGGTGGCCCCTGGTGCTCATTTCAGAGTAGTTCAAATTAAGGTGATCAGCTTTCATGCCAATCACTCTACAAATTACTCCTATTATGACCAATTTTTCTAAATGCTTTATTGAATTATTACTTAAAGAAATGTGCACATAGAAGAGGTCAACACAGTACTTTTCTTACAAACTGAACATACTGGCCAGAAGCAGTGGCTCATGCCTGCCATCCCAGCACTTTGGGAGGCCGAGGTGAGCAGATTGCTTGAGCCCAGGAGCTTGAGACCAGCCTGGGCAGCATAGTGAGACACTCCTCTCTACAAAAAATAAATAAATAAAAAATTAGGCAACAGTGGTGGCACCTGCCTGTAGTCCCAGCTACTAGGGAGGGCTGAGGTGGGAGGACTGCTGGAGCCCAGGAGGCAGAGGCTGCAGTGAGCCATGACGGTGCCACTGTGCTCCAGCCTAGGTGACAGAGCAAGATCCTGCCTCAAAATCAACAACAACAACAACAAAAAACTGAACATCTCCATATTACTGACACCCAATTCAAGAAACAAAATATTACAGCCCCTTCCAGGATATTCCTGGGGTCTCTTCCATCTCTACTAACCCCTGACTACAAACAGCCTCCACCTATTTCACCTGACATTGTACTTTATGAAAGCAGCAGTTCTCAGATGGGGCTATTTTGCCCCCTGGGGACATTAGGGAATATCTGGAGACACTGAGGGTTGTGTCTACTTGGGGGGAGTTGTGTTACTGCATCCAGTGAGTCCAGGGATCCAGGGATGCCGCTCAACATCCTGAAATGCACAGGGAACCCCCACACATAGAACAGAGAAATTGCTGAGCTAAAATGTCAGCAGTGTCACAGCTGACACCCTGATATACACACTATCACACAGTATCTGCTCTTTCGGGCTCAGGATCTTTTTCATTCTAATCATCTCATAGGAAACAGAAATGTCATTTAGAGGTAGGTAGAGTCCAAAACAAAGAAGAACCTGAGTTTTTTTTTTTTTTAATCAGCCTGGTGCCTTTAGAGCTAGGATTTAGTTTCTATTCTTTCTGTCTCATTTTCAAGTGATTTTTTCTTCAAATGGCATCTACTGGGCTCAAGAACTGGAGATCCCCACAAAGCTGAGATTCACATGGGAATTTTGTACACACCCACACAGGTATACACTTCCATTTACATGCAGACATCCACCCACAGATACACACATCCGGAGACCAAGACAGAACGCAAACTGCCCCATAAAAGCACGGTTCCCCAAACAGGAGAAACGCACCATTCACTCCAGGGAGGTATCTATTTGTTTAATTCAGCCTCTGATAGTCAGGCTGTTGCCAAGCCCAGCTCTGAAACTCTTCCCCTCTAGGAAAGAAAGATGGATTTTTTCTTTACTCAAGAATATAGATCTAAAAAAAAAAAAACACTTCTGCATCTCAAAGCAGGCTCTACCTCCTGAGCTACACGTATTGATCAGCTTTTTATTGTCAATTTTCTTTTAATTGAATTGGAGAAAAATATAAATTATGTTCTTACTGACAGTTTGGAAACAGTTACACTAAATCCAATTCTCTGGGTTCTCATGATTAAGGTGTTTAATTTGGGGGACAACAAAGCAAAAGCATTGGTCGTGTTTTAATATAATTAGTACAGGATATATCTAAGGGGTTCAAGTATCACTGTAGCAAGAAGCTCATTCTGCAGTAAAAGGGGGATTCTGCCACTAGGATTGAGTGAGGGTGGTTCATGGCTGCACCGTTTCATCAATGTCTCTTCAAGAGTCCATGGAATGTGGAATGGGAAAGACTGAAATAGTGCAAGTCTTGGCTAAGCTTCTATTAAGGGGTGTTAGGAGCTGATAAAATAACCTGGTCTTTATAGACATCCCACACTGTAGTTCTCTAAGCTACAGATTCTCAGATTTTTCTATTTTATGAACGAGTAAAAATATTTTTTTAATTTGAGAACCAACATAAGGTTGCTATCTTTTTTTTCTTTTGGGTAAGAAGGAACTTTTTTAAACTACCAGTTACACACACACACACACACACACACACACACACACACACACACACAGAGAAATTCCACCATGATTGGTCAGAATAGGTGAGGTTTTGCTGCAATAACAAACAACTCCCAAATCTTGGTAACTTCAAACATCAGAAGTTGTTTTTCTCACTCATGCTTCATCTGCAGGGAGGTGTGGGGTGCTCTGTTTCCCATCAAACTTGCCCTAAGACTAAGGTTAATGGGGGTTGCAATACCTCGAGTATCACCAAGCAGGGAACAGAGGGAGAAGAATGTTAGAGAGTCTTGTACTAAGAATTAAATGCTCCAGGCTAGAAGTCTAACATTGCACCTCTGCCCCCAGCCTCTTGGCCAGTACTAGCCACATCCCCTCCCCCACCACAGGGCAATACATGAAGACAGGAGAATTGGATACATTACAAATTTCTACCCCATGGCATTTCATAAAAGAGAAAAAAATGCCAATACAAAAATGTTTTAATAGAATAGAATATATACATTTTTAGAATAAAGAACAATCCTCCAAAAAGGACAGCTGGTGGTCTCTCAACAATGGGCACATTTCTGTGACATTTTCTCTGTTTTTCCATTTTATCCTTGACCTATGAACATTTTATACAGATGGTCCAAAGAACACCATTTGGGGACCACTGCTGTAATCAGGTGATGAAAACGGCCCCAAGAACAGAGCACAGTCTCTTTAGCAAAGACCCAGCAGGGCCAGGGTGACCATGTTCTCACCATCAATGTGCAGACATCCACCTGCAGCATCCTCACATCCCAACATCAAACAGTGGCTCTTTATAGCTTGATTCTAATGCCCTTTGATCTTCATAATCATTGTAAAGCTCTCTGGCCCCAAGATCTAACATCGCCACTCTAGCTACATCCTGCAACTGTTCACCTCTCCTGCCTCCTCATCCCTCTAAACTTCTCTTCACAACCTCATGTTTCCTTCTTGCTTTACCTTCCTGCTCAGCCTGGACCTTACAGTCACCTTCTTCTTGTAATGTGCTCCTAAACTCTTTCTTCCCTTCCTTCAACCACACCCACCTGGAAAATCTCCATACCCCATTGACGACTTGCCTCGCAACTGCCCAAGGGCTGCTGAATGATACTGGAAAGAATCACAACAGGGATCTGGTAGTTCCACTAAATAATCTCACCATCCAACTCTAGGGCAGACTTCACTTCTGTTCAGCAATATTTTTAAGCATCACAAATAAATTCCAAACCATATTTGCTATAACAATTGACTGTAAACCTCTTCCATATCTCAAAGCCCCCCAAACCCAGCCCTAGGGGTTTCAGAGCCCAGAGTTGAGTTCTCTCAACTCACTTCCATCTCACCCCTAGATCACTGTATCTTGATCCTCTTCCTCTGCCTTTCCCATGTTATAAGGAGAAGCATCCTTCTCCTTTCCCAAGCTACCTTCTCCACTTGTGCCTCATTTGAGACCTGCCTTTATCACCCGTTCCCTTGGAACTCCCATGACTCACCACCTTCACTTGTCATTTCACTCATAAATATTTTGCACCGTGTATGTGCCAGGCGATTAACATATAATCATGCTTAAGTCTCCACATGCTAACAAGAAAAACCTTGATTATCCCTGCTATGCCCTCAAGTCATTACCCTCCCCGCTCCTTTCCTGTGTTCCCAAACTTTGTTGATCTTCATCAATCCCTCTGATGCAGATGGCTCCGAAGTTTGCATCCTATTAGGTTGGTGCAAAAGTAATTGCGGATTTTGCCATTAAAAATAATGGCAAAAACAGCAATTATTTTTGTAGCAGCCTAGTATCTTTTCTCCTTCTACCAAACTTTGTCCCTGAGACATCTCATCACCTATAACTACCTCCTCCATGCAGTTGATTCCCAGATCTGTATTATTCTACTGAAAGTCCATTCCCCAATTTTCTCGGCTAGAATAACAGAAACCCAATTAGAATTCATGCTACCAGTTTCCCACCACCACCACCACCGTCGTCCTGCCATTGTTAGCAAAACCATCTCTTGAGTGGAGCTCAAAGATTTGTAATTTCCCACTCCCCAGAAAGATAACTTCAGACTCAGCTTAGAAGTAAAGATCCTCCAGATATGGCCTCAACTACCCTCCAACCCATGTCCCCAGTGCATCCCGTTGATGCCCCCTTCAGTGGAGTTAAAATGGAGTGAGTGTTTTTCTTTTCACATACTCCTGGTGTTCTTCCACAAATACAATTTTCACCTCTTGAATATTTTCAAGGATTCTCCATGCTACACACAGAGAAATCCAAACTCCCCATCAGGACCCCAGTCTTCCCAAACCCTCTTTGCACTTTTCTGCCTCCATGCTTTTCCTTGGGTCATCCTCTTCTCTAATATAACCTTGTGTATTATTCTAGGTTCTCCAGAGAAAGAGCAGAGAGATAGAGGTAGAGATATACACATAGAGAGAGACAGATTGATTTGTTGTAAGGGATGGCTCACCTGGTTATGGAAGCTAAGGAGTCCTGGAGTCTGCAGCCAGCAAGCTGGAGACCCAGGACAGCCAATGATATAGTTCCAACTCGAGTCCACATGTAAAGTCAGGAGAAGATTGATGTCCCAGCTCAAATATAATCAGGTAAAAAGAGCAAATTCTCTGTGATTCTACCTTTTTGTTTTGTTCAGGCCTTCAATGGATTGGATGAGGCTCACCCACACTGGGGAGGACAATCTGCTTTATTCAGTCTACCAATTAAATGTTATACTCATCCAGAATACCTCAGAGACACACCCAGAATAATGTGTAGCCAAATATCTGGGCACCCCACAACCCAGTCAAATTGATACATAACACTAACCATCATGTCTTGCTTCTACTCTCTCGCCATTTCTGCATGGCCAAATCTTTCCCTTATTTCAAGGCTTAGTTCAAATGTTACCTCTTAACTAAGCCTTCCCTGCTAACCCCAAATATTAATAGAATTGGTTTCTCCCTTCTCTGATGTCTCAAAATATATTGTGTTTCTCTTTTATTGTATTTATTACAAACTCCCTTACAAATCAAGACAGTGATTCCCAGACAAATTATCACAAGAGTATAAAAGAAGTCTTCTTTGAGTGTGAAATATCTCATGGAATATAGCACATGGCCTCTTCATGAAGAAACTACTGGGAGAGAAGAAGACAAGCTGGAAGAGGCCAGGGAAAGGGGGTTAGTACAAAGCACAATGGGGCTGGGCTCATACAGTGGCTCACACCTGTAATCCCAGCACTTTGGGAGCCCAAGGCCGGTGGATCACGAGATCAGCAGATCGAGACCATCCTGGCTAACACGGTGAAACCCCGTCTCTACTAAAAATACAAAAAAGTTAGCCAGGCGTGGAGGTGGGCGCCTGTAGTCCCAGCTACTCGGGAGGCTGAGGAAGGAGAATGGTGTGAACCCGGGAGGCAGAGCTTGCAGTGAGCCGAGATTGCACCACAGCACTCAAGCCTGGGTGACAGAGCAAGACTCCATCTCAAAAAATAAAATAAAATAAAATAAAGCACAATGAAATGTCAGTGGATGGGTGCCTATAATTTCTAAGGGAAATAGAGTATAATCCAAGAATTTTATAGCCAGCTAAATTATTGCCCAATCAAAATAGGCAAAAGACACATGCTGAAGAACTTAAAGAATACAGTATTTCTGAGCTCTTTAAAAAAAAAAGTCTTCATAATAAAATTTAGTCAGCCAAGAAATTAAAAAATAAGCAACTTGTGAATTGAATGACCATGACAAAAGGCTAGTGATAGGACTATGATTGCAGAACAGAAAGAGAAGGTGGTCAACCTTAACAACATAAAACAACCTAGAAATAACTAGTTTCCAGAGGTAAAGAGAGGGACTGTAGGAAGTAGAATTGCTAATGCCCTTTATTAAGTCAATTAATCAGGTCTAAAATTGAAACGTGATTTTAAATATATAACTTCTTGTTTATTTTCCTCCCTAACTACCTGAGGATCAACCACCAACATGAATGACACAGTGACTACCTGGACCAGGAAGTTCATGACCAATCGACCGTTCCAGAGGAAACAAATGGTCACCAATGTCCTTCACCCCGGAAAGGCAACAAAATGTACAAGACCACAATGGATGTCATCTTCATATTAATAGTTGGACTCAGAACCCATTTTGGTGGTGGTTAAACAATCGTCACCCACATTGGAGCGCAGTGGTACGATCTCAGCTCACCAAATCTCTGCCTCCCAGGCTTAAGCAATTCTCCTGCCTCAGCCTCCCCCGCAGCTAGGATTACAGGCACGCACCACTACTGCCTGGCTAATTTTTATGTTTTTAGTAGAGATGGGGTTTCACCTTGTTGGCCAGGCTGGTCTTGAACTCCTGACCTCAAATGATCCACCCGCCTTGGCCTCCCAAAGTGCTAAGATTACAGGCATGGGTCACTGTGCCCAGCCTTTTCTGTATTAAATTTTTTAAAACACAACATTTAAAATAATCAAGTCATTCTTTTTGAATCTACTTTGTATTATAGGTATCCAAATACTCACCTATTCTCTCTCACATGATGACAAACTCGTTGAAATGTCATTTCATTTTGTGGCTCCAGCCCCAGGGATTCTGAGTCTGATTCTAAAGGGCCTGCATGCAGAGCAAGCAAGCCGCCTGGATGATTCTCTTACAGGTGTTTTAAGGGCATCAGTTTGAGACACCCTGATGCAAAAGAACGAACCCTCAAGGAAGTTGGCTGTACATGTATTTTCCTTCCTAGCACAGGAAAAGACAGAAAGATTATCCAATCAGTACCACTCATAGCACCTGATTATATATGTATGAGGAATTCAGAAATGGTTTGATCAAGGTTGAAGACCTAAAAAGTAGCTTTTCTCTCAGACACCAAGTCCCCATCTCATGCGTGGTTGAGTTAGTAGAATCTGAGGATGATGCTTCTTCCTCCAGGATTGGTATCCTATGGTTTTTGTTGTTCAGTAAATGAAGTACCTCCATCCCCCAACATCCCCAAGCTCAATTCCAGTTTCCTCACATACACTTTTTTTTTTATTTTTTTTTTGAGACAGTCTCGCTCTGTCACCCAGGCTGGAATACTGTGCAGTGGTGCAACCTCAGCTCACTGCAACTTCCACCTCCCAGGTTCAAGTGATTCTCCTGCCTCGGGCTCCTGAGTAGCTGGCATTACAGGCATGCACCATCACGCCTGGCTAATTTTTGTATTTTTAGTAGAGATGAGGTTTCATCATGTCGTCCAGGCTTGTCTCAAACTCTTGGCCTCAAGTGATCCACCTACCTCAGCCTCCCAAGTGCTAAGATTACAGGTGTGAGCCACCGTGCCCAGCCCCCTCACTTACACTTTTACAGAAGATCTGATCATACCCACTCCGCAGAAGTCAGAATGGCCCCCACATGGTGTTAAACGGGAGTGAAAACTTGAGTTCAATCAACTGAGGGTGACACAGAAACATTTCCCCCAAAACGCTTTTGGCAGCTCTGCTGATCCATAACCTGGCTCCATTTCAGGGCAAGACCTCCACTTAAGCTGCACTGGCTTCCACTAGAGTAAATCACATTAACTCATGGCAAACACAACTGAAGGGCAAAAAGATTCTTTTTAAAAGGATTTTAGTCTCTCACTTACCAACACACCCTGGCCTCCCTAGAGCCGGACTCCATTCAGCACCTGTTCCACTGAGCACCCACTGAAAGCTCAGCTCATGAGCTGAGATGACCCAGACATCAAGGAGTTTACAATCCAGGGGAAGAACAGACCTGAATACAAGTGATGACAATACAAGACGGAGTCAAAGAGCCCAACTTGAAGTATCAGCAGAATAGCACCAAAGACTAGTTCCCAACCCAGCTCCCAGCGCCAGAGCCAGAGCCAGGCTGGCTGCATGAGATCAGCTGGGAGCTTTTGCAAACCTAGGTCCTAGCTAAGCCCCTAATCATCAGACTGGCAGTCACTGGGAGTGAGCTCCAGGAACTCTTTTATTTAATAAGCACCCACACACACATGATTCTGATGTTCCTAAGGGTTGTAGAAACATGGAACTATAGAAAACACTTAAAAAAAAAAGGCACTAAAAGAAACCTATAAATATTCACTACAATCCCAGGCATCATGAGGACACTCCACGTGCACTATTTACAATACTTAGAATATCCTGCAAGGGAAGCATTCATTCATGACGATGGGCTTTATTGGGATCAGAGCCAGCCCTGGGAATATTTGAACCCGCGCTGAAAGTCACCCCTTCCTCCCCACAGGAGGGGGCTAACATTAAGGAGCAGGGACCAGATGGGAAATGGAGTGTCCTTTTATTATGAGACCACAGTGAGAGACTTTTTTTTTTTCCAGAGTCTTGTTCTTGCCACCCAGGCTGGCGTCCAGTGGTGCAATCTCAGCTCACTGCAACTTCTGTCTCCCGGGTTCAAGTGATTCTCCTGCCTCAGCCTCCCGAATAGCTGGGACTATAGGCACCCGCCACCACACCTGACTAATTTTCGTATTTTTAATAGAGACAGGGTTTCACCATGTTGGTCAGGATGGTCTTGATCTCTTGACCTCATGATCCGCCTACCTTGGCCTCCCAAAGTGCTGGGATTACAGATGTGAGCCACCACGCCTAGCCTCAGACTTTCAAGTAAAGCCACAATGGACCACAGAGCTTAGACATCAGGGCTAACATGGCATCTCTGTCATTAAATCTTGAGATCTTACTATCTTTGGTCAAAGAAAAAAATAATCACAAATGACATTTTGAGGACAAGACATCTGAATGTAAACTTGATCTTAGAGGATATTAAGGAATTACTGGTAATTTGATTAGGTATGACAATGATCATATAAAAAGTGCCCTCATGTTTTTAGAGGGAAAGTAAATTACGTAGGGATGAATATCAGGATGCAATTACATAACTACTGTCAACTATTTTGTAAATACTTCAGAAAAACAAATGAAGTAAATATTGCAAATGTTAATAGTTTTTAAATCTATGTGATGGGTATATGATAGCTCATTAAACTGGTGTCTCTACTTTTATGTTTATTGAAAAGTTTTTGTAATAATAATAAAAAAAAAACCTTGGCCAGGCACAGCAGCTCATGCCTGTAATCTCAGCACTTTGGGAGGTCGAGGTGGATGGAGGACTGCTTGAGCCCAGCAGTTTGAGACCAGCCTAGGCAACATGGTGAAACCTCATCTCTACAAAAAATAGACAAATTAGTCAGGCATGGTGGTGTGCATCTGCAGTCCCAGCTACTCAGGAGGCTGAGGTGGGAGGATCACCTGAGCCCAGAAGGTCAAGGCTGCAGTGAGCCAAGGTCACGCCACTGCACTTCAGCCTGGGCGACAGACCCTGTCTCAAACAAACAAGCAAACAAAAACCCTCTTGATCCCATTTCCCAAAAAACGATTTTTTTGAGATCTTATCATCTCCTGGCTTGGTGCAGAGTACAGGAAATCGAGACAAAGTACAACACACAAGGAATAAGGAGGGAGGGAAGCGTGGGGGAGGCTGACATCGTGGACTCTCCCAGCTCAGTCGACCCATGCGCCTTCCTTCATGGAAGAAAGGAATGGGAGATGAATCATGCCTTCAGCACAGAGAGACCTTCCTCACTAGTAAATGCGCCTCCAGAAATGTCCAAGAACTCAGTGCCAGAGCCAGGCTGGCTGCATGAGAATCACCTGCGAGCTTTTGCAAACATAGGCCCCTACTGGCTCCAAATGTATTCGTCTCTTGGAGAGGAGGAGAGAGGCAGAACAAGGAAAAGGATGGGAAGAAACCAGCCTTGTGCACAGGAGGATGCTGGGATTCCTCCTGCAAGTTTAGCGCAATGCAGCCTATTTTACAAGGTCACAGAAGCTCAGAGAGGTAAACCTGCCCAGGTTCTCATAGCTTGTAAGTGACAAAACAAAACCCGCCCAAGTCTCTGTCTCTAGAGATATTTCCACTTGCTTTAACTCTGGAGCTGTCTTAGTTGTAAAGACAGATTCCACTCCTCACTCACTTTTGTTTGCAGATATTGCCTAAGGTCCCTTGTGAATATTTAGGTCAGGGCTTTTTTTTTTTTTTGAGTTTTTTTTTGTTTGTTTGTTTGTTTTTAAAAAAGCAATCTTGTAGAAAGAACCCAAAGTGGCTCCCCATTTTAAGACTCTGCAAACAGGGAGACCAGAGTCTGGAGTCCCGGTCTGATTTCCACACTTTCCTTAGATTTCCCTGTGTGTAAAATCCAACAACAATCTTTGACAAATTGCCTCCCCCAGGGGAGAGATGGAGGAAGTGTTAACTTTGCTTTTTTTTTTTCTTTTTTCAGACAGAGCCTCACTCTGTTGCCCAGGATGGAGTGCAGTGGTGCAATTTTGGCTCACTGCAACCTCTGCCTCCTGAGCTCGAATGATTCTTGTGCCTCAGCCTCCCGAATAGCTGGGACTACAGACAGATGCCACCACACCTGGCTAATTTTTGTATTTTTAGTAGAGATGGGGTTTCGCATATTGGCCAGGCTGGTATCGAACTCCTGGCCTCAAATGATCCACCCCGCTCAGCCTCTCAAAGTGCTAGAACTACTATAGTCATGAGCCACCATGCCCAGCCACTTTGCTATTTTTTTAATAGACAGCTTCGAGGTCCAGTATGATTTCACAGATTAGGAAACATCACAGGCAAAGAAGAACACTTTGCATTCAAATAGTAGAATGTTTTTGTTTTCAAGGAGCTCTCACCTGCCATCTAATCTTGTCTTCCTAGCAGTCCTGGGAGAGAAGCAGATGTGGTTTCCAATCCCACTTTCCAAAAGAGGAGACTGAGGCAGAGGCTTTGCAGATACACAGAGGACATGTGAGGACAGGTGAAGGTCATGATCATTGTCAGCGCCCTCCCCCAACTTGACATTCCCAGACCTAGTGGACTTCCAAACAGAGGAGACAGAAGAACTGATCAATCAATTCTGCCATGGGTGCCAGGACCCAATTTTTCCCTGGCTAACTCGGTCACATCCTGTCTGGGATCTCCAACTACTACCCATCCCACAAGTCTCAGCTAAAACAGGAATTCAACGGGGAACATTTTTCTGAGGCTCCAGGATTGGGCCAGGCCCTCTCCATGGCTGTCTGACCTTCCCCTAATGCAGAACTTAGCGTCTGTATGTCACTATTGGTTCAAACATGTGCCTTTCATATGCTCTCCACGTTATCTGCAGCATCTGCCAAGAATAATAATGAATGGTAAAACCTAATCTCTATTGAGTGCCGATGATGCACTTTTAATGTGACATCTTATTTAATCCTCACTATATCTGCAAGAGTAGAAGCTATTAATAGCCAATTTTCAGATAAGAAAGTCAAAGCACAGTTTCTATAACTTACCCAAGCAGCTAGCTAGGAGGCAGCTCAGTTTGAGCCCAGGGAATCTTATTCCAGAGATCATGTTCTCAATTACTAGAGCAGGTACCTCCCCAGAATCTAGCAGGTGGTTAACGAGTCTTTGTGGAATAAATGAACAGAAGGACAACAGATGGATGGATACATAGGTGGATGGGTGGATAATGGGTGGGCGGGCAGGTGGACGAATGAATGGATGGTTGAGTCAGTGAAGGGATGGCTGAGTGGGTGGAGAAATGGATGAGTGGGTGAGGGGTTGGAGGGATAAATGGATGGATGGGTGGGTGGATAGATGGTTAGATGAGTAAACGGGTGGATAGATGCATGGGTGAGTGGATGGATAGAGGGTGGTGGTGGATGGGTAGGTGGATGATAGCTGGGTGTATAAGAGACTGGGTTGGATGGATAGATTGGTGGGTGGGTAGATAGATGGGTGGGTGGTTGGATGTATGCATGTGTGGATGGATGGATGGATGGACGGATGGAAGGAAGGAAGGGTGGATGGATGGATGGACAGATGAACAGATAGACTTGGGCATTTATTCGGGGTCCTCCAAAGAATTGAGTTATTTCCCTAGGGTGTCTCATCACCTGCAGGTAGGTGGGCAAGGGGGCTTGCCTCTGTAATACTCATGATTATGGGTAGTGCTCAGCCTTAGTCACCACTCTCAGAACACTTTATTGACTAGGAAAGTCAAAACTGGCATTGATAACTAACGGAAATTGCAGCTAAAACTAACAGAAGATGTTGAGCTGATGACAGCTGGGCAACCAATAATCAATAACTTGGCTGTGTCATGTTACTGCCATGCTGGGCAGGTAGAACCAGGTGTTCCTTAATCCCTCCTTCACATTAAGGATGCTTATCAAGACTTCCCCAACCATGGAGACAGGGATATTATCAAATACTTGCAGTTCACCCCAAAAGGCTCACCCTCTTCGTTCCACCTGCACATGACCTTCAGCTCAAAGACATTTCCAGTCCTCCAGGTCAGCCCTTCTTCCAGCCTTTGAATTAACACTGATGACTGCCTGCCCATTAAGTGTCTTCACCATTCATCACATAGCCTTTTCCAAGGCTTTCCTTCAATCCAGCCCTCACTAAACGCTGGAACTGTTGTTGACAAAATCCAGAACAAGCTGGGTGGGGGATGCAGTTGGGAAGCAGGCTGTAGTAATGGGGAAAAATTCTAAGCAATCTCGAACACAGAAAATAAACTGAACAGGTAAGAGAGAGGCAGTCAAGAGAAGAAGTGTGAATTTTGCATAACTGAAGCTGAAGAAGATCGGGGGGCATGGCAGACCACAAGATAAATATGATATAGACTCCTTTTTAAAAAAGTATAAACATCCACCCTTTCCTACTGACAACTGTGCTTCAAATATTGCTAAGGTCTTTACTAAAGGTGAGTCAGAAAAACTGGGTATTTTATGCAATACAGTAAGAAGGCCCATAGGCAAGTATGTTCCTGACACCACCTTCTAGGATAAGCCCTGAGATTCTGGTTACTCCTGTCCTAAACTTGTCTCTCACTCCTGCTGTTGGAGAGCTACCATGAGAGAAGAACCATAGTGAAGTGGTTAAGAGTGTGCACCCAGCGACTGGCCAGATGACCACAAACCATCACTATCTAATACTGAGCAAGTTACATAATGTTTCCGAGCCTCAACTTTCTCATCTGTAAAATGGGTATGTTGTCATTCATTAATCAAATTCTAGGTGAGCATATACTAAACACCAGAGACACAAATGAGAATCAGAACAGGCACGTCCCTGGCCCTTATGGTGACCACAGTCTTGAAGGGGAAGGATGACACGCAGAGAAATAGGAAGCCGTAGCTGAGCTAGTTTCTACCACAGAGAGGCAGCTGGTGTCATGAAAGCAGATAACAGGGGGTTACTGGGACTGAGTCAGTGTGGCCAGAAGTCCCTGAGGATGTAGTGACTCCAGTGTCAGATGAGACCGTGACCAGGTGAAGAAGCAGGGAGAGGGAAAATTTTTCAGGCAGAAAGAGCAGGATGTGCAAAGACCCTATGGCAGAAAGAAAACAAAGGAAGTGCAAGAGCCTGAAAGAGGCCAGAGAGAGCAAGTGAAAATATGGATAATCACAGCACCGACCTCATACAGGACTTGCAAGAAATCGAGACCCTGTCTGTAACAGATTCAGCAATTACTAAATAGAAACTATCTCCTAAAAGCACACGATGAGGTTCCTTGGTGGTATTTCCCACATGGGGCTGCCATGCATTCAGAGGCCAAGTTCAACCTGTCTGTAGACAACCTCCAAGCCAGCTGGACACACATACACCCTCAGGCTCAGGATACCCAGGACAGAGTCCTGGATGCTTGAAGTCATGATAAGTATGCAGAATGACACAGAATTCCAGCCAGGCATGGTGGCTCATGCCTGTAATCCCAGCACTTTGGGAGGCCGAGGTGGATCACCTGAGGTCAGGAGTTCAAGACCAACCTGACCAACATGGTGAAACTCCCTCTCTACTAAAAATACAAAAAAAAATTTAGCTGGGTGTGGTTGTGGGTGCCTGTAGTCCCAGCTACTCAGGAGGCTGAGGCAGGAGAATCGTTTGAACCAAGGAGGCAGAGACTGCAGTGAACTGAGATTGCACCATTGCACTCCAGCCTGCGCAACAAAAGTGAAACTCCGTCTCAAAAAAGAAAAAAAAATGACACCGAATTTGCTAAAGGGGGAGAAAGGGCTTTCTTCCAAAGCTGGGCCTGGTTTCTACAGAGAGTCTTTCATATGAAAATTAAGCAGCTCTTTGCAAGCACCTCAGAGGAGAACCCCTCACCCTGATGAATCAGGCACAGGGGCGGATCCAAGACAACTGGCTGCGTGCATGTGAACAAGCCTATGGTGGAAATGCAGTGCTTTATTGTTTGGGGTGGTTTAATCACCAGGAGGGAGAAGCTTCTAAAGCAGCATTCAGAGGTGGCTGTTGCCTGGGTTTTCTGGAAGGGGGAGGTGGTGAGGATGAGGGCTTCCCTTTCATCTGCAGGCCCCTTGCAGAAGGAGCTGGGGAAAGCTTTGCAACCATCTGCACACTTTGCCATCTTGTCTGGCTGGGATGCCGAGCTCCAGATGGGGGCAGATGGGATAGCTCTTGCCACCGTATTTGGAGAGAGATGTCAGGGAAGTCAGCCCCCGTGGAGAAGACAGGAGCAGGCAAGTGCTGGACAGTGCTGCCCAGGTCCCTGGGGCTGAAGTGTCCAACCCCACAGCCTCTAGGTGCCACTAAAGCAGCCCAAGAGGATCTTCTCTGTCCATCTCCATCCTGGCACCTACAGACACTTGGAGAGAGTCCTTCACGTGGGAACTCACAAATGCACACTGATAACCCCCACACGGAACTCTCATACATAGCAAGTGAAAAGACAGGATGCCAGTTTAACTTGAATTTCAGATAAACAACAAATCATTTTTTAGAGTAAGCAGGTCCCAAATATTGCATGGGATATATTTGCACCAAAAAAAAAAAAAAAAAAAAAAAAGGTTAATGAGAAATTCAGGTTTAATTGGACCTCCTGTATTTTACCTGGCAAGCCTAACCCTGCATAAACACAACCTCGACCTTGAAACTCACAGAGAAGACACGGCCGTGCTCACACACGTGCACAAACCCATATGCCTTACAGAGTCAACGGCTGTGATGAGGGTCCAGACCCTTGCACACTTTTCTGTCCTCTGTCTGGGCTCAGAGTAAACAGGGGGTCACCTGGAATCCACGTCTAAGCTGGGCTTGGAGGTGTCCTAATGAAGCAGGATGCTGTCCTGCAATTCCCCAGCTCAGCTAGGACTGTAGCCAGGCCTAGCTTCCAGTCTCGGGTCTAGAACACACAGCACAGCCCCAGACCTTGGCAAGAAGGTTTCATCTCAAAGGCCACTGGTGCAGGAACTATTAGAAGCCCCACTTCTTTCCTCTGTTTCTGCTGCCATTGCCCCAGTCTCTGACCCTGACACTCAATCACTCTATTATCACAGCAGGTACTAGGGGTGGCTCTGGGCTCGGCACTAAAGACATTGACCCTGGTAAAGCCACAGTCTAGCAATGACAGTCAACCACCTATCAGCAACAGCCCTGCCCCACACGTGCTGACTGCGCACAAGGCCGGCGCTATGAACGTGCTCTCAACAGTGATCTCACTGAAACCTCATGGCAGCTCTAGGATGCAGACAGTAGCATCACATTATCCCCATTTTACTTTTGAGGAAACTGAGGCCTGAAGAAGGCAAATGCAGGCCTCGAGATTTGCAGTAACATTGCCAGGAATGTTTGAGAAAGCAAACTTCTCCAGAGTGAGGCAGTCTGCCAGAGCTCAGAAGCCAGTGTCCCTGTTAGCAGGGGCTGGGGGCACTGTGGGGTGGAGGCAGACAAGCAGGTAGGGGCTGGACCCCCCAGGACACCAGGGTGCAGACTGGTGTGAGTAAAAGAAAGAGGGGCTGTCATGCCATCATCTGCAGAAGATGATGTCTACAGAGGACAGTACCATGTGAGCCCTTGGGAAGCTGGATGACCGGATGGAGTTTTGCACAGGATGCAAATTGAGCACAGATCCCCCTCTGACCTAGACAGCCCACCTCCAGGAACATCTCACAGAAATGCAGGCACAGAGCACCAAGTGATGTGTGTAAGGAAATTCATCAGAACACCGTCTGTGATTGGGAAAAGGCGGAAACCCTCCAAAGACGTATCGGTGCAGGGCTGGTTAAACGAAGCGTGGTACATCCACACGTCAGAATAACTGCAGGGAGAAGAAGGTGGTACCCAGGTTCCAACGTGAGACAATGTCAAAGACATGCTGCCTGAAAAACAGGCTTTCCAAAGAATAAATATAGCATTATTGCATTTTACTTTTTTAAAAAGATTACAATAAACACTTATGTGCAAATACATGTGCTTGTGTGCACAGAGGAAAAAGCTGTGGACAGAAACAGAAAACCAAACACGGTGTGTTCTCACTCATAAGTGGGAGTTGAACAATGAGAACACATGGACACAGGGAGGGGAATATCACACACCGGGGCCCATCGGGGGTGGGGGACAAGGCGAGGGGGAGCGTTAGGTCAAATACCTAATGCATGCGGGGCTTAAAACCTAGATGACGGGTTGATAGGTGCAGCAAACCACCATGGCACATGTATATCTATGTAACAAACCTGCACATTCTGCACATGTATCTCAGAACGTAGAATAAAAAATAAAAAGAAATCAAAGAAAAAGGTGGGGAGAGGTATACCCCAACCCTTCCCAGTGTTACCTCTGAGATGCAAGATCAAGAAAAGCAAATCAAGAGGTAGTTTTGCTTTCTGTTTTCTATATATATATATATATTTTTTTTTTTTTTGGAGACATAGTCTCGCTCTATTGCCCAGTCTGGAGTCCAGGGACACAATCTCGGCTCACTGCAACCTCCTCCTCACCGCAACCTCCTCCTCACTACAACCTCCTCCTCAGTGCAACCTCCTTCTCACTGCGACCTCCTCACTGCGACCTCCTCCTCACTGCAACCTCCTCCTCACTGCGACCTCCTCCTCACTGCGACCTCCTCCTCACTGCGACCTCCTCCTCACTGCGACCTCCTCCTCACTGCAACCTCCTCCTCACTGCAACCTGCTCCTCACTACAACCTCCTCCTCACTGCAACCTCCTCCTTACTGCGACCTCCTCCTCACTGCAACCTCCTCCTTACTGCGACCTCCTCCTCACTGCAACCTCCTCCTCACTGCAACCTGCTCTTCACTACAACCTCCTCCTCACTGCAACCTCCTCCTCATTGCAACCTGCTCCTCACTGCAACCTGCTCCTTCTGAGTTCAAGGGATTCTCTTGCTTCAGCCTCCCAAATAACTAGGATTACAGGCATGCACCACCAAGCCCGACTAACTTTTGTATTTTTTGTAGAGACAGGGTTTCACTATTTTGGCCACCTGGTCTCAAACTCCTGGCCTGCCCACCTTAGCCTCCAAAAGTCCTGGGATTACAGGTGTGAGCCACCACGCCTGGCCTGCATTGCTTGAATTCTCAGACCACATGGACCCTCTCATCTGGCCCAATTGCAAGAGTCCAAGGCAGGAAAGGCAGAAGGCAGGGGCTTACCCCTCCATCAGGACAACATAGAACGGAGTCAAAAAAGGAAAACATGAATGGATCAGTCAAGAGGGCCGTGCACATGCCCTCCCAGGCACCTACACCTTGCAACTTAAGCCGACAGCCTTTCAAGCCACAGAGTCTTCCTCCCCAGAGACTAGCAAGGACACAAGCCCTGGCCAGGCCCTTCCAGGAAGATGTTCTGAGGGACAAGGTGGGGGGCAGAGTCAGGGGTGGCAGGAGGAAAGGGGGACACGAAGCCAAGGAAACCAGGGCACCACATGCTTCCTGAAGGCAACTAGAACATGGCACCACACAGAGCCCCTGTGTACCTGTTTCTACAACAGCCTGAACACAAGGAAAAGTAAAACAAGGAAAATACACAAAGCCCAGCCTCACCTGGAGCAGGTTAAATAAAGGTGTGTGAATTTTCCTCATGTCCTTTGGAATTGGAAATCCAAGCTTCCTCTTCTGTGCCTTTAAGGTCCTGGCCGCTGCCCCACAGCTCCCTTCTCTTCCCTCCTCCTCCTGTCCTATTTTTTTTTTTTTTTTTTTTTTTTTTGAGATGGAATCTTGCTCTGTTGCCCAGGCTGGAGTACAGTGGCACAATCTCAGCTCACTACAACCTCCACCTTCCGGGTTCAAGCAATTCTCGTGGCTCAGCTTCCCGAGTAGCTGGGATTATAGGTGTCACCATGTCCGGCTAATTATTGTATTTTTAGTAGAGACAGGTTTTCACCATATTGGCCAGTCTGGTCTCAAACTCCTGGCCTCAGGTGATCCGCCCACCTCGGCCTCCCAAAGTGCTGGGATTACAGATGTGAGCCACCATGCCCGACCCTCTTGTCCTAACTCTGCCATCTCTTTGCAGTCTCCCCTGAGCAGCTTTTCCTGGGCCCGCACTGCCCCCCTCCAGAGCTGCACTCTCAAACCACCCCCCAATGCCCCCTGGCCCTGGCTCCTGCCCCGGGGCTCTGATCCTCAGCTGGTGAGGTCTAGAGGGTCAGAAGGAGCCAGACTCCTTAGAGAAGCTAAGGCGGGAGACCTGTGCTGGGCTGTGGTTAAACTGCCCCCTTCCAGCTGGGGCCGAATAGAAAGTGAAAGACTGCCCCCAGAATACAGGGCTCTCAGAGGCCCTGGGGATCTGTGCTGGCAGCCTGGAGGACTGTCACCTCAGTGCAGTTGCCTGCAAGGAGGGCTGTGCAGGAAGCTGCATGTTGCTCAGAGAACAAAAAAAGGAAATTAAATGCACCATCTCCTTATTAGCATGAGCTTTTGAGGCAGACACTTAAATATGCATGCCTAGACATTGTAAAACTTGGGGGAAATGTTAATTTCAATAACGCCACTTCTTGTGCTTGCAGAAACCATTCTTTTATCTCCCTTCCTAGTCATTTGCGGGCTCCATCCCTCAGAGTGGCAGCGCCAAGACAGCCGGCCTCACTGGGTTTTGTAAGCTGTGCAAGGTGAGATCCCAAGCCCTGGCCTGGAGACCCATCTTAGGAAAATGTTAGAACAGGGCAACAAGTTGCCATTTCCTCCCTCCTTTCTCTTCCCCATACAAAAATCAGAAAGCACCCTTGCCCAGCGCCCAGCCACAGTGAGGAAGAAACCCCACACAAAATCCTGGGTTGTGCCCCTGATACCAAAGACCTGCAAAATTGGGCCTCACCTGCTGCAACCTCAGCCCAGACTTGTGTACATTTCAAGGGTGGCTGGACTCATGGCCGCCTGGGACGTCAGAGTGGTACGAAGTCCTCTTAACCTAAGACTGTCAGGGTACAAGGATCAGCATTTTTTTCCTTTCTCTCCAGGGCCAGATGGTAAATAGTTGAGCTTTGCAGGCCATAGGTCTCTGTCCCAAATATTCAACTCTCCATTGTAGCAGGAAAGCAGCCACAGACAATAGGTACTGAAATGGGTGTGGCTGTGTTCCAATAAAACTTTATTTGTGTGAACAGGCAGGGGGCTGGTTCTGGCCTGTGGGCTATAGCCTGCCTCCTCTGCTACAGGGTGATCTCCAAGGACCCATCCATCTTGTAGACCAGCAGCTGGCACACAGGAGCTGCTCAGATACTTGAAGGAGGAATGGAGAAGGCAAACAGCCCCCAGTGTGCAGATGTGAGGGTCTCCCAGCGGCACCATCCTTCGCCATCTCATGCCGAGGGACAAAGCCAGAGCAGGGCTCTCCACCAAGGCTGGGTTCTCCTCCAAGGAAATGTGATAACAGGACAGAAAGCATCGTGGAAGGATAGGGGCTTTGGAGTCCCACAAACCACAGTTTGCAGGACCAGGAGCATCCTGCACTTCCTTGCACACATCCTGGGTGGGTACTGGAGCATCTAGACTTAGAGTGAATCTTCTCCCCATTCTCCCCCAACTGGCCTCCATTAAACTTCCAGCAACAATGTGGTGTATGTACACAATGGAATACTATTCAGCCTTCAAAAAGAAGGAAATCCTGCCATTTGAGACAACATGGATGAGCCTGGAGGATATTATGTTAAGTGAAATAAGCCAGGCACAGAACGACAAATACCACATGATCTCACTTACATGTGGAATCTAAAAAAGTTGAACTCGGCCAGGCATGGTGGCTCACGCCTGTAATCACAGCACTTTGGGAGGCTGAGACCAGCAGATTGCTTGAGCCCAGGAGTTCGAGACCAGCCTGCATAACATAGCAATACCCCATCTCTACAAAAAATACAAAAATTAGTGGAGCATGGTAGTGTATGCCTGTACTCCCAGATACTCAGGAGGCTGAGGTGGAAGGATTGATTGAACTTGGGACGTCAAGGCTGCAGTGAGCCATGATCACAACCCTGCACTACAGCCTGGGCAATAGAAGGAGATTTTCTCAAAAAAAAGAAAAAAAAAGAGAAGAAAAAAGTTGAATTCACAGAAGCAGAGTAGAATGATGGTTGCCAGGGTGGGGAAGTGGGCAGATGCCAAAGGACACAGAATGTCATTTTTAGAGAAGAAGAATAAGTTCAGGAGATCCATGGGACAACAAGGTACCTATAGTTAATAACAACATATCATACACTTGGAAATCACTAAGAGAGTAGATTGTTTAAGTGTTCTCACCCCAAAAAGTAAGTCTGGGAGGTGATATGTTATTTAGCTTGATTTAGCCATTTCATAATGTATACATACCTCAATCACATCATGTTGTATACCCTCTTGTACATAATTTTTGCCAATTCAATAAATTCAACAACTCCAAAAAACAAGACATTCTCTTTACAAAAATAATTATTAAAAATAAAATTCAGAATTCTATTTTATTTATTTATTTATTTTTGAAACAGAGTCTCGCTCTGTCACCCAGGCTGGCTGAAGTACAGTGGTTCAATCTTGGCTGACTGCAACCTCTGTCTCCCAGGTGCAAACGATTCTCCTGCCTCAGCCTCCCAAGTAGCTGGGATTACAGGTGTGTGCCATCACACCTGGCTAATTTCTGTATTTTTGGTAGAGACAGTTTTGCCATGTTGACCAGGCTGGTCTCGAACTCCTGACCTTAGGTGATCCGCCAGCCTCGGCCTCCCAAAGTGCTGGGATTACAGGTGTGAACCACTGCACCTGGACAGAATATAAAAGATTGTTTAATTCAACTAAAACATTAAAACACAGATTATTTCTATAAGTGGTAATTGTTCTAACATGTTTTGGTCAAAATAGTCTCCTTACTTATCCACAATTAAATGGTTAATTGATATTTGATTAGATTTTTATAAAGTTTTCAAATCATGATTGACTTTTCCAATGTACAGTAAAATGTGTTTGAAAATATTGCATAAAAATTAATATTTAAAAATGGTCAGGCATGGTGGCTCATGCCTGTAATCCCAGCAATTTGGGAGGCCAAGGTGGGCCGATCACTTGAGGTCAGGAGTTTGAGACCAGCCTGGCCAAACCTCATCTCTACTAAAAATACAAAAGTTAGTCAGGCATGGTGGTACGCACCTGCATTCCCAGCTACTTGGGAAGCTGAGGCAGGAGAATCGCTTGAACCTGGGAGGTGGGCTCCCCAGGCTTAAAGCAAAACCTCCATCTTGTCTGTCTCCACTCTCATCCCAGGCAATCGCCGTCATTTCCACAGCCTCAACCACTGTCCACCTGGGATGCCTCCCATGCCCGGGTCGCCAGCCCAAACCTGCCTTCCTAGCCCCAGACCCATCTGTCCTGGCACACATTGCCCCCTGGGTCCCAACAACCTCAGCCAATGAGACCAATGCCAACTTCCTGTCCTTGCCTGACACTGTCAGCCCTGAGATCAGACTTGACCATTCACCTCCAGTACCTGATAGGTCTGTCAGTCCTTTGGAACATATCCCACGAACATTCCCCAAACCAGGCACCGGACTCCACACATCAACACTGTCACGTGAGTCACCAGCATCCCTGGCAGGGACCCCTGTCCCAGCCTCCAACTCATCTCCTTCCTGTCCCTTGAGTTCTGTGTCACATTCCAGAGGCCACAAGAAGAAAAATGACCACCTTAATGAAATTAAAAGAATTGAGAAGACATTTCTCTATGGTCCAAAATCTTTCCAACTAAGAAACACATATCAAGATCCAGCCTGCTGGCCCTGTGGTTAAATGTTCCTGAAATAATTAAAGCCCAGGGCAACACAGCCCCCACTCCACAAGAACTCCCAGCACAGTAAGACTTGCTTCTCTACAGGGGCTTGAAATGTCCAGTGTGTACCCTGCCCCTCTCTGTCATAGCTAACAGGAATGTGCTCCGTGTCTTCTTCCTGCTCAAAGGACCGTCCACCAACCTGCGCAGGCAGCACTTTCGGCAAGGGGAGGATGGGAGAACATCCTACCATTTCCCACTTACGCACTGCATTCATCAGGAGCCTGCCTCACAAATTACAAGAGCGCTACGGCAGACCCACGATGTTCCAGCGGATGGCCATGTCTTCATGTCAACTTGAAAGATCATTGCCAGGGAAATATCTATATCTCGGCAGAGAGAGCTTCAGCCTGTGTAGTCCAGCTGTGCTCAAATGGAAATCAAAAAAACCAGATGTTGGTCAAAACACCCTGTCTCAGGGAGCTGGCTCTGCAGGTCCCCAGTGTGAGAGTGAACTGGGTGGGCCACCTGACCTGCCTACCCACATCCCGGCCTCCTGGAATCCTGAACCCTGAGAACCAGGGGGATGTGGTGGGGAGCAGGCAAGTCTTGTGCAGAAAGCCAAGATGCCACCCAAATCCACTCTGCAGTCTAGGTGAGCGATATTCTGGTCTGCACCACACCAGTGCACGAGGGGATGGAGGATGGAGTCTAGACAAGCCAAATGTAAAAAGATATTGTCCACGTATTTTGTGCTTTGTCTGTGTTACAATGCGATGACAAGCCCAGTGTGCTGGCTCACACCTGTGATCTCAGCAACTTGGGAGGCCGAGGCAGGCGGATCACCTGAGGTTAGAAGTTTGAGATCAGCCTGCCCAACATGGTGAAACCCCATCTCTACTAAAAATACAAAAATTAGCCAGGTGTGGTGGTGGGCACCTGTAATCCCAGCTACTCTGGAGGCTGAGGCAGGAGAATCACTTGAGCCCAGGACGTGGAGGTTGCAGTGAGCAGAGATCATGCCACTGTACTCCAGCCTGGGCAACAGAGTAAGACTCTGTCTTAAAAAAAAATTAAATAAATAAAGGCTATGCCCAGTATTTTCCATGTACTGTCTTATTATCTCAGTAAATCCCATATAACCTTCCTATGAAAGTGTATCTCATTTATCTCCATTTTATAGATGAGAAAACTGAGGCCCCTGGAGTACTATTAACTTTCCAAGACAGCATTGCTCATAAAGGGTACAGCAGGGACCCAAGGTCGACACTCTCACCCTCAAACATTTATACAAGTGTAGACCAATGGCTCTCAACTGGGGTGGTTTTGCTCACATACCACTCCCTTGCCCCACAGCATTGAAACCATCTGGAGACATCTGGGGTAGCCATAACTGGGAGGGTAGAATGGCACCTAGAGGATGGAGACCACAGATGCTGCTAACCGTCCTACAATACACAGGATGCCCCCCCACCACCACCACGAATGGTCTCACCCCAAATGTTGTGACGGTGCCAAAGCTGAGAAATCCAGGTTTCTCCTCAGCAAGAAGGAAAATACCTGCAACGTGGATGCACCTCTACAGGAGCCCCAGGCTGACAATAACCTTCCTGATCTGGTTTCAACCCTGGATGCTTTTACCTGGTGCATCCATCAGGGATTTCAGGGACTCCAGTGAGTTATCACCCTCGAATGCTCGGTTCTGCCTGACAACCCAGAAATCTCTGCCAAGGTGCCTGGTCTTGGGGAAGGCTCAGCAAGCGGTTGAGGTTGACAACCAAATACCTAGGAGAGACTTTTCTCTCTCTCCAGCAGGAGCTGTGGGTCAGACACACCCTGGTATCATTCACAAGCGGTCAATAAAGGCTTGGGGAGGGGCAGATTTTCTAGGACTTCTCAATGGGGTGGGTGTTTGTGGATACACAAGAAGCCTGTGAAACTTCTGATATTGGGAGGAAATCAATGCCCCCATCCTCCACCCCCACCCCCACCTCCCCACCATAAACACATGCCCTGTAGCAGGACTTGACACTCAGGGGCTCCTGGGGTCCCGATTTATCTGCTAAAACATCCTCTAGCCACCACCGAATAAAGCAACCCCTTGCGACCCAACCACAAGAGCACTGCCTGGAAGCAACTCCAAGGGACACCAAGTCACATTAAAACCTCAGCCATCCAGAACACCAGGCCTGGTGATGAGAAAGAACATTTTATCCTTAAAAGCATCTGAATGCCCATGCTGCTTCTTGCAGAGAAAAGTCCAAAATAATCTGTTATTAAAGAACGAGGATGGTTTTGACATTTTTACCAAGCTAGTGGTCTACGCAGACAAAATCTCATAAAAGGGCACTCTGTTCTTCTTGATCCACTCAGACATGGCCTGTGAGTGAAGAAACGGGCTCTCCTCCTCAAAGAAATCACTGCTGATCCTCACACCAGCCTGACACTGCTTCATGGGTTCTTCAAAGAGAGTATTCCCATAGGAACTAAAAGGGAAGAGGAATGTGTCTGGCGGGCATTGTGGGCAGCAGTGGGCTTTGGGCCAAATTTTAAGTTTGAAAATCAAGATTCCCTCTTTTCAAGGGGCCGCCGGACTGAGCAGATACAGGCACCGTGAAAAGAGGGTGCCATGTTCAGATTCAGGAAACAAGGATGGTTTCTGTTCAGTTCCTCCATCATCCTTCAGGTCATGCGATTCCCATTTCCCTCTGTGGACCAAACAATTCAGTGGGGTTTCTGCCTTTTAAACATTTCATTATCAACATATCATCCTTTTAGCCTCCAGAAAGCATTTTAACATGGAGATTCTGGCTTAAGACTTTTGTGGGTCTGTCTCTCTCTCTTTTCCTTGAAACGGTCTCACTTTGTCAACCAGGCTGGAGTGCAGTGGCATGATCACAGCTCACTGCAGCCTGACCTTCTAGGCTCTAGCAATCCTCCCACCTCAGCCTCCCAAGTACTTGAGACTGCAGGCACTCACCACCATAACTGCCTTTTTTTTTTTTTTTTTTTTTGGTAGATATGAGGCTTCACCCTGTTGCCCAGGCTGGTCTTAAACTCCTGGGCTCAAGTGATCCTCCCCTTTCGGCCTCTCAAAGTGCTGGGATTATTGGCTTCAGCCACCATGCCCAGCCAAGGACCTTGTCTCTTGTGACGTACTCCAGAACAAAACATCACTGCAAAAACACACCAAGGCATGAGTTTTAGTCCTAAGTCCCACTTATCCACCATACACTATGTGCCAGGCACAACGCTAAGTGCTTCTATGGACGAGCTTCCCTTAATCTCAGCAGCAACAACCCCAGGCAATGGAGCCTGTTGACAGATCCATTTGCCACTGAAGACAGTAAGGCTCAGAGAGGGTAAGTGGCTTGTGCCATGTCAGCCAGCTAAGGAGGGGCAGAACCAGGATGCAAACCCCAGCCGCCTGGCTCCAGAATCGCGTTCCAAAGGTCTCACTACACTTGGTCACTCCACCGCATTCTGGAATCCTGGTCTTTGGCAGAGTCCACGTAAAAGAGGGAGGTAGAGGGAGTGAGAGGGACTTCATGCAATAAAGTTTCCCGGCGTTACACTGCCACCGTAATTGTGTCCCCAACCAGGACCTCTCCCTTCTCATCCTTTCCGTGATCGGCCCTGGAAAACCTTCCAAAGAACTGTCCTCCTTCTCCCGGGATCTCAGAGAAAATTCACCTGAGTTCAGTGTCCAGGTGACCCAAGCTCTGAATGCGGTAACGTGGACGGGGAGAAGAGGATGTCACCATGAGCAAGCCTCCCAGACAGCATCCAGGAGCAACCCCAAGACTGGGCAGGGGGGCTCTGATGCCGCCCACGGCGAGGAGGGCTGCCCATGCTGCCTAAATGGGTTCAGAATGAAGACCGCCCTCTCTCCCATGTGGGGCTCATTAACCATGAATCCAATTATTAAAACAAGCTCAGCTGAGCAAATGGTCAAACATAAAAACATGTGGAAGGAACAAAGAGGTCAACCCCATTATCCATTAAAAACCATCAAGGTGGCGGCCCTCACTGAGGGGTACAGTTCTCCAGCGGGCCCTCATCTGCCCTCCAAACCCACATGCCTCCGCAGTGGAAGGCCAGCAAAGCCACACAGGAAGAGTTGGGGTAGGAAAGCCGAAAGTGAACCCCAGGAGGCCAGCCTGGCTATGCAGCCCCATCCCACACACACTGGCCCGGTGATTCAGGGGCCAACGTTTGCAGGACACCGGGAGCTCACAGGGACAGCGCCCCGGGGATGCAAGGAACTTTGCCTCTCTGTCCCTCTCTGTAGGGATGGAAAGAGGAGAGCGATTTCTGGGGTGGAAGCCATCTGCCTCCTCTCAACTCTTGCTGCCCAACCAGAAAGGGAAGAAAAACAGGAAGATGCGGGACGGGTGAGGAGCTGGGTAAGCGCCGCCAGCCCGCAGTCCAGCAGAGCAGGGCTTGGCCAAGCCTGGCGCCAGGGACTTCCCCCCTACCCCCACCACAGGCCCCTCGCCAGGTGAGAGGCACCGACAGGGTCCCAGACAGATGCCCCAGACAGGATGCCCAGCGCAACAACCGCCACTTCCCCTGCTAGGGGCCCCCAGGACGCGGGGCTGCCCCTCTCTTTTTGGCCAGCCGCAGAGTCCAGCGGGTCTCCCAGCCAGGGACGTCGTGGGAGAATCAGGAAGTCAAAGCCACACAGCCGAGAAGCGGCAGCTGGCGTCTCGGAGGCCGTCACGCGCTGTCACTCCGCGCCCTTCGGAGTTGCCGCTAAAATACCAACTTCAACCCGGGGCCGGCCACTGAGCCTCCCGCCGCCCCTACCGGCGCCCCCGGCACCCCCGGACCCCGGCGCCCGCGTCACTTACTCCTCTGCCTTCGCCACCTGTCTGGGTGCCGGTCTCCTCCCTGCCTGGCCGCGGCGCGTCCTCCCCGTCCTCGCAGTCCTCGGGTTCTGCGCTTCCCCCCTCCAGCTACAGCCGCAGCCTCTTCTCTTCGGGAGGGACGTCGTCCTCCTCCCTCCTGGGCCGGCCATCCCTGCCTCGGGGCTTGCCAGTGGCTTCCGAGCTGCCGGAAGGGCTGGCCACGGCTGGGGGGCTCTGCCTGCACCTGGAGAAGAGGAAGGATACGGCGCGAGCGGCCTCTCGGCGGAGCTGGGGCGTCTGAGCGCGGGCTCGGTGGGTCCGCCCGGAGAGGGGCTGGGCATAGCGGCCGGCTCGGGCTCCTACGCGGGCCGCTCCTGGCTCTCGCGCCCTCTGCTGGCCGCTCGCGCGCACCGCGGAGAAGCCGGGCCCTGGCCTGCGCTGCACTCACCTGCCCCCGCCCAGGCAGTCGCTGTCCCCTGCCTGTGGCCAGACCCGCTCTGGCCAGGCCCTGCACCTCCTCCCCACCCCAGCCAGGTTGCACCCCGATGGTCTCCCTGCCCAAGGAGGAGAGAAGAGAAGGGAAGCCCCGAGAGGGTGGACATCGGCCACAGCCACCTTGTCTTTGCTCTTACCGTGTGTCTTCCATGATTTGGAGGTGGTGGGAAACCCGAGGCTGCTCAAAACTCGTGGAGAATTCCGCCTGCAGGATGACATGAATGCACCTTCCCATTGCCTACCAACAGACCTTTTTTGAGCATCACTGTGGACCAGGTGTGGTGATGGGGGAGGGGATATTGTGGAGAACATGACAGGCATTGCCTTCACCCAGTGGGGCTCAGCGCTGGGTGGGAAGGCATTGAGAATGGACATTGTCAATTGGGCCAAAGGAGGCCAAGGAGAAGTGCTGGGGGCATGGGAACTGAAAAAGACAGGAGGCTCAGCAGGTCTTGGAGCTGGGAAAGTGACAGCAGCAGCGGCTGTTCCAAAGGAAGCAACAGCTGAGAGAGGTCTCGGAGAGTTGTTCTCAGCCCAGTGGAGGGTGTTCAGGCAGAGGGAACAGCGTGTGCAAAAGCCCAGAGGCTGGGAAAGAAGCAGAAAGAGGACTGTGGGGCTGGAGCATGGTGGGCAAGGGGAGGAAGGTGTGGTGGGCAGACAGATTGACTGGGACCCAGCTGTGCAGGGGCAGAGGAGATAGGGGATCCTTGCAGGCCCCCAGCCGGGGCTCAGGCACAGAGACAATGCAGGTGGGCAAAGGGAGGAGACGTGGAGAAATATTTTGGAGGCATGCCCTGATGAATGAGCCCAGGATGCACCCTTAGTGTCAGTGTGGAGCTCCTTCCTTGACTGTGTGATGAGCTGAACTCGGGGGTATTTTCTGGACATTGAGGTGCTACACCAAGAGCCCAGGACAGGCTAAGTGAGCACTAGCAGCTCCTGGCCCACCTCAAAAGCAGGAGAGACAGGGGAGACTGGGGAGGCCGGGGTGGAAGGGGAAGCCAGGAAGGTAGGAGAGGCCAGGGAAGCAGAGGAGGCCAGGGAGGCAATGGAGGCAGGAGAGGCTGGGGAGGTTATGTCCTTTCCATGATTCTGCCCTGGATCCTAGGCCCCTGAACTCCCTGAGCTTCCCCACCCCAAGCGCTGGAACCAGGTTGCACAATGGTCTCCCCACTAAGCTCCTGATGGCAGCCCCTACCCTGCTGTGCTCCCTATTTCAACCCTAACAGCTCTCACAGTGGGCAGCACATAGTAGGTGCTCAGGAAACACTGGTGGGAGAGCACGTGGGTCTGCTCAGCACCTTCCTCTCTCCTCCAGCTCTCCCCATCATGAAATAATTCTGATAACGACACATGGACTTTGAGACCCTCTTCTATTACTTTCCATATGCTAATGCATCTATACCTCACAGCAGCCCTGGGGGTGGGTGCAATGAGGATGCCCATTTTATAGAGGAGGAGACTGAGGTATAAAGAGGGTAAGTGACATACGCACACTACAGGGGCTGGGGCCAAGTGATCAGAGCACTCAATCCCCAAAGGCAAGGTAGATGCAGTTATCATAAAAGACAGCAGAGTCAAAGCTGCAACCAGAATAGCCTGACTCCCAGCGACCTATGGTGCCTGCTGATCGTGGCTTTCCTAGAAGTGAAATAGATAAGAAGCCTGCCACATTTCACTTGATCTGTGTTTGCAGAAGAGCTCTAGGTCAAGTGAGCAGAAGTCTAATCTGAATCATAAAAACAGAGTCACAGTCCCCAGTCAATTTCCAGACATAAGCCAGTTCACAGACCTGGAGTCCCTTGTCTGAATGAGAAGCCAGGTCCCCTCCAGAAAGGACTCTGCTCCACTGCCAAAAATTTATACTGTCAGTCTTTCTCCCAACCTGCCCCCAAGGGAATACACAGCCTTTCGCCAGGATGACTGAACAGGAGAAAAGGAACTAATGAGACCTGTGCAGGATCACTGGACACAGGCTCTGAACTGGCACTAGGGCGAGACTAGGTTCTACCAGTCAGAATAGGCATTTTGGAGGTCAGGTGAATGTTGGTGCAAGTTCATGTCACGGTAGGTCCATTGGGTCCCCAAATCCATCCCCTCTGGTTATATACAAAGCGGCAATGCTGAGATTCAAATTCAGGGCATCCGACATAGAGCCTGGGCTCTTACTCATGAAACATTCTGACACTAGTAACCAATTTAAAAGTGCAAACACCTCCTGGGACTAGAATGGGTCCCCAAAACAGTCATGTAAATTGGTTCTGTCAAGAATTTCCTCCCACCCCCTGCTGAGAGCCAGTTGCAAGGAGAGACTAGGGAAGGGCATTGGGTAACTTTGTTGCTAAAAGCTCTTCTGGATAAAGACGTATGGGAAAAGAAGCAAATAGAGTTCAGCAGAAGAGGTAAGAAAGTAAGTTTATGTTTGGCCAGGCACGGTGGCTCACGCCTGTAATCCCAGCACTTGGGAAGGCCGAGGCGGGCAGATCACGAGGTCAAGAGATCGGACTATCCTGGCCAACATGGTGAAGCCCCGTCTCTACTAAAAATTCAAAAATTAAATGGGCATGATGGCGCGCGCCTGTAGTCCCAGTTACTCGGTAGCCTGAGGCAGGAGAATCACTTGAACCCAGGAGGTGGAGATTGCAGTGAGCGGAGATCATGCCACTGCACTCCAACCTGGGCAACAGAGTAAGACTCTGTCTTAAAAAAAAATTAAAATAAATAAATGCTATGCGCAGCATTTTCCATGTACTGTCTTATTATCTCGGTGAATCCCATATAACCTTCCTATCAAAGTGTATCTCATTTATCTCCATTTTATAGATGAGAAAACTGAGGCCCCTGGAGTAGTATTAATTTTCCAAGACCGCATTGCTCATAAAGGGTACAGCAGGGACCCAAGCTCGACACTCTCACCCTCAAACATTTATACAAGTGTGGACCAATGGCTCTCAACTGGGGTGGTTTTGCTCACGTACCGCTCCCTTGCCCCACATTATTTGAAACCATCTGGAGACGTCTGGGGTAGCCATAGCAGGGAGGGTAGAATGGCACCTAGAGGATGGAGACCACAGATGCTGCTAACCATCCTTCAATACACAGGACAGCCCCACCACCAGCACCACGAATGGTCTCACCACAAATATTCTGACTGTGCCAAAGCTGAGAAACCCAGGTTTCTCCTCAGCAAGAAGGAAAATCCCTGCAACGTGGATGCACCTCTACAGGAGCCCCAGGCTGACAATAACCTTCCTGATCTGGTTTCAACCCTGGATGCTTTTACCTGGTGCGTCCATCAGGGATTTCAGGGACTCCAGTGAGTTATCACCCTTGAATGCTCGGTTCTGCCTGACAACCCAGAAATCTCTGCCGAGGTGCCTGGTCTTGCGGAAGACTCAGCAAGTGGTTGAGGTGGACAACCAAATACCTAGGAGAGACTTTTCTCTCCCTCCAGGAGGAGCTGTGGGTCAGACACACACTGGGATCATTCACAAGTGGTCAATAAAGGCTTGAGGAGGGGCAGATTTTCTAGGCCTTCTCAATGGGGTGGGTGTTTGTGGATAAACAAGAAGCCTGTGAAACTTCTGATATTGGGAGGAAATCAATGCCCCCCCCTCCACCCTCCCCCACCTCCCCACCATAAACACATGCCCTGCAGCAGGACTTGACACTCAAGGGCTCCTGGGGTCCCGATTAATCTGCTAAAACATCCTCTAGCCACCACCGAATAAAGCAACCGCTTGCCACCCAACCACAAGAGCACAGCCTGGGAGCCACTCCAAGGGACATCCAGTCACATTAAAACCTCAGCCATCCAGAGCACCAGGCCTGGTGATGAGAAAGAACATTTTATCCTTAAAAGCATCTGAATGCCCATGCTGCTTCTTGCAGAGAAAAGTCCAAAATAATCTGTTATTAAAGAACGAGGATGGTTTTGACATTTTTACCAAGCTAGTGGTCTACGCAGACAAAATCTCATAAAAGGGCACTCTGTTCTTCTTGATCCACTCAGACATGGCCTGTGAGTGAAGAAACGGGCTCTCCTCCTCAAAGAAATCACTGCTGATCCTCGTACCAGCCTGACACTGCTTCATGGGTTCTTCAAAGAGAGTATTCCCATAGGAACTAAAAGGGAAGAGGAATGTGTCTGGCGGGCATTGTGGGCAGCAGTGAGCTTTGGGCCAAATTTTAAGTTTGCAAATCAGGATTCCCTCTTTTCAAGGGGCTGCCGGACTGAGCAGATACAGGCACCGTGAAAAGAGCGTGCCATGTTCAGATTCAGGAAACAAGGATGGTTTCTGTTCAGTTCCTCCATCATCCTTCAGGTCATGCTATTCCCATTTCCCTCTGTGGACCAAACAATTCAGTGGGGTTTCTGCCTTTTAAACATTTCATTATCAACATATCATCCTTTTAGCCTCCAGAAAGCATTTTAACATGGAGATTCTGGCTTAAGACTCTTGTGGGTCTGTCTGTCTCTCTCTCTCTCTTTTCCTTGAAACGGTCTCACTTTGTCACCCAGGCTGAAGTGCAGTGGCATGATCACAGCTCACTGCAACCCAACCTTCCAGGCTCTAGCAATCCTCCCACCTCAGCCTCCCAAGTACTTGGGACTGCAGGCACACACCACCATAACTGCCTTTTTTTTTTTTGGTAGATATGAGGCTTCACCGTGTTGCCCAGGCTGGTCTTAAACTCCTGAGCTCAAGCGATCCTCCCCCTTCGGCCTCTCAAAGTGCTGGGATTATTGGCTTGAACCACCATGCCCAGCCAAGAACCTTGTCTCTTGTGACGTACTCCAGAACAAAACATCACTGCAAAAACACACCAAGGCATGAGTTTTAGTCCTAAGTCCCACTTATCCACCATACACTATGTGCCAGGCACAACGCTAAGTGCTTCTATGGACGAGCTTCCCTTAATCTCAGCAGCAACAACCCCAGGCAATGGAGCCTGTTGACAGATCCATTTGCCACTGAAGACAGTAAGGCTCAGAGAGGGTAAGTGGCTTGTGCCATGTCAGCCAGCTAAGGAGGGGCAGAACCAGGATGCAAACCCCAGCCGCCTGGCTCCAAAATCACATTCCCAAGGTCTCACTACACTTGGTCACTCCACCGCATTCTGGTATCCTGGTCTTTGGCAGAGTCCACGTAAAAGAGGGAGGTAGAGGGAGTGAGAGGGACTTCATGCAATAAAGTTTCCCGGCGTTACACTGCCACCGTAATTGTGTCCCCGACCAGGACCTCTCCCTTCTCATCCTTTCCGTGATCGGCCCTGGAAAACCTTCCAAAGAACTGTCCTCCTTCTCCCGGGATCTCAGAGAAAATTCACCTGAGTTCAGTGTCCAGGTGACCCAAGCTCTGAATGCGGTAACGTGGACGGGGAGATGAGGATGTCACCATGAGCAAGCCTCCCAGACAGCATCCAGGAGCAACCCCCAGACTGGGCGGGGGGGTTCTGATCCTGCCCATGGCGAGGAGGGCTGCCCATGCTGCCTAAATGGGTTCAGAATGAAGGCTGCACTCCCAACTTCAACCCGGGGACGGCCACGGAGCCTCCCGACGCCCCTTCGTCGCGTCCCCGGCACCCCCGAGCCCCCGGCACTCCCGGACCCCCGCGCCCGCATCACTTACTCCTTTGCCGTCGCCACCTGTCTGGGTGCCGGTCTCCTTCCTGCCCGGCAGCGGCGGGTCCTCCCCGTCCTCGCAGTCCTCGGGCTGTGCGCTTCCCCCCTCCAGCTACAGCCCCAGCCTCTTCTCTTCGGGAGGGACTTCCTCCTCCCCCATCCTGGGACTGCCATCCCTGCCTCGGGGCTTGCCAGTGGCTTCGGAGCTGCTGGAAGGGCTGGCCATGGCTCCGCGGGCTCTGCCTGAACTTGGGGAAGAAGAAGGACCCGGCTCAAGCGGCTTCTCGGCGGAGCTGGGGCGTCTGAGCACGGGCTCGGTGGGTCCGCGCGGCGCGGAGCTGGGTATCGGGGCCGGCCCGGGCTCCTCCGCGGGCCGCGCCTGGCTCTCTGGCGCCCTCTTCTGGCCGCTCTCGCGCACCTCTGCCACGCCGGGCCCAGGCCTGCGCAGCTGTCACATGTCCTGGCCCAGGAGGTCGCTGTCCCTTGCCCATGGACAGGTCCGCTCTGGCAATGCCCTGCACCACCTCCCCGCCCCAGCCAGGTTGCACCCCGATGGTCTCCCTGCTCAAGGAGGAGAGAAGAGAAGGGACGCCACGATAGGGTGGACATCGGCCACAGCCACCTTGTCTTTGCTCTTACCCTGTGTCTTCCATGATTTGGAGGTGGTGGGAAACCCGAGGCTGCTCAAAACTCGTGGAGAATTCCGCCTGCAGGATGACATGAATGCACCTTCGCATTGCCTACCAACAGATCTTTTTTGAGCATCACTGTGGACCAGTCGTGGTGATGGGGGAGGGGATATTGTGGTGAACATGACAGGCATTGCCTTCACCCAGTGGGGCTCAGCGCTGGGTGGGAAGGCATTGAGAATGGACATTGTCAATTGGGCCAAAGGAGGCCAAGGAGAAGTGCTGGGGGCATGGGAACTGAAAAAGACAGGAGGCTCAGCAGGTCTTTGAGCTGGGAGAGGGACAGCAGCAGCGGCTTTTCCAAAGGAAGCAACAGCTGAGAGAGGTCTCAGAGAGTTGTTCTCAGCCCAGTGGAGGGTGTTCAGGCAGAAGGAACAGCGTGTGCAAAAGCCCAGAGGCTGGGAAAGAAGCAGAAAGAGGACTGTGGGGCTGGAGCGTGGTGGGCAATAGGAGAGAGGTGTGGTGGGCAGACAGATTGCCTGGGACCCAGCCGTGCAGGGGCAGAGGAGATAGAGGATCCTTGCAGGCCCCCAGCTGGGGCTGAGGCACAGAGACAATGCAGGTGGGCAAAGGGAGGAGACGTGGAGAAATATTTTGGAGGCATGCCCTGATGAATGAGCCCAGGATGCACCCTTAGTGTCAGTGTGGAGCTCCTTTCTTGGCTGTGTGATAAGCTGAACCCGGGGGTATTTTCTGGACATCGAAGTGCTACACCCAGAGTCCAGGACAGGCTAAGTGAGCACCAGCAGCTCCTGGCCCACCTCAAAAGCAGGAAAGACAGGGGAGACTGGGGAGGCCGGGGCGGAAGGGGAAGCCAGGAAGGCAGGAGAGGCCAGGGAACAGAGGAGGTCAGGGAGGCAGGGGAGGCAGGGGAGGCTGGGGCGGCTGTGTCCTTTCCATGATTCTGCCCTGGATCCTAGGCCCCTGTAGTCCCTGGGCTTCCCCACCCCAAGCACTGTAACCATGTTGCACAACGGTCTCCCCACTAAGCTCCTGATGGCAGCCCCTATCCTGCTGTTCTCCCTATTTCAACCCTAACAGCTCTCACAGTGGGCAGCACATAGTGGGTGCTCAGGAAACACTGGTGGGAGAGCACGTGGGTCTGCTCAGCACCTTCCTCTCTCCTCCAGCTCTCCCCATCATGAAATAATTCTGATAACGACACATGGACTTTGAGACCCTCTTCTATTACTTTCCATATGCTAATCCATCTATACCTCACAGCAGCCCTGGGGGTGGGTGCAATGAGGATGCCCATTTTATAGAGGAGGAGACTGAGGTATAAAGAGGGTAAGTGACATACGCACAGTACAGGGGCTGGGGTCAAGTGATCAGAGCACTCAATCCCCAAAGGCAAGGTGGATGCAGTTACCATAAAAGACAGCAGAGTCAAAGCTGCAACCAGAATAGCCTGACTCGCAGAGACCTATGGTGCCAGCTGATCGTGGCTTTCCTAGAACTGAAATAGATAAGAAGCCTGCCACATTTTTACTGGATCTGTGTTTGAAGAAGAATTCTAGGTCAGGTGAGCAGAAGTCTAATCTGAATCATAAAAACAGAGTCACAGTCCCCCGTCAATTCCCAGACATAAGCCAGTTCACAGACCTGGAGTCCCTTGTCTGAATGGGAAGCCAGGTCCCCTCCAGAAAGGACTCTGCTCCACTGCCAAAAATTTATACTGTCAATCTTTCTCCCAGCCTGTCCCCAAGGGAATACACAGCCTTTACCAGGATGACTGAATAGGAGAAAAAGAACTAATGGGACCTGTGCAAGACCACTGGACACAGGCTCTGAACTGGCACTAGGGCGAGACTAGGGTCTACCAGTCAGAATAGGCATTTTGGAGTTCAGGTGAATGTTGGTCCAAGTTCATGTCATGGTAGATCCATTGGGTCCCCAAATCCGTCCTCTGCTTATATACAAAATGGCCATGTTGAGACTTAAATTCAGGGTATCCAACTTAGAGGCTGTGCTCTTACTCATGAAACATTCTGACACTAGTAACCAATTTAAAAATGTAAACACCTCCTGGGGCTAGTGAGAGTCCTCCAAACAGTCATGTAAATTGGTTCTGTCAAGGATTTCCTCCTACCCACCCCCCCCACCACTGAGAGTCAGTTGCAAGGAGAGACTAGGGAAAGGCATTGGGTAACTTTGTTGCTAAAAGTTCTTCTGGATAAACAAGAGCCTTATCCAGGAAAAAGAAGCAAAATAGAGTTCAGCAGAAGTTGCGAAAAGAAGCACATAGAGTTCAGCAGAAGAGGTAAGAAAGTAAGTTTATGTTTGACCAGGCACGGTGGCTCACGCCTGTAATCCTAGCACTTTGGGAAGCCAAGGCGGGCAGATCACGAGGTCAAGAGATCGCACCATCCTGACCAAAAAGGTGAAGCCCCGTCTGTACTAAAAATTCAAAAATTAGCTGGCCATGATGGCACACGCCTATAGTCCCAGCTACTCGGGAGCCTGAGGCAGGAGAATCACTTGAACGCAGGAGGCAGAGGTTGCAGTGGGCCAAGATCATGCCACTGCATTCCAACCCGGTGACAGAATTAGACTCCATCTCATAAAACAAAACAAAACAAACAAAAAAAAGTAAGCTTATTTTTAAGCCTGAACAAGTGTAGTGGTTTAGGGGTTCTGCAAACACGGCCCCAATCAGGCTACAAGATGTTCTGGCAGCAATATTTACAGCCAGTCACTCCTGGCCGGCTGAGCCACTTTTCAAAACACCCTTGCACGGCTGTGCAGAGAGGCTGGCTCCACTGGCAGCCGGCAGAGCCATAACTCACACTGTCACCGCTGCCCTCAAACCACTTCGGTAAGCACTTTGTATTTTTGAGACGGAGTCTTGCTCTGTCATCCAGGCTGGAGTGCAGTGGCACAATCTCGGCTCACTGCAAGCCCCGCCTCCTGGGTTCATGCCATTCTCCTGCCTCAGCCTCCCAAGTAGCTGGGACTACAGGTGCCCGCCACCATGCCCGGCTAATTTTTTGTATTTTTAGTAGAGACGGGGTTTCACCGTGTTAGCCAGGATGGTCTCAATCTCCTGACCTTGTGATCTGCCTGCCTCGGCCTCCCAAAGTGCTGGGATTACAGGCGTGAGCCACCGCGCCCGGCCTGGTAAGCACTTTTAATCAATGCAACAGGAATAAACATTTGCTGCAGAGCGGCAATGTGCAGGGAAGAACATGCTTCCACTTAGGATCAGAAAGCAAAACCTCCTGGCTGTTTGCATCTATGCAAGAGCTCACAGGAAAAGCCCTCTGTGTGGCTGCCAGCCTCACACACTCCCCCCAAGGGGTGAATTTCTCTTTCCATGTTAATCTATGCTCTGACGTGCCATCTGTCAACCACCACACCATTCTCAGTTGACATTTCAAAGCATCTTTGCCCTGAGAATGGTCACCAGCTCTGCCCTGCAAGCCCCCAGGTGACAATGAACTTAAATGAGAGAGAAAACAGGTTTCGAGGTGGATTTCAGTTCAGCATCTTGGAGTCTCTGTGTGGACATGAAATCTGTCTCCCCAGCTGTGGACTGCATCCTTGTTTGTCATCTGGTTTGGTTCTTGGGGACTTGGAAACTCGTGGGCACCTTTGCAATTTGTCAAGAAGCTGCATGGCCCTTCCAACAAAAGCAAGGAATAGGAACAGAAGCCCTAGGCTTCAGATCAAGGTACAATTTAAAGCAGCCTCAGTATAAAAGCAAACAAGAGCCAGAGGGATGCCTAAGGCAGAGTCTACACCCCAGGGCAGCTATAAGGCAAAGAGAAAGAGAGAGAGAGACAGAGACAGAAAGACAGAGAGAGATGGGAGGAAACATGAGGCACCCAGGCATCTGGATCAAAATCCCTACAAGAGGGGCCTCCTAAAAATGCAGGAGGCTGAGGTGGGTGCACACAGAAGTTCAAGACTAGCCTGGGCAACACAGCAAGACCGTGTCTTTACAAAAAATACAAAAATTAGCCGGGTGTGGTGGTGTATGTCTGTGGTCCCAGTTACCCAGGAGACTGAGGTGGGAGGATTGCTTGAGCCCAGGAGATAGAGCTGCAGCAAGCTGAGATAGCACCACTGCACTCCAGCCTGGACAACAGAGTGAGACTTCATCACAAAAAAATTTAAAAAATTTTTTAAAAAGGATCACCCCGGCTACTCGAATGGGTAATAAGAAGGTAAGAGCAGAAGCAAGGAGACCAGCAGGGACATTTTGCAGGTGGGAGTCCACAGAGGTTCAGACCAGGCTGGGGCTGAAGACTGCCTGAATTCTGTGTATATTTTGATGATGAAGCAACTCACCGACTCTTGAAGAGTGGGCTCCAGGAGATGGTATTTTTAACAAGGTCTCAGAGGATTCTAATGCAGGCTGAAGTTGAAGAACTGGTTTAGGTGAAGCTTCTGTTTCATCCTTGGGGAAGTACCTACTGACTTTTCTCTAAGCCACCACAAAAGAGGTGCTAGACAAGATGTGCTCCAATGTCTGAACATGTGTGCACAGCTCTAGAGCCAACCTAAGGACACTGAGTCAAAGGTTAGGAGTACAACAGTGAACAACCACTGTCCTCTTTTCAATAAGCTTTGCATTTAATGAGAGAAATAAAAAGCAAAAAAAAAAAAAATCATTTTCAACTCAGAATGGTAAGAGTTATGGTGACAGTATGCCTGGGGCAATGGGAGCACATAGAAGGGGTACCCAATCGGCCAGGTGCAGTTGTTCATGCCTGTATTCCCAGCACTTCAGGAGGCCAAGGTGGGTGGATCACTTGAGGCCAGGAGTTCGAAAACAGCCTGGCCAACATGGTGAAATCCTGTCTTTACTAAAAATACAAAAAAATTAGCCAGATGTGGTGGGGGGCACCTGTAATTCCAGATACTCAGAAGGCTGAGGTGGGAGAATTGCTTGAACCCGGGTGGTGGAGATTGCAGTGAGCCAAGATCGCACCACTGCATTCCAGCTTGCATGGTCAGAGCGAGACTCTTTCAAAAAAAAAAAAAAAGAAAGAAAAAAGAAAAAGCTCGGAGGTGGGTGGGCATGCAATCTATATCAGGTGGTGAGAAATCCTTCTCCACCACAGGACTCCTCAGTTGAAGACTAGAAAATGGTAGGAACTAGCCAGGTCGATAGGAGAGGTGTGGAAGATCATTCTCAGCAGAGGGAAGAGCATGTGTAAAAATCGAGACGTGAGAGGGTGAGGAGCTGAGAGATGTTCATATAATTGTAAAAAGTGAGTAATATAGAGGTAAGTTGGAGCCAAATCTTAAAGGCTCTTTGTCGTGTCTATCCTGTAGAGAAAGGGAGACAGTAGATGTTTTTATGCAGGGGAGTAATGATCCACTTTGTGCTAGAAGAAGAGCAGTCTGGCTGGAGGAGAGTGGGTGGTGAGTAGACCAGGTAGGAGGCTGCAATACGCCAAGTGAGACAAGATGGTTGGCTGGACCAAGGCTGTGGCAGTGAGGATGGAGAGGAGACAGTAGACTAACTTGACTGAGAAAGAGGGAGGAATGAAGGAGGAGGCCCAGGTGATTTGGAAGCTGGGTGGATGGTGGTGTGAATCTGACGTGTTGAGCCCTGGCAGAAGAGGAAATCAGGAGAGGAAAGGTAAGATGAGGTCAATGCAAGACAGACAGCCAAGTGGAGATAACAACTGGGCAGTTGGATTCATCAGCCTGGAGTTATACAGAGAGCTCTGGAATGGAAATAAAGAGGAAAGGACTTTGGGAATAGGTGAATCCTCCCAGAATAATGTGTAAGAAAGGAGAATAGAACACAGGGGACAGAAAAAGGGAAGAGATTTGTTATTAAAACCAACCATCCATCAGACATCTTCCAATAAAACACTTGTTAGAGGTTTCCTCAGTGTGAGTTATTCAGGACCAGAGCTAAAGACCATATTCCCAATAAAATCACTGCTGGGAAGGTCTTCATGAAAACATTTAATGCTGCTTTTAAAACAACAACAATAAAAAGGCTTTAGCTACTGCACAGACCCTGGAGCAATTTTTCGGCAAGAGTCTATCAAACACGAATCTGATCTGACTCAAGGAGGTGTCATATCAAGTGTAAAAATCCAATTCCAATGTCCATAAGAGCCTTTCTGCCAGGTACAAGACCCTAATCCAGTTGAAGTGATTTTCTATTGATTAATAGGCTGGGAATACACAGGTTGTTGGTTTTTGAGATTTCCCTCCCTGTGCCTTCATGCCAGCTGTGAAAGAGTCAAAAGGCTCCTAACTGTCAAAATAAAAATGACACTTGGTCACAGAGGAAGCAGATTATAGGTCAATCACATTGATGACTTTTTAACTATGAGAAGCCATTAATGTTACTGAATAAGCAAATCTGTTTGCATAAGCAGATTTTTATAGGCTACTGGGAATAAAGGTTTTCCTAAGTGGGTGATTTGTACAACGATAGCCTTTGGGTCTCTGATGGAACAGCTCTGATGAGGAAATGTTCCTTTAATTATGTGGAAGGCCAATTACCACGTTATAGCCACATTGTTTTGCAGATTGCATATAATTTCACCATTTCCATAGTTTCAGCACTATAATTCTGGAGAAAATTCAGGCACCAAGGAGACACTTGAGGCACACTATGCTGGAGACAAAGATGTTTTAGCGAATTCAATTTAAGCTTCAACATTAAAGTTATTTTGTTGAATAAAACATAATGCAATAATGAGCTTGTGTATGTCAACTCTATAGTGCAGGTAATAATAGCTAGAGAGAGCATGTCCCGTCTCCTCTTTTTAATGCTCATTTGAGTAATACATAATGCTATAGAGAGAACTTTTCTCTAATATGTGCTTCACCTCAGGCTAAGCGTGTTTTGGGCAACTGTGCTTCATGAAAAAAAGGTAAAGGATCTAATTTGGGAGCCACTCACAAAAGTGCTACCACTTGATGTTTTTTTATACTCTGAGATTTCTTATTCCCAGTGCCTACCAGGAATGGACTTTCTGGAGAAGCTCAGATTAATCACTCCTTATGAGAGGTAACAGCGTGTTGGCAGCCCTCACAGCCCTCGTTCACTCTCGGCACCTCCTCTGCCTGGGCTCCCACTTTGGCAGCACTTGAGGAGCCCTTCAGCCCACGGCTGCATGGTGGGAGCCCCTTTCTGGGCTGGCCGAGGTCAGAGCTGGCTCCCTCAGCTTGCAGGGAGGCATGGAGGGAGAGGCATGAGCTGGAACTGGGGCTACGTGTGCTGCTTGCCTGCCGGCTGGAGTTCTGGATGGGCTTGGGCTTGGTGGCCCTGCACTAGGAGCTGCCGGCTGGCCTTGCCGGCCGGGGCTGTGAGGGGCTTAGCACCTGGGCCAGCAGCTGCTGTGCTCGACTTCTCACCGGGCCTTAGCTGCCTCCCTGCGGGGCAGGGCTCGGGACCTGCAGCCTGCCATTCCTTAGCCTCCCCCCTCTGTGGGCTCCTGTACGGCCCAAGCCTCCCCGATGAGCACCACCCCCTGCTCCATGGCGCCCAGTCCCATCGACCACCCAAGGGCTGAGGAGTGTGGGTGCATGGAGAGGGACTGGCAGGCAGCTCCACCTGCAGCTCCTGTGCTGGGTCCACTGGGTGAAGCCAGCTGGGCTCCTGAGTCTGGTGGGGACTTGTAGAACTTTATGTCTAGGTAAGGGATTGGAAATACACCAATTGGCACTCTGTATCTAGCTCAAGGTTTGTAAACACACTAATCAGCACCCTGTATCTAGCTCAGGGTTTATGAATGCACCAATTGACACTCTGTATCTAGCTACTAGGGTGGGGACTTGGAGAACCTTTGTGTGGACACTCTGTATCTAGCTAATCTAGTGGGGACGTGGGGAGCATTTGTGTCTAGCTCAGGGATTGTAAACGCACCAATCAGTGCCCTGTCAAAACAGACCACTCAGGCTCTCTGTAAAATGGACCAATCAGCAGGATGTGGGTGGGGCCAGGTAAGAGAATAAAAGCAGGCTGCCCGAGCCAGCAGTGGCAACCCACTGGGGTCCCCTTCCACACTGTGGAAGCTTTGTTCTTTTGCTCTTTGCAATAAATCTTGTTGCTGCTCACTCTTTGGGTCCACACTGACTTTATGAGCTGTAACACTCACCGAGAAGGTCTGCAGCTTCTCTCCTGAAGCCAGCAAGACCATGAACCCACTGGGAGAAATGAACAACTCCAGACCTGCAGCCGTAAGAGCTGTAACACTCACCGTGAAGATCTGCAGCTTCACTCCTGAGCCAGCGAGACCACGAGCCCCACCTGAAGGAAGAAACTTCAAACACATCCGAACATCAGAAGGAACAAACTCCAGACACGCCACCTTTAAGAACTGTAACACTCACCAGGAGGGTCCACAGCTTCGTTCTTGAAGTCAGTGAGACCAAGAACCCACCAATTCTGGACACACTTATACACTTGGCACTGGGAGGTCTGTATGGAGCAAGTGAAGAAATCAGCAGAGTGAAGATAGAAGGAGAACAACATGATGGGGGAAAGACAAAGTTAGTGCCACATTGGTTTCAATTCTGCCACTCATGAGTGAGACCCATGACCTCCTCTCTCTAGGACTCTGTTTTTCTTATATGTAGAGTGGAGGAATAGAAGGGCCTTTTAAAGTATTAACATTTCCTGACCTATCTGTAAAACACTTTCATTCAAACTGATGGGAATCTTGACTACTTTGCCAAGAGGACATAATAATCATCAAGCTGAATGCACCAAACAGCATTGCCTGAAACTATCTAAGCAAAAACTGAGAAAGTTACACAGGACAGACAAACCTCCTATGAGAGTAAGAACTCTTCAGCACATGCTTAGTGTGTCAAAGACAATACTGTGTTCACACCATTCCTCTTCCTGGACATGCAGAAAGACTACATTTCCCAGCCTCATTTGCAGTTAGTTTGGAACCATGTGACTGCATTTCCACCAATAGGAATGTAAGAAATCACTTCTGGGCCAAGGTTATCAAAGTGTGAGCTATGTTCCCTCTCTTCCTATCCATATGGCTACAAGTGAAAAACTCTGAGATGGCAGAATTAAAAGATGGAAACCTCCAGAATCTCTGAATCACTGTTGGACAAGGGCCCCCAAGGAGAACCCCTGCCCTGCACCAGACTATGCTATGGGTGTCAACCCACTGAGAGTTCAGGGTTTATTCGTCTCAGCAGCAGTCTATTGTTACACTGACTAACATCCTGAGGTTTGAGAGGTCTAGCATATTGTTAACTGAAGTTAGATTTCAATTACACTGAGAACCTTATCTATTTAAAAATAAAAACTCTCCTAAAAAAAACAAATAATCCACATTCCTTTTAACCACATGTGGCAAATTTGCAAAAAAAAAAAAACAAAAAAAAAACTGGCCACATATTAGGCCATAAAGAAGTCTCAACAAAATCCACTATACGATTGACAGTGTCCAGACCACATTTTCCTGACCATAATGCCACAAAATTAGAAGTCAACAGCAAGAAGATAGCTAAACACAAGCATATATTTGGAAAATTAAAAATATCCTTTCATGAGTTAAATGAAAAATCACAATAGAAATTACTAAACATTTACAACTGAATGAAAACACAACTTTATATATATATGTATATATATATAATATGTATATATATATATATATTTTTTTTTGTGAGTCTTCCAAATTTGTTCTTCTTTTACAAGGTTATTTGGGAAATTCTGGGTCTCCTGCAATTCCTCTTACAGTTTTATGCTGTGTGTCAATTTCTGTGGCTGGGTCTATGAGAACTTATCGTAGTTCTCATAGACCAGGGTTTGCATGTTGCTGTCTAGAGCCCGGATCTGCTGCACCATGTCCGTCTCACTATCCATCAGCTGGGCCAGAGGGCACTCTCTAGGAAGCTTGTCTAGGTAAACTTCCGGGTCGAAGTGTACCCCGTTCATATCAGTGGGGTCCAGGGGGTCGGTCCCCGCAGGGAGTCCCACCGCCTCCACTTCCGAGAGGCCGTTGTAAAACTTCAGCATCCTGTCCGCCTTCCACCGACGCTCCTTGAGCCTCCCCCTCGGGCCCTTCTGGGGAGTCCCCAGGTCCACACCCCGGGCTAGGCCCAGTGACAGCTGCCGCCGCCATAGCTCCAACTGCAGCCCACGGGCGTAACTTTTATATTTTTAAGTTGGATACATGGAGCTACTTGGCTTTTGCTTTCATCACCTCTTTGAGGAAAGAGCTGGTTGCTTATGGTACCCCTGTTTTTACTGCATCCTGTAATGGATGAGAACCTCCCTGTTGCAGAGAGCAAAACACTGAACTAAATTGTGCTGTAACACAGCTCTGTATTGGGGGAGTGGGAGTGATCATGCAAACGCTTGCAAATTTGCACAGTGACAGAGACAATCGTTTGGGCACCTGTTCACTATATGAAAAGGCAATTGACCAAAAGTCAGTTACTGAGCTATCTCAATACTTTCATTTTATTTTAACTTTTGGCAGCAGCGTGCAATTAAAGGAGAGAAAGAAAACAAAGTGATAAGTGTAAGATAATGTACACACATGTGTAAAAGAAAATGACAAGACAGGATGACCATTTGTCTCTTGGTTAGCTCCTTGGGCTCTATGTCTCCTTCCTCGGAGAACCTCGTTTTCCTTTGTCCAGATTTGTTAGGGTGGGTAATCCAGGCGCCTGCTCCCCCATGATGGAAGCCAAAGACATCCCTGGAGCAGCGTCCCGCTGCATCCTTTCCTGCACTGCCCACATGGACACAACTCAGCCGATTAGTCTTCCTCTCAGAACTTTAGTCTTGAGCAAAGGGATTAAAGGGTGAAGTGACTAAAGGTATGCCCTTCCAAAGTGGTACGTGAGCTAACGGCTAAAGTTTGCCATTTTTTCGTAATTTTTATTTATTTATTTTTTTGAGACGGAGTCTTGCTCTGTTGCCCAGGCAGGAGTGCAGTGGTGTGATCTCGATTCACTGCAACCTCTGTCTCCCGGCTTCAAAGGAGTCTCCTGTCTCAGCCTCCCCAGTAGCTGGGATGACAGGCGTATGCCACCATGCCTGGCTAATTTTTTTGAGTTTTTTTTGGTATTTTTAGTAGAAACAGGGTTTCACCATGTTGGCCAGGCTGGTCTCGAAATCCTGACCTTGTGATTCGCCTGTCTCAGCCTCCCAAAGGGCTGGGATTACACACGTGAGCCAACGCGCACAGCTTCAAAGAGTTTTAAGCAGAGCTCAGAGGTCTTAACCACAGGCACATCGGAGGAGCATTTTTGAAACACTTTCCAGCTTCCTCAATAGGAATGGAAGCCAAACTCCGAATTGATGACTCCTTTGAGGAAGTTGAGAGCTGTAAGGAAAGCCAGGAACAGGGGCAAGGGAGAGATGCGTCCCGAATGATCCTGTGCAAATTCTTTCTGGAATCCTTGATGTGATCTCAGCTGCCCTTTCTATACATGACACAGTGATTGTGGCACCCACTGGTCTAGCTGTGGTCAACAAGGAACCCACAAAGGGAAGGGCACAGTGAGTAGGGGCATCCGCCTGAGTGACGAGGATTTGAGAGGGCAGGTTGGTTGCAGGGAGAGGACTTGCCAAATGCCATGTGTCTGGACTTAGACTGCCTGGTTCAAATTGGACTTCGCCCTTTTTGACTTCGTGATCTGGTACAAGCTGCATGAAAATCCGTTGCGCTTTTTCTAGTCTGTAAAATCATCATGAAATGTGCACTAATAACGTGGAGACTATGCAGATGAAATGAAACAAGCTGCATAGAGCACAGAGCTCAGAGCCTGGCCTTTAGGAAGCCCTCAGTAAGGGTTCATGATGCCATGGTGTCTGTCGTCATCCTCTTTATCCTCATCATCACCTTCATAATCTCTTTGTTGTTCTTAGGGAATAGTTAGAGGGACTGATTCCCTGCTATCATGGGTGAGATGTTTATGAAAAGGACAACCAGTGGGGGAGGAAAGCAAAATTTTGAATAAGATTTCTGAGACCCCCAGCACAACCAAGAACATAAACTGCACAGTCTGCTGAGCAGAGAGTTGCACATTGGTCTCCTCACATCTGCCCACCGCACTCTCCTGTTTGTCCTGAGGATGAGGAAACAAACAAGTCTCCCGACCGTCCCTCAGCACTCACTTGAAGGGGTGGCCTCCTCCTCCACAGCTGTGGGTATTTCCAGTCGGGTAGGACGAGAGACTGAGAAAAGAAATAAGATACAGAGACAAAGTATGGAGAAACAACAGTGGGCCTAGGGGACCGCCGCTCAGCATACCAAGGACCTGCACCGGCACAGGACTCTGAGTTCCCTCAGTTTTTATTGACTATTATTTTTATTATTTTAGCAAAAAGGAATGTAGTAGGAGCGCAGGGTGATAATAAGGAGAAGGTCAGCAACGAACATGTGAGAAATAGAATCTATTTCATAAGGAATTTCAAGGAAAGGTACTATGACTGGATGTGTACGTAAGCCAGATTTATGTTTCTCTCCACCCAAACATCTCAGTGGAGTAAAGAATAACAAGGCAGCATTGCTGCAAACATGTCTCGCCTCTCACCATAGGGTGGTTTTTCTCCCATCTCAGAATTGAACAAATGTACAATCGGGTTTTATACCGAGACATTCAGTTCCCAGGGGCAGGCAGGAAACAGCGGCCTTCCTCTCTCTCAACTGCAAGAGGCTTTCCTCTTTGACTAATCCACCTCAGCACAGACCCTTTACGGGGGGCGGGCTGGGGGATGGTCAGGTCTTTCTCATCCCACCAGGCCATATTTCAGACTATCACATGGGGAGAAACCTTGGACAATACCCTGCTTTCAAGGGCAGGGCTCCCTGCGGCTTTCCACAGTGTATTGTGCCCCTGGTTTATTGATACTAGAGAATGGCGATGACTTTTACAAAGTATACTGCTTGGAAACATCTCGTTAACAAGGCAAGTCCTGCATAACCCTAGATCCCTTAAACCTTGATTTCATACAACACATGTTTTTGTGAGCTTCAGGTTGGGTCAAAGTGGCTGGGGCAAAGCTACAGATTAACAACATCTCAGCAAAGCAATTGTTGAAAGTACAGGTCTTTCTCAAAATGGAGTCTCTTATGTCTTTCCTTTCTGCATAGACACAGTAAGAGTCTGATCTCTCTTTCTTTTCCCTACACTCACTGAACTGCCTCTCCCCTCTGCTGGGACATGACCACGGAGAACAGGTCCACTGTCCTCCCTGCGTGGTGCACCATGGAGGCTCAGGCTCCGTCCTCAAGGCTGGCAAGAAGACAGGGTGAGACATGAGCCTCCTGATACAGGTGACGGCTGTGGAGACCACAGGACTGCAACCTCACACTGCAGGGCGGGAGGCACAGACTGAGTATTTACTATCCTGTGGCCTGGGGGGCTCAGGCACAGAGCTCCTCATTAGCCAAAGCCGCGCAAGTTCCCCAACCTCTAAGGATGTCCTCATAATAATGCAAGAAGAAGAGAAAAGTGAGTGTCCATAGAAACTTTGGGGCTCCTCCTCTAATCAGAAGAAAGCTGGTGTGTATTCTTCGCTTCTTTCTTTTCTTTTTAAACATCCAACTGCTTTAATTTTCATCTTTTATAATGGGAAAATATACCACGTATAAATATTAAAAATTATAAATATATATTAGTTCATATAGAATGGCCAGTATAAACATTTACAATTTCCACTCTTTTTCAGTTTACAGATTAATGACATTAAGTACGTTCACATTATTTAGCAAGCCTCACCGCCATCATCTCAGGAACAGTTTTATCTTTCAAAATGGAAATTCCACCCATTCACCAAGCTCTCCATTCCTTTCTCTCGCCCACCCCTGGGGGCCACCTTTCTAGTTTGCAACTCTATGAGTTTAACTACTCTAGACACTTGATAGATAAGTGGAATCATACCGTGTTTATTTTTTTTGTTTTGGAGACAGAGTCTTTCTCTCTCACCCAGTCTGGAGTGCAGTGGTGTGATCTCGGCTCACTGCAACCTCCACATCGTGGGTTCAAGCGATTCTTGTGTCTCAGTCTCCCGAGAGGCTGGGATTACAGGCGTGCGCCACCACGCCCTGCTAATTTTTGTATTTTTAATAGAGACGAGCTTTCACCATATTGGCCAGGCTGGTCTCGAACTCCTGACCTGAAGTGATCCGCCTGGCTCAGCCTCCCAAAGTGCTGGTGTTACAGGTGCGAGCCACTGAGCCTGGGCCTGTTTATCCTTTTGGGATTTATTTATTTCACTGACGATAATGTCTTCAAGGTTCATCCATGTTGCGGCCTGCCTCAGAAGTGCCTGTCTGTTTTTTTTTTTGTTGTTTTTTGTTTGTTCGTTTGACTTTGTTTTGTTTTGTGTTTCCATAGAGTCTCACTCTGTCGCACAGGCTGGAGTACAGTGGCACAATCTGGGCTCACCTCCGCTTCCCGGGTTCCAGTGATTCTTGTGCCACATCCTCCCGAGTAGCTGGGACTATAGGCACACGCCTCCATGCTCATCTCATTTTTTGCATTTTCAGTAGGGACAGGGTTTCCCCAAGATGGCCAGGCTGGTCTTGAATTCCTGACCTCAGGTGATCCGCCCACCTCGGTCTTCCAAGACGCTGCGATTACAGGCGTGAGCCACCGCACCGGCCAGAAGTGCCTGCCTTTTGAAGGCTGAATAGTCTTCCATTGTATGAAGGAACTGCAGTGGGCTTTTTCATTCATCTGTCCACGAACCCTTGGGTTGCTTCCACATTTTGGCTCTTGTGAATAATGCTGCTATGAATATGGGTGTACACAAATCTGTCTTCCACTCCTGGCTTCTTTTTGTAGGTACCCACAAATGCAACTGCGGCAACATATGATCATCCTGTTTCTAATTTTTCCAGTAGACGCCATACTATTTTCCCCGTTCCTTCACGGTTTTACATTCCTTCTGATCAGATTCGAGCATTCCTACTTCCCTCTAGTCTCACCAATCCTGTTTGTTTATCATATCCATCCTAATGTGTGGTGTCACATTCTTGGTTTGATTTGCGCTTCCTTATGATGAGTGATTTTGAACATCATTTTAGATGCTTATTGGCCATTGCTATATCTTCTTTAGGAACACGTCTACTTGAGTCTTCTGACCATTATTGATGGGATGCTTTGGGTTTCTTGTTCTTTAGTTCTGCCTGTTCTTTATGTATGATGGATATCAGCCTCTTTTCAGATATATGCTTTGAAAATATTTTTCCTAATCCATGGGTTATCTTTTCACTCAGTTTGCCGTGATTTTGCTGCACAAAAGTGTCTGTCATTTCGATGTAATCCAAGGAATCTAATTTTCTTTTGTTGCCTATGCTTTTGGTGTCATATCCCAGAGAACATTGCCCAATATGATGTCATGAAAGCATGGCCAATGTTTTCCTTTAGGCGAATGATTCTTTTAGCGCTTGGGGTGAGGTCTTTGATCCAGTTTGTGTTAATTTTTGCACCTGGTGTGACATAGTGTCCACCTTCATTCTTCTGCATGTGGAAATCAAGTTTCTCCAACACCATTTCTTGAAAAGGCTGTTTTTCCACCAATGAGCTTTCTTACCACTCATGTTAAAAATCGTTTGAACATACAGGTGACAAGTTATTTCTGGGCTCCAAAATAAACAAACAACAGCAGACAACAGATAATGTTACAGCATGGGCCGGGCCCGTCGCTCACGCCTGTAATCCCAGCACTTTGGGAGGCCGAGGTGGGCGGATCACCTGATGTCAGGAGTTGAAGACCAGCCTGACCGACAGGGAGAAACCCCCGTCTCTACTACAGGCGCGTGCCTGTAATCCCAGCTACTCGGGAGGTGGAGGCAGGAGAATCGCTTGAACCCAGGAGGCAGAGGTTGCGGTGAGCCAAGATTGCACCATGACACTCCAGCCTGGGCAACAAGAGCGAAACTCCATCTCAAAACAAAAAACAAAAAACAAAAAACCAGCATGATTTCAAGAGCAGAAAGAGAAGAGCTGAAAAACCAGCATAATGAGAAAATTAGGAAGTTTCTTACCAAAGCATCTGGAAATATTCAAGAAATTCTTGTGAATTAAAATTTTCATACTGTACAATCAAACACTAGAACTCACTTATTCCATCTTTCTGTATTTTGGGACCCAATTATCCACTTGTCTTCATTCCCCATCCCACCCCTTTTCTTCCTAGCGTCTGCTAACCACCTTTATACTTTCCACCTTCCTGAGATTCCTTTTGTGTGTAGGTGTGTGATGGAGTCTCTTTATGTTGCCCAGGTTGGAGTACACAGGCACAATCCGGGCTCACTGAAAGCTCCGCCTCCCGAGTTCAAGCGCTTCTTGGGCCTCAGCCCTCCGAGTAGCTGAGACTAGAGGCACGCGTCACCACGCCCGGCTAATTGCTTGTTTTTTCCGTAGAGACGGGGTTTCACCATGTTGGCCAAGCGGGTCTCGAACCCCTGGACTCAAGTGATCCCTGCGACTCGGCCTCCCAGAGTGCTGGGATTACAGGTCTGAGCCACCACGCCTGGTCAAGGTTTCCTTTTTTCTTCCTACGTAGAAGTGAGGACATGAAATATTTGACATTCTGTGCCTGGCTTATTTCATTTAATATACAGACCTGCAATCTCATCCATTTTGTCTGCAGCGGAGAGGATTTTCTTCCTCTTTAGGCTGAATAATACTTCATTGGGTGTGTATACCACAGTTTCTTTATTGAAACAAATTTCTAAAGAGCAAATATTTTTAAAGTCTCAGAATGTGAAACTTCAGGGATACCGTGCCCATTTTATTCTTTTCTATTTCCCATCTTATGTATCTGCAAGTGTATAACAAAGCAGCAATTGATGTGTGTATAAATCGATAACTTCAACAATTGCAAAATGTAAATGCTAAGTGGTGGCTGGGCGCGGTCCCTCATGCGTGTAATCCCAGTACTTTGGGAGGCGGAAGCGGCCGGATCACCTGAGGTCGGGAGTTCAAGACCAGCCTGACCAAAATGGAGAAACATTGTCTCTACTAACAATACAACAACAACAACAAAAAGATAGCCAGGCATGGTAGCGCATGCCTGTAATCCCAGCTACTTGGAAGGCTGAGACAGGAGAATTGCTTGAATACGGGAGGCAGAGGTTGCAGTGAGCCGAGACCGTGCCATTGAACTCCAGCCTGGGCAACAAGAGTGAAACTCTGACTCAAAAAAAAAAAAAAAAAAGGACAAGAAGGAAATAGAAAATGCGAAATGGTAAGAAAAAACAGCATAATAAACATTCGTATGGTGTTGATGGACAATGCATTTGAAGATAATATTTGAAGAAATCATATTACAATTAATTTCTGTTCTTACTCATTGCAGCTTGATGCCTCTAAAAACTTCGTCATTGGAACCACCTCTGGTGCTTTAAAAGAAAAAAAAAAAATCCACACACTCACACAGGTGCAAGGAAATCAGAATCTCAGGTATTGAGAACCAGTCCTCATCATGTGTAAGCTGCCCAGGTGATTTGACTCAAAGCCAAGATTGAGGAACGGCGACATGGATATCTACACAGAACCTGCTTAAATAGATTCTCTAGAAGAAGTTTATAAAGAAATTCCACATGAACTGTGGAAGAGGATATGAATTTGATGTACAGTATGTCCTCACTTAACATCTTTGAAAGTCTCTTGGAAACTTCACCTTGAAGCAAAATTATGTATAGTGAAACCACTTATTTTTCATCAACAGTATAACTACACGACTTTGAACAACCAATGCTGTTGGAGGACCTTCTGTACATTGTTTCCATAAAGTCAGTTTTCAGGGAATTCCAAAACGAAGTGAGGACTTCGTGTATATAAAATGATGGTTGTGATTCCACCTGGATGGCATGGTTATTGCTCAGAGACTAAAAGAGGCCACCTAGGTATAGAAGATTCTGTCATGAGGTTTCTGCTAAACCAAGGATCCCAGAATCGTCACTCATTCCAGATAAAGGCATAACGAAGAAAGCAATATTCACAAAGGAAATGCGGAAAGGAATAAAAGCCATCAAGCCACAAAAAGAATGTGACTGAGGGGCAGGATTTGCAGATGTAGAGATTTAATGTGGTTGCCCTTTCTCACCCACACAAGAAAAAGGATGGAACAGATCATGATATTCGACTGCTCTGCTGCGCAGCCTCCGCAGGGCACTTTGTATGTCCCTGTTTCTCAGGCTGCAGATGAAAAGGTTCAGCATGGGGTGACCACAGCGTACATCACTGAAGCCACCACACCATTCCTGGGAGGTGGTGACCCAGCTGAAGTCAGGTACAAGCCAATGCCTGTTCCATAAAACCAGCAAACAACTGCTAGATGACAGCCACAGGTGGAGAAGGCTTTATACTTCCCATCTGACGATGAAATCCTTAGAATGGAGGGGACAATTTTATAGTAAGACAAAAAGATCCCTGAAATGGGAAGAAAACCAAACATAGTACTATCGAAATATATGAATATGTTATTGATGACGCTGTCAGAACAGGCAAGTTTGAGAAGTTGAGAGGGGTCACAGACCAAATTAGAGATTTCCACATTCTTGATGATGGTTAATTGTAACACAATCCAACTGTGCAGCTGGGAATCCAACAGGCTAAGGAAAAAGGACACCAAAACGAAGAAGACACAGAGGTGAGGATTCACGATGACTGGGTAGTGCAGAGGGCGACAGATGGCTACAAAGCAGTCATAGGCCATCACAGTCAGGAGCATGCCTTCTATACATGCAACAAGGAGCAGGAAAGACATCTGTGTCAGGCAGCCCGCATGAGAGATGACTCTGCTATGCGACTGCGTGTCCACAATCATCTTGGGAACCATGGCCGAGGTGAAACCGATGTCAGGCCAGCACAGGTTGGAGAGGAAGAAGTACATGGGGGTGTGGAGGGGGGAGTCAGAGCTGACAGCCAGGATGCTGAGCAGGTTCCTCAGCACCGTGACCAGATACATGGACAGGGACAGGGACAGCAAAGCGAGGACCGGCTGCAGTTGTGGATCCTCTGAGAGTCCCAGGAGGAGGAATTCTCAGACATCTGTGAGATATTAGTCCCAACATCCCAGAGGGTGTACACTACCCCTGTGATATTGTCCCTAACTTCCAGAGGGGAGAGGATGACATCACTCCCAATATCTCAGAAGTTGTACATCCCCCGTGATATTGTTCGTCATATCCAGGGAGGCGCAGGATGACATTCCATTGAATTTCGCGACAGGCCTACACGCACAGTGTGATACTGTTCCTACTATCCAAGAAGGGAGAGGATGATATTACTCACAATAAAGCAGTGGGTGTACATCACCCCTGTGTTGTTGTCTCTAATATCCGGGGCCGGGGGAGGAGGGGAGAGGATAACATTGCCTCCAATTTAGCAGGTGGTTTGACGCCCCTTGTGCTGTTGTTTTAAATATCCAGCGGGGAAGACAGTAGTACTATTTTTGATAGTCCGATTCATCCTCTCCACCTTTCCGGAACTCTGAGGCCGGGAGGCGGCATGTAGTTTCCGTGTGATCCCCAATACCTTTGCCGTTTTCTGTACCAAGGCAGCCAAAAACGCAGGCCCGTTGTCTGAGCCGATCCATAAGGGCGGTTGAAATCTAGGAATCACATCTCGAAGAAGCACAGGGGTTACTTCACCAGCTTTCTCAGTTCGTGTTGGATAGGCCTCCACCCACCCAGAATAGGTACGCCCAAGAACCAGTACATGCTTGTTACCTCCACACTTTGGCATCTCTGTGAAGTCCACCTGGAGACCTTCAAAGGGGGCTGCTCCACAAGCTCGTATGCCGGGCGGAACGGCTGGACCTTGACTCCCATCATGCTGTCAGCAGGTAACACACCGCTGCCTCACCGTTTTGGCAAGGGTTGACAAAGGCGAGATGTAGAAATACCGGCCTAACAACTTTTCCAGTGACTCCTGACCTCGATGGGTGTTTTCTTGCACAGCCAGTACAACTGCAGCTCCTAGCAGCTGTGGCACAGCTACTCTCCCATCTGGTAACTGAATCCATCCTTCCTCCATCACTTGTCCTTCCCTCTACCTGGAGAAAGTCCTTTCTTCTTTAGAAGAAGCAGGTCCAAGATCAGGTGCTTGAGGGAGCACTGATGCCCAGAAGGGGGCAGTTGCTGCTTTTCGAGCCTCTGACTCAGCGCGGGAATTCCCCAAACACAGCAAGGTGGAAGCTCGCTGGTGTCCTCTGCAATGCCTAACTGCCACCTTGTGGGGTTTCCATACTGCTTCTAATCATTGCAAGATTTCTTGTGGATATTTTCTGTCTTTCCCCCCAGAATTCAATAGGCCCTTTTCTTTCTATCACACTCCATGCACTTGAAGGGTTAAAAAGACATACCGAGAATCAGTGTAAGTGTTGACAGTCTCACCCTCACTGAGTTCTAAGGCCCAAATGAAAGCATTGAGTTCAGCTTTCTGGGCTGAAGTGGCCTGGGGCAACGACCTGGTTTCAACAACAGTGTCCAGAGTTATCACTGCATACCCTGCACCTCTCTCTCCTTGGGGGTTGAAGAAGCTGCTCCCATCCACGTGTGGTTCCCAGTCTACTGATGCCCAAGTCTGGTCCCGGAGCTCAGGTCTGCTAGAGTCAATTGAGTCCAACACTTCTACACAATCAGGCTCGACAGGGCTCCCTGATACCGGCAGCAAGGTGGCGGGGTGTAGGGTGTTACAAACTTCAATGGTTATACGGGGATTTTCACAGACCAAAGTTTGGTACTTGGTGAGCCTGGCATTCGTTAGCCAATGACGTCCTTTAGTATTCATCACCACAGCACGGGAGGCCTTTATGTTCAGGTTTCGCCCAAGAGTCAGCTTATTTGCTTCTTATACTAGCAGGGCAGTTGCTGCCAAGGCCCTCCAACAGGGGGGCCATCCTTTAGAAACCCCGTCTAGTGGTTTACAGAGGTAGGCCACCAGCCTCAGCCAGGGCCCCACAGTTTGGGTTCAAAGTCCAGCTGCCATCCTTTCTCTCTCTGATGCATACAATGGAAAAGGCTTTGTCAGATCGGGTAGCCTCAGGGCTGGTGCTGCCAGAAGTTTTTCCTTTAACTCATGAAATACTTGCTGTTGTTGGGATCCGCATTCCAAAGATTCCCCGTCCCCGCCCCCCTTGTGACCTCATACAAAAACTTGGCTAATACTGCAAAGTTTGGGATCCACAGTCTACAAAACCCCACAGCTCCTAAGAATTCTCTCACCTGCCTTCTGCTCTTAGGCTCCGCTAGATGGCAAATGACCTGCTTTCTTTCTGATCTCGGGCTGCGTTCCGACCCCTGTCGGATAGTAAATCCCAAGTAACGTACCTGCTGTCGGCAGATCTGAGCTTTCTTCTTGGACACCTTCTACCCACAGTCCTCCAGGTGCGGTGTAGGGCATCTGTTCCCTTGGCACACCCGACTGCCGTGGGGTGTCCCAGCAGAAGGTCATCAACCTACTGGAGCAACAAGCAGCCTAGGTCTCTGCTAGGAAACTTCTGGAGGTCTCGAGCCCATGCCTCCCCGAAGATGGTGGGGGAGTTCTTGAACCTTTGGGGAAGCCCGGTCCAAGTGTACTAAGTAGTGACACCTGACTCCGGATCTTCCCACTGAAAGGCAAACAGCTTCTGCCTCTCAGGGGCTAATCTGATAGGAAGGAAAGCGTCTTTTAGGTCCAAGCAGGTGAACCAGCTGTCCTCAGCTGGCGGCAACCCCAACAATGTGGACGGGTTAGGTACTGTTGGATGTAAAGTCAGTGTGGCTTGATGAAGCAAGCGCAAATCCTGTACCGGCCGGTAGTCCTTGGTCCGTGGCTTGGGAACAGGCAGGAGGGGAGTGTTCCATGGAGACTGACAAGGAACAATCATTCCAAACGTTCTTAGGTGCTTGAGATGGACCTGGATACCTTGAAGGGCTTCTCTGGGGACCGAGTCCTGTTTTTGCCTCACCGGCTGGGCCCCAGTCTTAACTGGCCAATCCTGGAGGGTTCTCTTCTGCCCGAACTCTTGGCCAGCGCTTAGCCAGAGCTGGTCTTTTCTCTTTGCCCGGGTCAGTTCAGAAAAGTCTCCATTCCTCCTCTCGGGGGACCATAAGCGTCATAATGACTCCCATTCCGGGTAACTTTAGCAGCAAAGAGCCGTGCTCTGTGAAAGAGGCAGTGGCTCTCAGCTTGCTGAGCAAGTCCCTTCCTGAAAAGTTCCAGAGACTGTCAGGCATGTAACAAAACTGATGAATGACTTTATGTCCTCCTACAGGACAAGTCCAAGGCAAGCAGAAAGCTTGCTTTGCTGAAACCCCCGTGGCTCCGATGACGTCAGTAGTCTTTTTCGGTAAGGGGACGACCGGGGCGGTTACTAGCGAATGTTCAGCACCGCTATCTACAAGAAAGTTAATGTCTCCACCCCTGACTGTCATTCTGAACAGATGTCAGAATGGGGATGCTTGAGCCCGGTCTCCCTCAGTCCAAGAACCCTTCTGCCAGGTTGAGCAGGGCCCCTTCCTCCTTGTCCGGGGCCTCCGGCTCTGAGTCACCTTCTTTTCTTTTGAGCTGAGGGCATTTGTTCTTCCACTGTCCTATTTCTTTACAATCAGCACACTGGTTACGCTGCAAACTCTGACAGCCAAGCTGAGTTTCTTTCCCAGGGCCCCCTTTCCCTTGCCTCTTTGCGGGGGCCCCTCTGATTGCTGCAGCTGACAAACAGGTCGGCGTGTGGCCGGGCCTGACCTCCATTCTCTTTGCCGTTTTCCTTACGGCTTACTGCATACCTGTTTACAAACACCTGGCTAGCTATTTCTAGTAATTGGGATGGATTCTTCCCTGCAAGCCCAGTCTGTTTCTGCAGTTTTCTTCTCATGTCTTCTGCACTTTGATGGACTAAAGCCATGTGAATCATGCGCTGATTTTCAGGGCTATCGGGATCAAAGGGAGTATACATATGATAGGCCTCATACAGTCTCTCGTAGAATTGTGCTGGACTTTCTTCTTTTCCCTGAATGACCTCAGAGAGCTTGTTAACGTTTGTGGCCTTCTGAGCTCCCCTCATTAATCCTTCCAAGAGAGCTTCCCTGTCTCGGTTTAGCCTTTGCATCTCCTCTCTTTCATGTGGGTCCAACTGGGGGTCGGTTCCTGGCAACTGGGTCCTTCCATACTATTGGGGGTTTTGATAATCAGCTGGTGCATGTTCCTCTAGCCACTTAGTTGCTGCTTGGAGGACTCTCTGCCTTTCTTCACTGTTAAAGAGGAAAATGAGCAACTGGTGCCAATCGGTCCAGGTGTGGTTGTGGGTCTGGATAACAGTTTGGAGCAAATCAATTAGGGCTTGTGGCTTTTCGGTATAGGGCGATGTATTGTTTTTCCAGTTGAGAAGGTCGACGCAGGTGAAGGGCTGGTACCCAAAAACACGTCTCTCCACTACATGAGCATTTTCATCTATCCCAGTATACCGCTGCTCTCTCAGGGGCATTTGTGTCCCCGTTTTGGGTCGTAAACGAGCTGCCGAGGAAGGGGTGGAATGGCGCAATGCGACTTACCGCAATTAATAATCTCAATTATTAACTGACACTAATAATTATCAATATTAATAACCCATAATATAATTTTTAAAATCAATACCGATACTAATGATAATTAATATTAAATAGTTATACTAACAATAACAATACATGATTAATATTAATGATTATGACGCCTGATATTAATAACTGATACGGATCTTATTCATTAGAAAATAGTAATATTAGCTCCTAATAATTAATATTAATATTAATAATCTGAGAACTTTTTATTAGCAATTACTTCTTAATATTAATATTAATATCGGCCATTCATATTCATGTTAATAAAAAACAAGGAATAATTCATACTAATAGTATGCCCTAATACCTCAGTGGGTGTACACTCACCTGTGATATTGTTCCTAATGTTCAGGGAGTGAGAGAGCATGATATTACGTTCAATATCGCAGCAGGTGCACACCCAGCCGGTGATATTGATCCGAATATAATCTCCAGGGGGTGGAGTATGACATTACTCCCAATATAGCACTGGGTGTGCATCCACCCGGTGATTTTGTTCCTAATATTCATGGAAGAAGAGAATGCTATTACTCCCAACATCGTAGGAAGTGTACACCCCCGTGTGACATGGTTCTTAATAATATTCCAAGGCGGAGGGGGTGATATGACTACACATATGGCAGAAAGTGGACACCCCCAAGGATATTGTTCCCACGATCCTGGAGGGAAGAGGATGATATTACTTTCAGTATCACAGAAGGTGGACACGCCCCCACTGATATTGTTTCTAATTGCAACGTGGGAGAGGAGGATATGACACGCGATATCCCAGGGAGTAGAAACACCCCTGTGATACTGTTCTTAATATTCAGAGAGGAAGAGGATGATATGACTCCCAATACAGACGGGTGTACAACCTCTGTACGCCGGGGTGAACACCGGTGGGTGAAACAGTTCACAATCTCCAGAGCGGGAGACGATATTACTCACAATATGATAAACAGGCTGTGAGTCCACCGCGGATCCTAAAAACCAGGGGGGCAAGAGGGGTTAGCTCTTACTCTGCGCATGGCGGGGCGTGCCTCACCCCCTGCGATGGGGGTCCTAAGAGCCAGGAGGTAAGATGGGAAGGCTCTTAATACCCGCATCAAGGGGCGTGCCTCACACCACTGCGATGGGGGTCCTGAGAGCCAGGGGGGCAAGAGGGGCTGGCTCTTACCCCAAGCATAGCAGGACGTGACTCACCCAGCTGAGATGGGGGAAACTAAGAGCCAGGGGGGCAAGAGGGTTTGGCTCTTACAACCCGAAACGGGGGGAGTGCCTCACACCCTGCGATGGGGGTCCTAAGAGCCAGGGAGGCAAGAGGGGCTGCGGGAGACAGCGGCTGTCCTCCATCTAAATTGCAAGAGGCTTTCCTCTTTGACTAATCCACCTCGACACAGACCCTTTACGGGTCTCAGGCTGGGGGCCAGTCAGGTCTTTAACATCCCACGGGGCCATATTTCAGACTGTTACATGGGGAGAAACCTTGGACAATAACCTGCTTTCAAGGGCAGAGGTCGCTGCGGCTTTCGACGGTGCATAGTGCCCCTGGTTTATTGAAACTAGAGAATGGCAATGACTTTTACCAAGTATACTGCTCGCAAACATTTGGTTAACAAAGCACGTCCTGCACAGCCCTAGATCCCTTAAACCTCGATTTTATACAACACAGGTTTTCTGAGCTCCAAGTTGGGTCAAAGGGGCTGGGGCAAAGTGGATGAGGCAAGGCAACAAATGAACAACATATCAGCAAAGCAATAGTTTAAACTACAGGTCTTTTTCAAAATGGAGTCTCTTATGTCTTCCCCTTCTACATAGACACAGTGACAGTCTGATCTCTCTTTCTTTACCCTACATCCAAGGGCTTGAACATTTCTTGACTTGTTGGCAATCCAAATCGTTACGTCTCCGAAACAGAGTTGACTGAGGGGACCGCAGGGCTGGGCAGGACCTTTGACTTCCTATACATCCACAGGAGCAAGAAAACCTCAGCCCCACTCTACCAACACGCACCTAGTAAAATTCCGCCATCCGAATCTCACGCACGCTAACACGTGGGGAGCGTTGCTTGCACCACGAGTCCCCATTTGGCTCAACCGCCGATGCCAAGTGTGTGGTTCCAGTTGCGACGGCCCCCCGTGAAGTGGCTTCCGGATGTGCGAATGAACCAGGCAGAGTTTCACTGGCCAAATAGACCCCAGCAAAGCTGAAGTTAACTCCCACATTTGGGATGTACTTCAGAGGTAAAACATTCATCCCGTCTTCTTTCCGGATGTCTGACACCATGGTTCTCCCCCTGATCCTAAGAGTAGCTGAGGCAGAGACTCACTGAAAGATCTAGGCGGGGATATCCCATCATGCACAGGCTCTCTCCATTCTCTGACCTGGGAACAACTCTCAGCAGGATTTCACATCTAGGAGGCCTCGGAACTCAGCGGGATTTTCTGAGACACACCAACTGGCTGCTCCCTCTCCGCCGCTGTTGAGGGTCGTTATCTTGATTATCCAGATCACCTAGAAAGTATCCGTATCCAGAATGAATAAGATCAACTCTCTGCTCCTCTGACAGCAGAAGGAGCAGGACCGTAAGGAACCAAAGAGCGTGGAAGGAAACGATGTGACAGGAAAGCTCAGAGAACGGCCACAGGGGGTCGTCAGCAGGCCTTCCAACCTGAATCATGAATAATTAATGAAGCGCAAATCAAAGGGGACTCGAGTTTCAGCAGGAGCAATTCATCCAACGGGAGATCGCCGGAGGGCCAACAAGATTGAGTGACTGGGAGCCGGGTGCAGTGTCAAAGGGGACGCGACTGGTTCCAAAGCTCGAGAAGACCATGGGGTCCCTTGGGCTACATGAGAAAACGCCCCAGTGTGCTGGTTCATCATTCCGACTCCTGCCTGTCTCTTCCCGTCCAAGGAACATGGACCCTAAGTCGTGCAGGTGCGGATGACCATGGGCAGAATTAGGGGCCGTGGCACAAAAGTTCACCGACACGGGAGTTCCACAGAAGGTGCGGTGGATCTTCGCAAATCCAGAGACATGGCAATGGGACCCAGGGAATTACAGCCTCACAGGCGTCCGGGAGACTTTTCAGGCATAATGCCTGGAGTCGCAAGAGGAGCTGAAAAAGGAGCCAGGCACTGAAGGACAAAGCGTTGTTGACTTTCCTCATCTGTGTTTCCCAGTGCGGTCCAATTCACGGTTGTTTCCAAGCGCCTCCTGGGGGAGAAAACACATGAGGGTGCGGTCAGGGTTCTCTGCTGACAGACTTACCTTGGGGAAGAAAGAGAAGCTCTGAAGATGGATCATGGCCGTGACTGCATGTCAAGGAGAGTCTCCTTGATGACACTGAGGCCTACGTCGAGATAGACAAAATGTGGTCCAATTAAAAGGTGTCTATTTTACCACATTTTTTAAAACAAAACAAAACAAAACAACAAAAAAGATGGAAAAGAAGACAGGGGTACAGGCACCAGTGTTACATGTCTGACGGGGAACATCTATTGTTCAAAGCTTGCAGCTGTACAAGTAGGTTTTAGAATGTCTGTCAGCAGTGGACATGATCTTAGAGTGGGCTGTGCAGATAGACCTTTCCAGGTCATGTAATTGGATTAAGTTAATTGCAATTAAGGTACAGGTAACTGATTAGGTTAGGGTACGTTCCATGTCAGGTGACCAGAGGCAGTATAAAAGGCAGCCTGGAAAGCGGAGGTCCCTCTCTGCCCCTTCCTCCGTCGTCCTGGATGCTGCATCGCTTCCAGCCGGGCTGCTGCAGCACCTGCCCATCTCAGCGCCAGCCTGGGAAAGAAAGTAGACGTGTAATTTCAGGTTGGTTTCGCTGAACAATTGTTTGTTTCACGCAATCCCTGAGGGGTTTTTGCGGGGGGTGTGGGGGAGGAAGAGACAAAGGAGGCCGAAAGAAACCGATCACACTGGGGCTTGCTGGTGGGGTAGGATGTGTTCTCGTTACTAGTAATTCTTGGAACAGAAAACGAGAAAACATATCCGTCTCCACGTGTGGGAGAAGACCAAGATGGGAATGGGAAAAGAAATGTACTGCAGCATGCTGAATTGGTGGGTAAATGGAAACAGGACTTTGGAAAAAAGGGGGGTTTGCCCTTCAGCCGTGTAAGACGTCGATACGATACGGCACTTCTTCCCCGTTTGTTCAGATGAATTCGTGTGGTGTGCGTAAAATACCAGGAAAATAAATAAAGAGGGGCTGGAGCTAAAGCCAAAAGATAGAACAGGAAAGATCCTCACCTGCTAGTGCGGTAGAGAGGAAGGTAACTTCTCTGTATGAATTTGTGCTTGGAAGTTGCCTAATGAAATGGCAAGAGTAGCGATTCAAGTTGTCACAGGAAGCATCCCTTATCCGTGACTTCAAGCAGACCTGCCAAAGGGTGGCACACGCCATGCCCTGTGTCTTCGATCATTCTGTCCGTCAAGGGAGATAGAATCACCGTGTCTTCTACCGGAGTGAATCGTGAGAGACCTAAGTCCAGTCTCCAGAATCAGTTGTTTGTTTGGGGTTGAAAGCTCAACCCCCCCATACCTAGTCCACGGGCCCTGTGGCAGGTGGGGTTTACTCTTGGACTAGGTAGTCATGGCAGAGGAACACACAATATCCGAGGATGCGCACAGCACATTGTGTTCTACAGATTTGACCGACTGGTGGTGAGGTCTCCTCATGACCACACAGGCAGGGAGTTAGCAGGTGGCTTCCTGTGGGTGTGTGAATATCCAACGTGCTTAACCATCGACATGTGTGTGTTTGTGTGTGTTTCAGGTGGCCCAACAGTCCACCCCTGAAAAAGGCGGTCATAAAACCCCCAGGAGACGAAGATGATGGCACGTCGGGACCCCAAATCTTGGGCCAAGAGACTGGTGAGAGCCCAGACCCTCCAGAAGCAGCGGAGGGCCCCAGTTGGGCCAAGGGCTCCCCCGCCCGATGAAGAAGATCCCAGGGTAAGTGTAGCCCTGGATCTCTTGGGTATCGGGGTGGGGGTGGGGACGGGGGGAGGGGGTGTCCCACGGTCCTCAGAGACTGGGTTGGATTCCAAAGAGTTCTGTCACCACCAGCCAGGTTGCTTTTCCCATCCAAGGTGGGCGTGGCTTGGGACCTTCTCCCCGGCCCGATAGGTCCCTTGAGAGACTCTTGGGGGCAACCTCCCTTTCTACTTAGAGTCCTGTGTAGCCACGTTTGGCTGCGTTGTTGACATCGGCTTCACCATGGTGCCCCTTGGAACCTTGAGTCCTTCCTTTCAGAGTTCCTCCGTCACATGGGCTTTGCGAGGGAACATCGTATCCGAAGTCTCCCAGCACTTAACGGCCCCCATGCCGGTGTCCCCTCTTTGGAATCCTTATTCAGCTCTGAATTCACAATCCGTCCCAATGTTGACGTGGGATCGCTGCCTGTGGCTTCAGCTCACTCACTGACATCACTTCCTTTCCACCCGCAGCTCAAGTGCAAAAACTGCGGGGCCTTTGGCCACACGGCCAGAAGTACCAGGTGCCCCATGAAGTGCTGGAAGGCAGCCCTGGTTCCAGCGACCTTGGGGAAAAAGGAAGGGAAGGAAAACCTGAAACCATGGAAGCCCCGGGGTGAAGCCAACCCGGGGCCCTTGAACAAGGATAAGGGAGAGAAGGAAGAGAGACCAAGGTGAGCAGTGGGAGGGGTTTTCACCACTCTTAGGGTACGGCCTCCCAAGGACATGGTGTCTCTGCACCTGCACACCGTGTGCCTTTCCGTCTCCGGGCCAGGGAAGGAACGCTGCAGAGAAATAGGCCGGAGCTCCGTGTCCTCCGGGGTTCCACACCCAGGAGCTCCTTGGGCTCTGGGAGATTCAGGGACGGGGAGAGGCGGGGGCGCTTCGTGCAGGTTCCCCACGACAGCGGGAAAAGCGATGGAATCCAAATCACAGTCCTTAGTTGGGAAGCCTAGAGGGCCACCTGGAGGATGGGAAGGTTGGCACGTGAGGGAAGGTGCAGAGGCGGAAAGGGCACCAGATGTCCATTTCTGTATCACAAAACACGGAATGGGGCTGGGCCCCAGACGGGGTTCTCCCTGTCTCCTGGGGAAAACCAGGGGGCACGGCCTGACCTTCTTCTGTTCTGCAGGCAACAAGACCCGCAGAGGAAGGCTCTCCTCCACATGTTTTCCGGGAAACCTCCAGAGAAGCCGCTGCCGAATGGAAAAGGATCCACGGAATCTTCTGATTATCTGAGGGCGAGTGTCACCCCGGGCCCCTGGTCTTTTTCTCCTCTAGGTCACCCTGGTTGATTTCCTTTCAGCTTCCCGTCTGCGGGAGGAAATCGGGGAACCCCTCTTTCTTGCCTTCTTGGGGTCAGGGACTCCACGATCCTTCCAGGTCAATTGGATTCCAGGCGAAGGCATCTGAACATGCCGTATTTCCTGTTGCTTTCTTTCTGTCCAATTATGGCAAGCCTGCCAACAACACGTTCCTAGCGGCATGAGGAAATTAGTCCCTCAGAGGCCCCAAACGTGGAGAAGGCGAAACCCAGGAACATGCATGTGTTCAGAGAAGACGTCCCGAGTACCCTTGAGCCAGCAACCTGCCTCGGGAAGGGCATTAGTCCGTTCCACTTCATGGAAGGCTGAGTGGAGGCGCTTTGATCCAGTTAATGCCCAAGACGCGATCTTTTGAACAATGGTGTGCTTAGATCAGCTACACATAGCTCGAGAGCGCATCTTTCATGTGTCTTGTCCTGATCAGCACTCAGGTGGAGGGTCTGTCCCTACTTCCAAGGACCGCCTGTCGATACTGTACTAAGAATTTCATGGCGTGTGCACCTTGTCTTTGGATGTGCTTGATTTTCACGTTGGCTCCATGCTGAGGAACTTCTAACCTGTGTTGTTTCCTCTCTTTCAGGTTGCAAGCGGGCCAATGCCGGTCCACACAACCAGTAAGAGGCCGCGCTTGGACCCTGTCCTCGCTGATCGCTCAGCTACCGCAATGTCTGGCAGGGGCTCCGTCTTGGCTTCACTGTCTCCCCTCAGAAAAGCCAGCCTGAGCTCCTCCTCAAGTCTTGGACCAAAGGAAAGACAGACAGGGGCTGCGGCCGACATGCCTCAGCCTGCAGTCAGGCACCAGGGCCGCGAGCCTCTCCTCGTGGTGAAGCCGACACACAGCCGCCCCGAGGGTGGCTGCCGAGAAGTTCCCCAGGCTGCCTCCAAAACCCACGGCCTGCTCCAGGCCGCCAGACCCCAGGCACAAGACAAACGTCCTGCGGTGACCTCACAGCCCTGCCCGCCAGCCGCCACACACAGCTTGGGCCTAGGCTCCAATCTCAGCTTCGGGCCAGGAGCCAAGAGACCTGCCCAGGCTCCGATTCAGGCTTGCCTGAACTTCCCCAAGAAACCGAGACTGGGTCCCTTCCAGATCCCCGAAAGCGCCATCCAGGGAGGTGAGCTGGGGGCCCCGGAGAATCTCCAACCTCCGCCAGCCGCAACCGAACTTGGACCAAGTACGTCGCCCCAGATGGGCAGGAGGACACCGGCCCAGGTGCCCAGCGTCGACCGGCAGCCTCCGCACAGCAGACCTTGCCTGCCTACTGCCCAGGCCTGCACCATGTCCCATCACTCAGCGGCCAGCCATGATGGGGCCCAGCCTCTCAGAGTGCTCTTCCGGAGACTGGAAAACGGACGCTGGAGCTCCAGCCTCCTGGCGGCCCCCTCATTTCACTCTCCTGAGAAGCCGGGAGCCTTCCTCGCTCAGGGCCCTCATGTGTCAGAGAAGTCTGAGGCTCCCTGTGTTCGTGTCCCACCGAGCGTCCTCTATGAGGACCTTCAGGTTTCCTCCTCCTCAGAGGACAGCGATTTTGACCTGGAGTGAGACTGCAGGTGGCAGGGGCTCCTTGGCCTCCGGCTCCCGTGACTTGGAGGGGACTGTGGGACTGAGGAGCGCAGAGCAGAGAGCACACTCTGTGCGGTGACTCCGAAGCTCCCCGGCTGTGGCGCTTCTGTGGATGTGGGAGCCCAGGCCAGGCAGGGAGCAGATGCAGGGACTCTGCCTCATTGAATTCTGGTGAGGGACGTTGTAGTTGGCGTGGTTCTCCGGAAACGCGCCAGGAAAAGCTTCCGTGCCAGAGATTCGTTGCCTCAGAAACTGCGTGACGCGCAGGAGTCAGACTTCCGCTGGGACGTCAATAGGAAACTGGGGAATTACTGTGTATTTCCTCTCTAGATGACTGAATAAGGGAAAAGTTAGGGAACCCTGAGAGGTGCAGCCCTTCCGCTGTGCCCCGCCCTGAGAGCAGTGTTTCGGACGCTGGGAAGCGTGCTGTGCGAAGCGCTCTCGGGGTCTTTCCTCAGCCTCGAAAACTGGGCTCTGGAATGCCTTTGTACATATGTGTGTTTCATTGGTTTTGAAGTGAATAAAATTCTCAAAAAGATGACATATTGTCTTTTGACTCTCATTCCGTGTTTGTGTGTAACTGATTTTCCAAGTGAAGGGGTGGCCTGCCCCTCCACACCTGTGGGTGTTTCTAGTCGGGTGGGATGAGAGACGGAGAAAAGAAATAAGACACAGAGACAAAGTATAGGGAGACAACAGTGGGTCCAGGGGACCGGCACTCAGCACACCTAGGACCTGCACCGGCACCGGCCTCTGAGTTCCCGCAGTTTTTATTGATTATGATTTTCATTATTTCAGCACAAAGGAATGCAGTAGGGGAGCAGGGTGATAATAAGGGGAAGGTCAACAAAAACAACACAAAACAAACACGTGAGCAAAAGAATCCATATCATTATTAAGTTCAAGGGAAGGTACTATGCCTGGACGTGCACGTAGGCCAGATTTATGTTTCTCTCCACACAAATATCTCAGCGGAGTAAAGAATAACAAGGCAGCATTACTGCCAACATGTCTCGCCTCCCGCCACAGGGCAGCTTTTCTCCGAGCTCAGAGTTGAACAAATGTACGATCGGGCTTTACACCGAGACATTCAGTTCCCAGGGGCAAGCAGGAGACAGTGGCCTTCCTCCATCTGAACTGCAAGAGGCGTTCCTCTTTGACTAATCCACCTCAGCACAGACCCATTGCGGGTGTCAGGCTGGGGGACATTCAGGACTTTCCCATCCCACGAGGCCATATTTCAGACTGTCACATGGGGAGAAACCTTGGACAATACCCTGCTATCAAGGGCAGAGGTCCCTGTGGCTTTCCACGGTGCATTGCGCCCCTGGTTTATTGAGACTAGAGAATGGCAATGACTTCTACCAAGTATACTGCTCGTAAACATTTGGTTAACTAGGCGCGTCCTGCACAGCCCTAGATCCCTTAAACCTCGATTTTATACAACACAGGTTTTTGTGAGCTCCAAGTTGGGTCAAAGGAAGGGGCTGCGGCAAGGCAACAAATGAACAACATCTCAGCAAAGCAATTGTTTAAAGTACAGGTCTTTTTCAAAATGGAGTCTCTTATGTCTTCCCCTTCTACATAGACACAGTGACAGTCTGATCTCTCTTTCTTTACCCTACATCCAAGGGCTTGAACATTTCTTGACTTGTTGGCAATCCAAATCGTTACGTCTCCGAAACAGAGTTGACTGAGGGGACCGCAGGGCTGGGCAGGACCTTTGACTTCCTATACATCCACAGGAGCAAGAACACCTCAGCCCCACTCTACCAACACGCACCTAGTAAAATTCTGCCAACCGAATCTCACGCACGCTAACACGTGGGGAGCGTTGCTTGCACCACGAGTCCCCATTTGGCTCAACCGCCGATGCCAAGTGTGTGGTTCCAGTTGCGACGGCCCCCCGTGAAGTGGCTTCCGGATGTGCGAAGGAACCAGGCAGAGTTTCACTGGCCAAATAGACCCCAGCAAAGCTGAAGTTAACTCCCACATTTGGGATGTACTTCAGAGGTAAAACATTCATCCCGTCTTCTTTCCGGATGTCTGACACCATGGTTCTCCCCCTGATCCTAAGAGTAGCTGAGGCAGAGACTCACTGAAAGATCTAGGCGGGGATATTCCATCATGCACAGGCTCTCTCCATTCTCTGACCTGGGAACAACTCTCAGCAGGATTCCACATCTAGGAGGCCTCGGAACTCAGCGGGATTTTCTGAGACACACCAACTGGCTGCTCCCTCTCCGCCGCTGTTGAGGGTCGTTATCTTGATTATCCAGATCACCTAGAAAGTATCCGTATCCAGAATGAATAAGATCAACTCTCTGCTCCTCTGACAGCAGAAGGAGCAGGACCGTAAGGAACCAAAGAGCGTGGAAGGAAACGATGTGACAGGAAAGCTCAGAGAACGGCCACAGGGGGTCGTCAGCAGGCCTTCCAACCTGAATCATGAATAATTAATGAAGCGCAAATCAAAGGGGACTCGAGTTTCAGCAGGAGCAATTCATCCAACGGGAGATCGCCGGAGGGCCAACAAGATTGAGTGACTGGGAGCCGGGTGCAGTGTCAAAGGGGACGCGACTGGTTCCAAAGCTCGAGAAGACCATGGGGTCACTTGGGCTACATGAGAAAACGCCCCAGTGTGCTGGTTCATCATTCCGACTCCTGCCTGTCTCTTCCCGTCCAAGGAACATGGACCCTAAGTCGTGCAGGTGCGGATGACCATGGGCAGAATTAGGGGCCGTGGCACAAAAGTTCACCGACACGGGAGTTCCACAGAAGGTGCGGTGGATCTTCGCAAATCCAGAGACATGGCAATGGGACCCAGGGAATTAGAGCCTCACAGGCGTCCGGGAGACTTTTCAGGCATAATGCCTGGAGTCGCAAGAGGAGCTGAAAAAGGAGCCAGGCACTGAAGGACAAAGCGTTGTTGACTTTCCTCATCTGTGTTTCCCAGTGCGGTCCAATTCACGGTTGTTTCCAAGCGCCTCCTGGGGGAGAAAACACATGAGGGTGCGGTCAGGGTTCTCTGCTGACAGACTTACCTTGGGGAAGAAAGAGAAGCTCTGAAGATGGATCATGGCCGTGACTGCATGTCAAGGAGAGTCTCCTTGATGACACTGAGGCCTACGTCGAGATAGACAAAATGTGGTCCAATTAAAAGGTGTCTATTTTACCACATTTTTTAAAACAAAACAAAACAAAACAACAAAAAAGATGGAAAAGAAGACAGGGGTACAGGCACCAGTGTTACATGTCTGACGGGGAACATCTATTGTTCAAAGCTTGCAGCTGTACAAGTAGGTTTTAGAATGTCTGTCAGCAGTGGACATGATCTTAGAGTGGGCTGTGCAGATAGACCTTTCCAGGTCATGTAATTGGATTAAGTTAATTGCAATTAAGGTACAGGTAACTGATTAGGTTAGGGTACGTTCCATGTCAGGTGACCAGAGGCAGTATAAAAGGCAGCCTGGAAAGCGGAGGTCCCTCTCTGCCCCTTCCTCCGTCGTCCTGGATGCTGCATCGCTTCCAGCCGGGCTGCTGCAGCACCTGCCCATCTCAGCGCCAGCCTGGGAAAGAAAGTAGACGTGTAATTTCAGGTTGGTTTCGCTGAACAATTGTTTGTTTCACGCAATCCCTGAGGGGTTTTTGCGGGGGGTGTGGGGGAGGAAGAGACAAAGGAGGCCGAAAGAAACCGATCACACTGGGGCTTGCTGGTGGGGTAGGATGTGTTCTCGTTACTAGTAATTCTTGGAACAGAAAACGAGACAACATATCCGTCTCCACGTGTGGGAGAAGACCAAGATGGGAATGGGAAAAGAAATGTACTGCAGCATGCTGAATTGGTGGGTAAATGGAAACAGGACTTTGGAAAAAAGGGGGGTTTGCCCTTCAGCCGTGTAAGACGTCGATACGATACGGCACTTCTTCCCCGTTTGTTCAGATGAATTCGTGTGGTGTGCGTAAAATACCAGGAAAATAAATAAAGAGGGGCTGGAGCTAAAGCCAAAAGATAGAACAGGAAAGATCCTCACCTGCTAGTGCGGTAGAGAGGAAGGTAACTTCTCTGTATGAATTTGTGCTTGGAAGTTGCCTAATGAAATGGCAAGAGTAGCGATTCAAGTTGTCACAGGAAGCATCCCTTATCCGTGACTTCAAGCAGACCTGCCAAAGGGTGGCACACGCCATGCCCTGTGTCTTCGATCATTCTGTCCGTCAAGGGAGATAGAATCACCGTGTCTTCTACCGGAGTGAATCGTGAGAGACCTAAGTCCAGTCTCCAGAATCAGTTGTTTGTTTGGGGTTGAAAGCTCAACCCCCCCATACCTAGGCCACGGGCCCTGTGGCAGGTGGGGTTTACTCTTGGACTAGGTAGTCATGGCAGAGGAACACACAATATCCGAGGATGCGCACAGCACATTGTGTTCTACAGATTTGACCGACTGGTGGTGAGGTCTCCTCATGACCACACAGGCAGGGAGTTAGCAGGTGGCTTCCTGTGGGTGTGTGAATATCCAACGTGCTTAACCATCGACATGTGTGTGTTTGTGTGTGTTTCAGGTGGCCCAACAGTCCACCCCTGAAAAAGGCGGTCATAAAACCCCCAGGAGACGAAGATGATGGCACGTCGGGACCCCAAATCTTGGGCCAAGAGACTGGTGAGAGCCCAGACCCTCCAGAAGCAGCGGAGGGCCCCAGTTGGGCCAAGGGCTCCCCCGCCCGATGAAGAAGATCCCAGGGTAAGTGTAGCCCTGGATCTCTTGGGTATCGGGGTGGGGGTGGGGACGGGGGGAGGGGCTGTCCCACGGTCCTCAGAGACTGGGTTGGATTCCAAAGAGTTCTGTCACCACCAGCCAGGTTGCTTTTCCCATCCAAGGTGGGCGTGGCTTGGGACCTTCTCCCCGGCCCGATAGGTCCCTTGAGAGACTCTTGGGGGCAACCTCCCTTTCTACTTAGAGTCCTGTGTAGCCACGTTTGGCTGCGTTGTTGACATCGGCTTCACCATGGTGCCCCTTGGAACCTTGAGTCCTTCCTTTCAGAGTTCCTCCGTCACATGGGCTTTGCGAGGGAACATCGTATCCGAAGTCTCCCAGCACTTAACGGCCCCCATGCCGGTGTCCCCTCTTTGGAATCCTTATTCAGCTCTGAATTCACAATCCGTCCCAATGTTGACGTGGGATCGCTGCCTGTGGCTTCAGCTCACTCACTGACATCACTTCCTTTCCACCCGCAGCTCAAGTGCAAAAACTGCGGGGCCTTTGGCCACACGGCCAGAAGTACCAGGTGCCCCATGAAGTGCTGGAAGGCAGCCCTGGTTCCAGCGACCTTGGGGAAAAAGGAAGGGAAGGAAAACCTGAAACCATGGAAGCCCCGGGGTGAAGCCAACCCGGGGCCCTTGAACAAGGATAAGGGAGAGAAGGAAGAGAGACCAAGGTGAGCAGTGGGAGGGGTTTTCACCACTCTTAGGGTACGGCCTCCCAAGGACATGGTGTCTCTGCACCTGCACACCGTGTGCCTTTCCGTCTCCGGGCCAGGGAAGGAACGCTGCAGAGAAATAGGCCGGAGCTCCGTGTCCTCCGGGGTTCCACACCCAGGAGCTCCTTGGGCTCTGGGAGATTCAGGGACGGGGAGAGGCGGGGGCGCTTCGTGCAGGTTCCCCACGACAGCGGGAAAAGCGATGGAATCCAAATCACAGTCCTTAGTTGGGAAGCCTAGAGGGCCACCTGGAGGATGGGAAGGTTGGCACGTGAGGGAAGGTGCAGAGGCGGAAAGGGCACCAGATGTCCATTTCTGTATCACAAAACACGGAATGGGGCTGGGCCCCAGACGGGGTTCTCCCTGTCTCCTGGGGAAAACCAGGGGGCACGGCCTGACCTTCTTCTGTTCTGCAGGCAACAAGACCCGCAGAGGAAGGCTCTCCTCCACATGTTTTCCGGGAAACCTCCAGAGAAGCCGCTGCCGAATGGAAAAGGATCCACGGAATCTTCTGATTATCTGAGGGCGAGTGTCACCCCGGGCCCCTGGTCTTTTTCTCCTCTAGGTCACCCTGGTTGATTTCCTTTCAGCTTCCCGTCTGCGGGAGGAAATCGGGGAACCCCTCTTTCTTGCCTTCTTGGGGTCAGGGACTCCACGATCCTTCCAGGTCAATTGGATTCCAGGCGAAGGCATCTGAACATGCCGTATTTCCTGTTGCTTTCTTTCTGTCCAATTATGGCAAGCCTGCCAACAACACGTTCCTAGCGGCATGAGGAAATTAGTCCCTCAGAGGCCCCAAACGTGGAGAAGGCGAAACCCAGGAACATGCATGTGTTCAGAGAAGACGTCCCGAGTACCCTTGAGCCAGCAACCTGCCTTGGGAAGGGCATTAGTCCGTTCCACTTCATGGAAGGCTGAGTGGAGGCGCTTTGATCCAGTTAATGCCCAAGACGCGATCTTTTGAACAATGGTGTGCTTAGATCAGCTACACATAGCTCGAGAGCGCATCTTTCATGTGTCTTGTCCTGATCAGCACTCAGGTGGAGGGTCTGTCCCTACTTCCAAGGACCGCCTGTCGATACTGTACTAAGAATTTCATGGCGTGTGCACCTTGTCTTTGGATGTGCTTGATTTTCACGTTGGCTCCATGCTGAGGAACTTCTAACCTGTGTTGTTTCCTCTCTTTCAGGTTGCAAGCGGGCCAATGCCGGTCCACACAACCAGTAAGAGGCCGCGCTTGGACCCTGTCCTCGCTGATCGCTCAGCTACCGCAATGTCTGGCAGGGGCACCGTCTTGGCTTCACTGTCTCCCCTCAGAAAAGCCAGCCTGAGCTCCTCCTCAAGTCTTGGACCAAAGGAAAGACAGACAGGGGCTGCGGCCGACATGCCTCAGCCTGCAGTCAGGCACCAGGGCCGCGAGCCTCTCCTCGTGGTGAAGCCGACACACAGCCGCCCCGAGGGTGGCTGCCGAGAAGTTCCCCAGGCTGCCTCCAAAACCCACGGCCTGCTCCAGGCCGCCAGACCCCAGGCACAAGACAAACGTCCTGCGGTGACCTCACAGCCCTGCCCGCCAGCCGCCACACACAGCTTGGGCCTAGGCTCCAATCTCAGCTTCGGGCCAGGAGCCAAGAGACCTGCCCAGGCTCCGATTCAGGCTTGCCTGAACTTCCCCAAGAAACCGAGACTGGGTCCCTTCCAGATCCCCGAAAGCGCCATCCAGGGAGGTGAGCTGGGGGCCCCGGAGAATCTCCAACCTCCGCCAGCCGCAACCGAACTTGGACCAAGTACGTCGCCCCAGATGGGCAGGAGGACACCGGCCCAGGTGCCCAGCGTCGACCGGCAGCCTCCGCACAGCACACCTTGCCTGCCTACTGCCCAGGCCTGCACCATGTCCCATCACTCAGCGGCCAGCCATGATGGGGCCCAGCCTCTCAGAGTGCTCTTCCGGAGACTGGAAAACGGACGCTGGAGCTCCAGCCTCCTGGCGGCCCCCTCATTTCACTCTCCTGAGAAGCCGGGAGCCTTCCTCGCTCAGAGCCCTCATGTGTCAGAGAAGTCTGAGGCTCCCTGTGTTCGTGTCCCACCGAGCGTCCTCTATGAGGACCTTCAGGTTTCCTCCTCCTCAGAGGACAGCGATTTTGACCTGGAGTGAGACTGCAGGTGGCAGGGGCTCCTTGGCCTCCGGCTCCCGTGACTTGGAGGGGACTGTGGGACTGAGGAGCGCAGAGCAGAGAGCACACTCTGTGCGGTGACTCCGAAGCTCCCCGGCTGTGGCGCTTCTGTGGATGTGGGAGCCCAGGCCAGGCAGGGAGCAGATGCAGGGACTCTGCCTCATTGAATTCTGGTGAGGGACGTTGTAGTTGGCGTGGTTCTCCGGAAACGCGCCAGGAAAAGCTTCCGTGCCAGAGATTCGTTGCCTCAGAAACTGCGTGACGCGCAGGAGTCAGACTTCCGCTGGGACGTCAATAGGAAACTGGGGAATTACTGTGTATTTGCTCTCTAGATGACTGAATAAGGGAAAAGTTAGGGAACCCTGAGAGGTGCAGCCCTTCCGCTGTGCCCCGCCCTGAGAGCAGTGTTTCGGACGCTGGGAAGCGTGCTGTGCGAAGCGCTCTCGGGGTCTTTCCTCAGCCTCGAAAACTGGGCTCTGGAATGCCTTTGTACATATGTGTGTTTAATGTGTTTTGAAGTGAATAAAATTCTCAAGAAGATGACATATTGTCTTTTGACTCTCATTCCGTGTTTGTGTGTAACTGATTTTCCAAGTGAAGGGGTGGCCTGCCCCTCCACACCTGTGGGTGTTTCTAGTCGGGTGGGATGAGAGACGGAGAAAAGAAATAAGACACAGAGACAAAGTATAGGGAGACAACAGTGGGTCCAGGGGACCGGCACTCAGCACACCTAGGACCTGCACCGGCACCGGCCTCTGAGTTCCCGCAGTTTTTATTGATTGTGATTTTCATTATTTCAGCACAAAGGAATGCAGTAGGGGAGCAGGGTGATAATAAGGGGAAGGTCAACAAAAACAACACAAAACAAACACGTGAGCAAAAGAATCCATATCATTATTAAGTTCAAGGGAAGGTACTATGCCTGGACGTGCACGTAGGCCAGATTTATGTTTCTCTCCACACAAATATCTCAGCGGAGTAAAGAATAACAAGGCAGCATTACTGCCAACATGTCTCGCCTCCCGCCACAGGGCAGCTTTTCTCCGAGCTCAGAGTTGAACAAATGTACGATCGGGCTTTACACCGAGACATTCAGTTCCCAGGGGCAAGCAGGAGACAGTGGCCTTCCTCCATCTGAACTGCAAGAGGCGTTCCTCTTTGACTAATCCACCTCAGCACAGACCCATTGCGGGTGTCAGGCTGGGGGACATTCAGGACTTTCCCATCCCACGAGGCCATATTTCAGACTGTCACATGGGGAGAAACCTTGGACAATACCCTGCTTTCAAGGGCAGAGGTCCCTGTGGCTTTCCACGGTGCATTGCGCCCCTGGTTTATTGAGACTAGGGAATGGCAATGACTTCTACCAAGTATACTGCTCGTAAACATTTGGTTAACTAGGCGCGTCCTGCACAGCCCTAGATCCCTTAAACCTCGATTTTATACAACACAGGTTTTTGTGAGCTCCAAGTTGGTCAAAGGAAGGGGCTGCGGCAAAGCTACAAATGATCAACATCTCAGCAAGCAATTGTTTAAACTACAGGTCTTTTTCCAAATGGAGTCTCTTATGTCTTCCCTTCTACATAGACACCAGTGACAGTCTGATCTCTCTTTCTTTACCCTACATCCAAGGGCTTGA